>NC_000010.11:103627943-103930974 GCF_000001405.40 Homo sapiens
CCAAAAGTGATTTGGTACTGATTCTCTTTTCTGCTCATGGCCCAGTTCTCCATTTCCTGTCTGGAGAGCTCAAGGCTTCTCCCCGGGCAGCACTGGAGGCCCCGTCACCATCCACCGCGGCAAGTGGCCGCCCAAGGATCTAGAAGGCACGTTGGTGGGAGGAGGCTCTCGGGTGCCTCCAGGTGGGCTCAGCACTGGGAGGTAGAGAAGGCTCTGTGATGGCTGCTGTGAAAACAACGGAGAGGAGGGGAAAACCGCCAGGTACCACTGCACAGTCGCGGGAAGACCTCAAGGACTTAGAACCCCAGCTCATCTCCCAGGTCTTCAACTAGGTCCCCACCGCCCCACATGACAGGTCTGGGCTTGCAAACAGCCAGCAGTCTAGTCCTGAATGCCCTCTGTCTCCTACCCTTTCTGGGGAGTTCCACAACCCTCTGCTTGCAGCTCTGCAAAGCCCATGAAATGCCCTGGACCAGGAGTCTGGACTCTTGAGGTCCAGGCCTATGTGGCTCAGGGGCCTCAGTTGGGTCACTGCCCTTTTACGGTCTCGGTGTCCTCCTATCTGGAGAGGGGTTACCTCTGAGCTACTGGCTCAAGCACCATGATCCAGGGCCCTGTGGGCTGCCTGGACAGCCCACAGATTCTGTCCCTCTCTGCCTGGGGTGAGAGAAGAGAGGTAACAGGATCACTTCCGGAGAACCCCCGGTCAGGCCCTCTTGCTCCCTGTGCCCATCTCCCTCCCCTAGGCTCTGCCAACCCTGGAGACCACAACCTTCTCTTATGACACAACCCATACACACCTGAAAAAAGGAAGCCTGGGCCAGTGAGTCACAAGCCATCAGAGTCAGGAAGAACTGGGGATATGCCCCCACTGCTGGTGAAGCAATGCCACTGGTCCAATTCCTGTACCTCCTGCTCTTGCTCCAAACCCTGTGTCTCCCAGATTGCCCACTTCTCAGACTGTCCGTGCCCGGGCCACTTACTGCCACGTTTATTTCATAAACACGTACATAGGTGAATGAGACACTGTGGCACTGAGGGGCTGCAGAGCCTTGATTGGAGCCTAAGCAGGCTGGCCTCTAACCCCTACACTCTGCTGCCTGTGTGGGACCAGGATAGGCAGGCAATCTCCAGGGTGAGAAACCCACACCAATTCTCAGGTAAACTCTCTACCCCTGAGACCTCCTACGCTGGGGACATTGGTCTGAGGCTGGAAGAGGGCAGGTGGGCATCATCGGCAGGCTGGATAGTTCTCTGGATCACAGAAAAAGGTAGGTACCTCTTAGGAGCGAATAGCTGAAGTCACTGAGCAGCTCGTGGTGACAGGCAGGTGCTGGAACCCACTAGTTGGGGACTGGGCAGCAGCCGCTGGCAGGTCAGAGACTTCTGGACACACCACTAAAATTTATCATCATTTCCCTGGCCTCTGGGGCTCAGTGGTTATTAGAGCACCAGATATCTGTACTCACTCAACTTCTGGGTGATGAGACTGCTTCCAGGTGGCTTGTAATTATGGGAACTCAGGAAGGGTCCAGACCATGCTTGGGGCATGCAGTACCCTTGAGAGCTAGCTACAGTGGGCAAGGGATGCCCACACTGGGGCCAAGGTCAGGCTGGAGGAGGTGGACTTTGGCCCCTAGGGAGCCCCCACCTGACCTCTACTTGCACCTTGGCTGTTCTGACATTTGGATAAACAAGAGGCGCCATTCCTTCCACATTCGGCTATTGGGAGGAAAGCCAGTAGGACCCATTTGTTGACATGGTGGAAGGGGTTTCACTGTCTACTTCCCTTGACCCAGGAAAAGCCCAACCTTCACTAGCTAGTCAAGGAGTCCCAGGGCTCTGTCTCCATGAGAATGCCCAACAACCTTTCCCTGTCTACCCTTTACAGAGACATCCAGCAGAGGCAAAGGGCCTAGGCCTGTCCCCCTGGGGAGAGGAGGGGAGGAGCAGCAATGGATGCAGGGAGCATTTCAGCTGCCTCATTGCCCTGGGCCTGGAGTGGATACCTGCCTTCGTTCCCTCTGCCTGATTCAGGTTGGGAAAATATTACTGAGGCTTGCATGTCAATTCCCCTGCCTTTTGCCTGAAGGTGGCTGGGGGTCACCCTCATCTTGCCCACAGCCACTTGCACATTCTGAACCCAGCATGGAGCACTGAGAGGGCTGCCTGGAGCAGCACCACCATCCTCCCTGATGCCCAGGCCACCATGGTTTGGTTGCTCAGAAGCTGTGGCTGATGGAGGCCCCAAAACAGCCAGAGGGCATGGACTTTGCAAGGGGCTCTGCCTGGGATGTTTTTCCCCCTTCTTGAGCTTCTGGGGGAGTACTCTCAGGAACCCCAGCAGCCTCTGCCAGGAAGCACCAGTCCCAGCTGTTCTCCCACAGATGCTGGCTGGAGGTCACAGAGCAGGGCTTTCCTGTCTCCCTGGGCTGCATGTCATGTGACCCTGCCTCCTTTACCACAGATGTGGGCACATCTGGCCACTCATCTCCTGATTAGTCTGTCATCTCTCTGGACACTGTTGATGGTTCCAAGCAAAGCCACTCAGGGGCTTTTTTAGGAGCAAACGTGGGTGCTTTGATGATCTAAAACCTGAGTCCCACAAAACTCAGGAATTGCAGGGGGCATATGGGGTGAGAAGCCTGAGAATTAAGTCAATAAAGCAGCAGCAGAGTCAAGAGATAGAGAGCCAGAAGCGCTGGCTTGTGCCTGTAATGTCAGCTGCTTGGGAGGCTAAGGTGGGTCACTTGAGGCCAGTTCAGCCTGGACAACATAGCAAGACCCCTACTCCCTTCTCTTAAAAAAAAAAAAAAAAAAAAGGAAAAAGATAAAAAGGAGATGGAAAGTGACTCAGTCCTGATTTCCATCATTTGGGCTCCTGGTTCCAGATGTGCTAAAGCTAAGCCATCCCATTAGACTTCCTAGCTGCAATGAGTTAACGAACTTCCTGCACCGTTTACCTTACGGTAATCCCCCTTATCCACATGGTATACATTCCGAGACCCCCAGTGGATGCCTGAAACTGCAGATGGTACCAAGCCCTTATATATACATTTTTTTCCTATACATACATGCCTATGAAGAAGTTTAACTTATACATTTAAGGCCAGGAGTTCAAGACCAGCCTAGGCAACAAAGTGAGACCCTATCTCTACCAAAAATTTTAAAATTAGCCGTGTGTAGTAGCACACACCTGTAGTCCTATCTACTTGGGAGGCTGAGGTGGGAGGATCAGTCGAGCCCAGGAGTTTAAGGCTGCAGTGAGCTATGATTGTGCCACTGCACTGGAGCCTCGGTGACAGGGCAAGACTGCCTCTAAATAAATAAATAATTTATAAATTTAATAATAAATAGAAATTTACAAGTTAGGCACAGGAGATTAACAATAATTAATAAAATAGAACAATTATAACAATATGCTGTAATAAAAGTTATGTGAATGTGGTTTTTCTCTCTCAAAATACTGTAATATTTTCGGACCACGGTTAACCTCAGGTAGCTGAAACCATAGAAAGCAAAACTGCAGATGGTTGGGGGGACTACTGTATCTGGAGCTGGGTTTCAATCATTTGAACAGAGACAGTCCTTGCTGATGCCACCCCTAACAATCACTAAGGATCATGATTGAAGGTCCCCCATCGTGAGCCAAATCTGAGGAACAAAAGTCAACCAGGCACCTGCTGCCACAGACCTCAGGAGGGAAGGACGGAGCCCACCAAGCCATTCTGGGCATGTGGTCACTCCCCAAATTTCTGCTTACCAGGATGTAACCCCCAAGAATCCCAAAGAGCTGTCACCACAATTCCCAACTTGGAGTCACTTACAGGAGGCTCTTGAAAGCTGAGGCTCTCACATGGCTTCGCAGGTGCAGGTTCTAATGTCAGTAGCGGTCAGGTGGGGGTGGCTCATGCCTGTAATCCCAGCACTTTGGGAGGTCAAGGTGGGAGGACTGCTTGAGCCCAGGAGTTCCAGACCAGCCTGGGCAGCATAGTGAGATCCCATCTCTTAAAAAAAAATGTTAATAGCGCACGGTTCTGGTTCCCATGTCTCATCCTGACACTTCCCACGCTAACCACCCTAGGTGGTGGTATGTGTCTGTGGTCCCTGCTACTTATGAGCCTGAGGTGAGAGGATGGCTTGGGCACGGGAGGTTGAGGCTGCAGTGAGCCGTGATCATACCACTGCACTCCAGTCTAGGTGACAGAGCGAGACCCCACCTAAAAAAAAAACCAACCACATACCCTTGTCCACACCTCCCCCAGCACACTTCCTCTCTACCACTGCACTCTCAGATCCTGTGGGAAAGAAAACGGTGCCTCTGCATGCATTGGAGGGGAGCCTGGAAGCCCCACGGGGCTCACTAGCTGATGCCTGAGCCCTTCTGGGGAGCTGAGCCACATCCAGGGGTTCAGGTTTTGCTTGCTCCTCAGTGGTGCACCAGTGACTTTGGTCAGGAGCCCTGGTTGCCACAATTGACGTCTGAGCTGCTGGCACCTGGCAGAGGCCTGTCAGCAGCCATGGGTGGGGTCAGCGCAGGGAATCTTTCCAAGAGGCCCAACAGTGTGACTCACGCCAGGGTTCCTGGAGGTCTGCATAGAGTCGGGGTGGGCGCCTCTGCTCATGTTAACCTGTGCCCACCTAGGTGGTATTTGAGCCTGTCTATCTTTGCTCAGTGGAGTGCCCATAGCCAAGGTAGTGGCAGGCTCTTCTCTGCAGCTGTCATCTCCCCTGGCATCAACAGAGCCTGGGCCGGGCGCGGTGGCTCACACCTGTAATCCCAACACTTTGGGAGGCCAAGGTGGGCAGATCACAAGGTCAAGAGATCGAGACCAGCCCAGCCAACATGGTGAAACCCCGTCTCTACTAAAAATACAAAAATTAGCTGGGCATGGTGATGTGTGCCTGTAGTCCCAAGTAACTCGAGAGGCTGAGGCAGGAGAATCGCTTGAACCTGGAGGTAGAGGTTGCGGTGAGCTGAGATCATGCCACTGCACTCCAGCCTGGCGACAGAGCGAGACTCTGTCTCAGAAACAAAAAGAACAAACCTCCCCCCGGCCAAAAAAAACCAAAAAACAAAAACAGAGTCTGACACAGGAAGGACCTGAGACCTGAAGCCACACAGCCCCACTCTGCACATGCTAGAGATGACATGGCAAGCCCAGGCTGGTGAGGATAAAAGTCTCAGCCCCAGCTGGGTGCAGTGGCTCAAGCCTGTAATCCCAGCACTTTGGGATCCAGGCAGACGGATTGCTTGAGGCCAGGAATTTGAGACCAGCCTGGCCAACACAGTGAAACCCTGTCTCTACTAAAAATACAAAAATTAGCCAGGTGTAGTGGCCCATGCCTGTAATCCCAGCTACTGGGGAGGCTGAGGCATGAGAATCACTTGAGCCCGGGAGCCGGAGGTTGCAGTGAGCCAAGACCATGCCATTGCACTCCAGCCTGGGTGACAGAGTGAGACTCTGTCTGAAAAACAAAAACAAAAACAAAAAAACGCTGGGCGTGGTGGCTCACGGCTGTAATCCCTGTAGCACTTTGGAAGGCCGAGGCAGGCAGATCACTTGAGGTCAGGAGTTCAAGACCAGCCTGGCCAACATGGTAAAACTGTGTCTCTACTAAAAATACAAAAAAATTAGCCAGGTGTGGTGGCGGATGCCTGTAATCCCAGCTACTTGGGAGGCTGAGGCATGAGAATCGCTTGAACCCGGGAGGTGGAGATTTCAGTGAGCCGAGATCATGCCACAGCACTCCAGTCTAGGCGATGGAGCAAGATTCTGTCTCAAAAAAAAAAAAAAAAAAAAAAAAAAAAGACTCAGCTCCAAGTCTTGACGGCACAGCGGGAGAATAGGATTCTAATAGGATCCTAAGTTGCTATTAAATATCTTAGGGTGAGGAGCTCCTGGTCAGCAGTTAATGTGGTCCAGCCACCATAGAAGCTTCTGGTGCAGCAGAGATGTTGAGATGGGAAGAACTCAGAGACAACCCTGGGCACATCCCTGGGCCACCCACACAATCTGAGATACAGACCATCATGCTGCCCTGCCCAGCGGGCCCCTGTGCCGTACATTCGGCTCCATAGCAAGTTTTGCCCAGCTCTCCTTGTGTGCTGAGGCCTGTGTGGCAGAGGTAGGAGCGGAGGCCAGGCCTGCTCCGCCCCCGGGAGCTTCCAGCTGCCTGTGAGTGCAGACCCATCCTCCATCCGGGATCCCTGGCTCCTGGGGAAGGAAAGGAGCAGGACTTACATGGAAGGCTTCCCCAAGAATGAAGAAGAGGAGAGGATGCCTCCAGTGGAGAAGAGACCCAGATATGGGATCAGGAGGCCTTTGGAGCCAAGGAGAAAGGCCCTGTGTGCTTGGACATGATATGCACATAGCACCGAGGCCGTGTCTGCACATGTGTGTATCACACATTGACAGCTGAACACTGAGCAGGGCGGTCTGTGTTAGGCACTTGCTCCACATATATGACTTTATTCACACTTCGAGGATCTTGAGAAATAAATGTTCTTGTCATCATCCATCCCACTTTGCAGATGAGGACTCTAGGCTTTACAACCAGGGAGTCCAGCTGCAGAACCCAGGTTCTTAGCCACTGTCAGCGGATAAGGTACAGGTCTGTTGCATGCACGAGTATAAGGTGACTCCTTGAGAATGTATGTCCCTGAATATTGGTACTTTACACAGATACTTGAGAATGGACACATCTCTGAGCAGGTGTCTTGTATGTGCACACCATGAGGAGAGATGCCAGCCTGCATGTACCTGGGTGTCAATGTGTACAGCTGAGGGTCCTCTGGGAACAGAGGTAATTAGGGGTATTCAGTCAGAAAGACTCGAAGTCAGGTCCTGGCTTGCTGCTTCCTAGCTGTGTGACCTGAGGAAAGTTACTAGACCTTTCTGAGTCTCAGTCACCCTCTTTGTAATGACAGGAATGAATGGAGCGTATTTCCTGAGGTTGTTGAGGGGAATAAAGGAGACACTGCAGGGAGGTAGCTTAGGTTGAGCTATTATCCACATGGCGGTGGTCGTTAATCACTAGAGGGTCAGCACCCACGGGTGGCCAGGTGGCATCTGTGCAGTGCACAAGCAGAGGGCAGCCTGAGGGCATCAGGAGGCACTCACTCATCTGGGGAAACTGCCTTGAGTGTGTGTGGGCGTGTGCCTATGCATCTGCTCTAAGCTGGGGTTTTAGGGCTACCTTCAGGGGTTTCAGAAGGATGGAAGGAAGTGGACTGAGAAAGTGGCCCTATCTGTGCCCAGGTTCGGGGCAGCTGTTCTCTGGCTGGCTGCCACACCTGGCTTCTTCCCTGAGAAGTCAACCCTGGTTTCCAGGTACAAAGGAAGCAGGATCTTTTGGGAGGTGGGGCAGGGAGCTTGGTGGCAGCAAGAGATAGTGGGGACCCTCCCAAGGGGCCTGGGCTGGCTAGGAGACCCCTTAGTGCACCCTTCAGCCCAGCCTGGCAGTCAGGCCCTCTGATACCCGCCAGGGCGTTTGATGCCTGCCAGGGCCTTGCTTAGGCAGGTCTTCTTGCCTGGAGTGCCCTTATGCTGAGATGACCCCTCCCAGACAGGGGCCAGGGGAGGGGCTACCATGCTCATTCCCTTGAATGGGAAACTGCAGCCTGTTTTAGAGGAACCCTGAGAGAGGACCCCAGGTACACACGGTGTGTGGCAGAAACCTTTATTCTGGAGTCTCTAGCCCTGGTTTTCAGGGCTAAACCCCTAGACCGGAGAAGTTGTTTAGGAGAATCCCAAACTGGACAATACCCCAAAGCTGCCTCACCCTGGCCTGTCCTTCCATCGGGCCATGTCTGTGTGCCAGGGCCCAGCCCTTTCCAGATGGCAGAGGCCCAGAAAGAACGAACATGTAGCCTGGCATTTACAGCCAGCCATGCTCTGTGAGCCTTAAGTAACAACCCACTTTGCAATGACCCAGGGGCTGAGGAGAGGAGGCAGCAACATGGGGGGTTCTGGCCAGCACTTCCAGCTCAGGGCAGGGAAGGGAGGATGTCCCAGCCCCGGGAGGGAAAAGCTGGGGCCCAAGCACCAGGTCCTCCCTCTATCCAGGCTAAGCATCTTCAGTGAACCGGCCCAGCAGAGTCCACCTGTTTGGCCAATTTCAAATCTCTCTCAAATTGACTGATGCTGACACCAGAGGAGGGAGGGAAAGAGTAGAGATGAAGCTGGGCGCGGTGGCTCAGGCCTGTAATCCCAGCACTTTGGGAGGCCGAGGCAGGCGGATCACGAGGCCAGGAATTTGAGGCCAGCCTGGCCAACATAGTGAAACCCCGTCTCTACTGAAAATACAAAAAAATTAGCCGGGCGTGGTGGCGGGCGCCTGTAGTCCCAGCTACTCAGGAGGCTGAGGCAGGAGAATGGCATGAACCTGAGAGGCGGAGCTTGCAGTGAGTCGAGATCGTACCACTGCACTCCAGCCTGGGTGACAGAGCGAGACTCCATCTTAAGAAAAAAAAAAAAAAAAGAGTAGAGATGGAAACTGAGGCACAGATTGACATACACAGAGAGACAGAGGGAAATGAAAGAGTGAGCCAGACAGAGCAAGAGGCCAGGAGAGGGACCAGGGCCTTAGACTCTCCAGGAATGGGGGAGCCTGACTGAGGGCGGCAGGAAGTGACGGGCACTCCCAGGCCACTGCTGTCCCCAGGGTGACTAGGCCACAATGGCCTCCTTAAGGAGGGAGAATAATGAGCTCGTTAGGGCCAGAGTCAGGCCAGCTGCACACAATTAGGATGTTAATTAAGTCCTCTGAGGTCACAGCTCAGCCTAGGACAAAACAGCTGGTGGGGGGAGGGGAGACCCCCCACTCCTTCCTCTCCCTCTGAAATCCTCTCGTCCTCCCGCTCTGACTCCCAAACCTCCCAGCCCTGTTCAGCCCAGGATTGAGCCCAAGGATGCTTCTTAATCCCTTCTTCCTAGACAGACCTCGGTTAGGATCCTAGCTTTACCACTCACTGTTGGCGTGACCTGAGATAGGTCACTGGCCCTCTCTGAGCCTCACTGGCACACCAGAGTAATACTAAGTACCTGGGGATGCCCAGTGGCATCAGGAACATATGGTGTATGCAATACCCAGAGATTTTCACCAGCAAGTATTTCCCGAGCACCTGGTACGGGCCAGGTCCTGTTCCAGGCACGAGGACACTGCAGTGAACAACACGCATCCGGGACTCATGCTCTACTCCCCCATCACCCAGGCATGGCACACGCGGGGTTCGATTGCCGCCTGTGCCCTGGCCCTGAGGCCTGCTGGAGAAGGCTGGGCTTCAGGCTCTGGGCACAAACCCAGAGGATTTCAAGGCAGGATGAGACTCAGAGCTTGGAGTTTGGAAAAACCCAGGAGGCTTTAGATGACTTCCAGGCTTCATGTTTTCCTTCCCCGTGAGTTACTCTTGGTCCTTCACATCTGGCTTAACACCAGGTAATTCAGAGCTCAGAATGTGGGCTGCACTCATTCCATGCCCAGGCCTATGTAAGGGTTTTGGTATCCAGGTGGGGAAGGGTGCATGGTGGAGCTAGGAAAAGAGGAAGACAGGCCCTGCCTCAAACTCCTCCTCATATAGGCTCGGGGTGGGTGAACAGCAGCAGCCCACTTCCAGAACCCTCAGCCAGCACCCTGACCTGCTTCTCAAAGCACCTCTATTCATGATTTAAACCTGAGCTCAGACCTTGACCCTTTGGAAGGGTGATCTTCCTAGGCATTCCAAGTTCTTTGCTTGGTGCGGGTTTGGAGAAGGGAATAGGGCATTTGCGAGCTCCAAGTGGCGACGGGTGGGGAGACACTGAGAGGAAGAAAGGGCTGAGGGCATCCTGGCCAGGCGCATGGCACCAGCGCTGCCTACCTACCCATACCACACCCAGCACAAGGCTGGGCCCAAGTGAGTGCTGCTGTCCTGGACCCAGCCTGACCCCTTTCCCATGACCTCCAGGCAGAGCTAAGGCTTCTGCCTTTGTGGAACCAGAGAAGCTGGAAATGCAGGCTGTCTGCGAGTGCTGTGCCTTTAAGACCAGTGAAAGGCTGCCCACCCTCGGCCAGGCCTCCCCTGGTCAGAAAGCCCTGTCACTGCAGCTCTTGCCAAGACACGCGCCTCCATGGTCCAAAGCAAACAGGAGCGAGCGAGAAACTCCTCCAGTCCCTCCTGCGTGCACCCACACAGCCCCTGCCTTCATGAGCCACTCAGCGGGTCCTACCTGTGCCCACCCTGCTCCGTTGCCCAGGGCCTTCCCTCCCCTAGACGGGCTCTGAGGCCACCAGGGACCCAGAACCTCCCCTGGGCACCTGGGGCCTGGATTCCAAGACCATTAGCACAGGCTGCTACGTCACCATTTGGAAGGCTCCGTGGAGTCCGTGTCAAGACAGCCTGGGCTGCTGCCACCTTCCCACTCAGCTCCAGCCTGCCCACCTCACCGAACAGGCCCAGAAGCCAGTGCTAGGCTGGGTCCCCGCCAAGCCCACAGGGCTCTGGTGTGTCTGAGCAGACCAAGGTCATGGGTGAGGCACCCAGAAGGAGGCCTGACTAACAAGCAACGCAGGCAGAGAGGGACACATGGTTAAATGACAGGTAGCGGAGAATGGTTTCCAGCGAGGGCGCCAGAGCCAGGCTGCCTGGGATTGAGGCCCAGCTCTGCTACTTGCCAGCTGCATGAATTTGGGCAATTGCCTCAATTTTCTCATCTGCAAAACCGACCCAAAGTACCCACATCTCAGTGTTGTTACGAGGATTAGAGGAGCTAATCCTTGAAAAGCCTTCAGAATAGTGCCTGATTGGAATCAGAATAGTGCCTTCAGACGAGCACAAGTCGCAAAGCGCTGACATGAAGTGAAATTCTAAAGAAGGAACCAAGACCTCAATGCGCCTGGGTGACTGGGGCCAGGGATGGCCAGGGAAGCAGGTAGGTCTTGGGTGTCTGGAGTTTCAGGGGGAGAGAGAGACCCTCGTGGTGTCAGTGTCATTTACCCTTGACCTCAGAAGGTCTCTACTGAAAACATGTGGGTCTGATTCTGTGCCTGGCACGGGTGGGGGTCGGAGACAGGTTGAGGTGGAGATTATAAGATGGCATGAGGCCTCTCCAGGAGCTGCAGAGCAGTGGATGGATGAGAAGGGCGGCTGCTTGCAGGGGGACTTGGCACGAGACTGCTTGTGCTGGGTGCGGCAGGGCGACCCAGACAGCCCCATGCAGTGGACATGGCGGTGGGTGATACAATGCTTGCCAAGGAACCAGAGATATCCAGAGATGAGAATGACTAGGCAGAAAAGAATTCTTAGAGGAGAAGAGACTTGAATTGAACCTCAGAGTGACAGGCTGCATGGGCTCACTCTAATGGCTTCATAGGGGATTATTCCAGATGAAAATGAGGCATTCAAGGCCGGGCATGGTGGCTCATGCCTGTAATCCTGGCACTTTGGGAGGCTGAGGCAGGTGGATCACGAGGTCAAGAGATTGAGACCATCCTGACCAACATGGTGAAACCCTGTCTCTATTAAAAATACAAAAGTTAGCTGGGCATGGTGGCGTGTGCCTGTAGTCCCAGCTACTTGGGAGGCTGAGGCAGGAGAATCGCTTGAACCTGGGAAGCGGAGGTTGCAGTGAGCCAAGATCGTGCCACTGCACTCCAGCCTGGCGACAGAGCGAGACTCCGTCTTAAAAAAAAAAAAAAAAAAGAAAAAGAAAAAAAAAAAAGAAAAAAAGAAAATGAGGCACTCACCTCAAGCTGGTGCCCTCTCTCAGTGCCATTATTAAGCAGAGCACAGAGGTGTGAGCCTGTGCCCAGATTCCTAAACATGAGGCGCTCAGGAAAGATGGAAGATGCAAGAAGGTAAACTCTAATGTCACAACTGTAAATGATGTGGATGGTGAGAGAGACCTGCTGTCAAAGGCAAGACGATGGAAGATGATGGAAGAGTGGCAGTCAGGGAAGGAGAGTGGGGCGGGAAGGGGTGGCCTGCTAAGAATCCAGTCAAGACACTTACATTCTCAGAGGTGGAGCCCTGAGGACATGCTCAGGGGAACAAAAAGGGTGTTTTCCCTGCTGTTCCAGCAAGAGAAAGAGTAAGAAAGGGCTAAGTCGGCCAGGCACAGTGGCTCACGCCTGTAATCCCAGCATTTTGGGAGGCCGAGGCGGGCGGATCACCTGAGGTTAGGAGTTCGAGACCAGTCTGGCCAACATGGCGAAACCCCGTTTGTAATAAAAATACAAAAATTAGCCAGGTGTAGTGGCACATGCCTGTAATCCCAGCCACTTGGGAGGCTGAAGCAGGAGAATCGCTTGTACCCAGGAGGTGGAGGTTGCAGTGAGCCAAGATCGCACCACTGCACTGTAGCCTGGGTGACAGAGCGTGACTCCATCTAAAAAAATTAAAAAAAAAAAAAGAAAGAGCTAAGTCTCTTTCCTGAGGAGGGTGTGGCACAGGGAGGAGGGGTCTCCTGGGCTCCTGTCTGCAGCTCAGCATTCGCTCTCAGAAGGAAGGGTCTCAGCCTGGCACACGGATCCCCAGAGGGTAAGTAGACCCCAGGCAGAGGTAGGGACAGCATGGACAGGCTGCCTCAATGCACTCTCACCAGCTGGCCGCAGAGAAGGGTCCCAAGAGCATTTGACAAAGAGCCCTCCAGTCATCATCAGCAATCGTGGGAGACATGGAGATGGGAGCAACACCCAAGGACACAAAATGGGCAACGGTCCCAGCTTTTAGAGAAGAAGGCGGTGAATTCCAGAGTAGAGAAGGGCAGCCTCATGCTGGTCGTGGTTAAGTAAAACATGGACTCCCTAAGGAATGCTGGGAGAGCCTGGGAAGGGGCTCTGCACACTCACCCAGGCAGTGTCGGTCAGAAGGGTGCAACAGGAAGAAAGGGGGCCTGGCAGTGAGTGAGCTACTGGACTGGTGGGCCCGGGATGTGTCACAGCTGAGACCTCCAGGCCCTTGTGTCCCTCATGATCCCCCAGGGCCCTGGGGGCTACAGGGAAGCACTGACAGATCCACAGCTCGAGGGCTGGCACAACCCAGCAGGACGGAGTGGCTCCAATGGGAACCTGTCCTGTTGGATGTTTTAATCAACCCAGGATGAGGACAGAGACACAGTACTGGCAGCACGATCTCATTTAGCAAAAGCTGTGCCAGGATTAGGAGCCAAAAAAGAGGTCTGAACAGATGGTAATGACAGCTCAAATCTGACAAGATGCAAAGTCTTAAATGGAGAGACAAAAGGACATGGCTTAGTATGAGGATCTTAAAATTTACTGTTCAAACTTTTTGGAGCAAATGGAAGGGCAATATCAATTTTAACAACCATGACGCCAAAATCTTAGGTGCAAGCTGGGAGGGTCCAGGCAGCCTGAGTTGTGCAGGTCCCCCTCCTGGCAGTGAGGATGAGAAAGGAGTTCTGAGGACCATGTGTTCAGTATGTCTTGGGGCAGAAGTCTGTCCCCAGGTCCGTGAAATCTTAGGCTGCCTTAGGAAACTCAGAATGGGAGACTTACCCAAGGAGTGTGTGGCTAAGGGGAGGTGCCAGGATTGGCACTCAGGTCTCATACCCAGTACAGCATTCATTCAGCGACCCTTAAAACCACTCCAGCTCAGCTGTTCATTGTCTTGCAGAAGGAAACCAGCAATGCCTGCTCTATTAGTGCCCCAAATGCCTGCTCTATTATGCCCCAAATTCCCATCTGACAGATGAGCCAAGAAACCCAGTCCCTCATCTGCTTCTCCTCCACTCCACTGGTGTCTACGAAGCCCTGAGTCTTGGAAGAGTCGAGGGTGTGGCTTTTCCCACTCCTCATGGAGAGGTGGTTTTCAGGCTTGCCTCCAAGTTGCCTCTCCTCTAAGCCCACATGGTAGGGCGAGGCAGGGACACCCAGGCTGAAAGAGCGTTCTGGCACGAGATCTCACCCAAGGGCTTTGCCAGGCAAGAGTGACTCTGAATCTGCTTTCCCCAAACCTCAGGTATTTCCACACCACACACAACCTTTGCTATATCCTTGAATTACATATACTGTGGTTCATATAACATATACAGATGTGCCTTGACTTACAGTGGGGTTACGTTCCGATAAAGCCATCGTTAAGTTGACAATATCCCAAGTTCAAAATGTACTTAATACCCCCAATGACCCATCATAAAGCTGAAAAATTGTAAGTCACACCATCATAAGTCTGGAAATGGACTGTATATTTAAAGCAATTTGCCTTTTTTTTTTTTTTTTAACTTCAAGAAAGAAATTTGCTAAGGAAACTTCAGATTGCCACCATGAATAAACAACGAGGACCACTGGCTCCAACCAGAAAAGCACACACGATGAAAACAAAGCTATGTAGTACATTTGAACCGTGCCACAAATGAAGAGGCTGAGCCTGTGGCCCGCTCTTTCTTTGCTACACAGATTTGCTAGACAGGGGTTAAAGATCATCGAACATCAAACTGAGATAAGTCAGAAGGCTTGGAAGAGAACTGCAATGAGACAAACTTTTCCCACTGTGTGATGCAGAAGGATTGATATTGCCTCTCTGCCACCTAAGATCCTCCCCTGTATCATGGTGTTGGGTGGACTACAGCTTTAGGAAGCCAACGTCAGACTAGTGTGGTGCCTGGTCCTTCAGATTGGCTGAAGGAAGAGACTGAAGAATGAGGCTTAAGTTCTCATTGGTGAGATGGGAATATGAAACAGCATGTATTTACTACCAGTGTTGTGGGGAGAAAAAGAAAAGAAAAGAAAAGAATGGAAAGTGCCCAGAAATGTGCCTGGTGCTTAATAGATCTATTTGCAGCCTGGAGAAGAGAGCTGTGGTCACTTGAAATATAAAGATTATCCTTATCCATTTAACTGGCTTACTCCAGTGCCTAAGATGCGTACATGTACGAGTTTGTATATTTTTCCCCTTTCTCTCTTTGCTAAAAATGGAAGCTTCTTGGCCCCAGAATGGACTTGGTTTCAACTAAAAGCTGTAGGCTGACAACCATCCCCTCCCTCCCAGCTGAGTTCAGCCCCTCTTCAATTGGGCAAAAATAAAACGGGGACAATTTAGACTTTAAAGACCATCTCCATAAACAAAACAAACCCACTCCACAATTTGTCTAGGGCATTCCTCCCTCCAAAGCCTCCTTATTTAATTTCTGGGGAATTTTAAATAGAGGGCTTGCAAAAATCCAGTACCGCCTGACGTTAGCAGCTCTCTGACAACGTGGATTCTTCTACTTGGTGTGGGGAGCAGCCACCACGAATGCCGATGCTTTTCCAGGCTCCTTTCCCAGTTGGAATTTGGGAGCCACTGGTGTCACCCTAGGAGACAAGAGGCAGAGGGCACCCTAGGTGCCTAAGAGACAGAGTCCCACTTGGGGTCGTTTAACTCTGCATTCCCCAAGCCCTCCGGCCAGGTGAACCAATGAACCTGAGTAACACCTACACTAGTGTCATCTTAGTGTGTTTATTTAAGTTGACTTTATTTTTTAAAACTTAAACATGTATTTCAAAAAGACATTTTCCTATGCTACAGTGGATGGAAAACCAGCATTCCTAGGTATAGACGGGAGATTCCGGAAAAACACATACAATGAAACAATGCCATGAAGTTCAACAAGAGAGCAAGGCAAGTTCTAGCAAGATTCTAAGCCTGGGTCAGATTTGCTCTTGGTCAAACAAACAAATGACATCAGCCAGCGTCTGACAGATGTTAACAGCACAGGAGCCCCAAATGGAGATTCTCCCCTTGACCCAATGTGGAGTGAAAGAGAACTGAAAGGAAAGAAACTTCTCATGACGAGATTCAATGCCACTCAATGCTGTGTCCGCCCAGCACATGTTTGCACGACCCACTCTCGGGGAACCACTGATCTTCTTCAGGTGAAGCTTGGGGTAAAGAATCTGCAGACCAGGCCAGGCGCGGTGGCTCACGCCTGTAATCCCAGCACTTTGGGAGGCCGAGGCGGGCGGATCACGAGGTCAGGAGATCGAGACTATCCTGGCTAACAGGGTGAAACCCCATCTCTACTAAAAAATACAAAAAAAAATTAGCAGGGCGTGGTGGCCTCCACCTGTAGTCCCAGCTACTGGGGAGGCTGAGGTAAGAGAATGGTGTGAACCACGGACATGGAGCTTGCAGTGGGCTGAGATTGCACCACTGCACTCCAGCCTGGGCGACAGAGCGAGGCTCCATCCCAAAAAAAAAAAAAAAAAAAAAAAAAGAATCTGCCGAACCTTGGTTCAAATCCAAGCCTGGCCACAAGCAAGCTCTGAGGTCTCAACTGTTTCCTTTGAAAAATGGAAACAAAGCCACCTGCCCTACTTACCCTTAGAGAGTTACTCTGAGATAATAGATGAGAAAAATGCTTTGAAAAGGATAGGCCAGGTGCGGTGGCTCACACCTGTAATCCCAGCACTTTGGGAGGCCGAGGTGGGCAGATCGTTTGAGTCCAGGTGTTCAAGACCAGCCTGGAAAACATGGTGAAACCTTGTCTCTACTAAAAATGTAGTTTAAAAAATTTAGCGGGGCATAGTGGTACGCACCTGTGGTCCCAGCTACTCGGGGGCTGAGGTGGGAGGATCACTTGAGCCCAGGAGGTCATAGCTGCAATGAGCCGTGATCATGCCACTGTACTCTAGCCTGGGCGACAGAGTGAGACCAAGTCTCAAAAAAAAAAAAAAAAAAAGTCTCCAGGCTATAGGCTGGTGGGGGCAGAGGGGTTACTATTCTAAGCCATTTCAGAAACCCGACGGACTCCTAACTATCCCCAGTAGAACTTACTGCCTAAACTGGATGGTAGCCCATCCCTGTCCATCAGAGAAAAGGATAGGAGGGTGAATATGCCACTTGACAATTTTCTTTCACAGCTGGCCTTTCCCAATAGCCACATGGGTTTCCAATATTATCCTCATGTTACAGATATGGAAACTGAGGAGCAGAATGGCCACATGCTGGCCACAGAGTGGCTATTCAGTGGCAGAGTAGGATTCGAAGCCTTTCTTGGGGCCTGGGAGAAGTACCCCGTCTTGCTTTTTGAATGCACATGCAGCAGGGTTCAGAAGCCCCCAAATGTGTTGATGTCTTTGATTCATTGCTGTAGTACCCAGGCCCCGTCCTTCAAAGCCACTAACTTTGTGATGTTCCCCTGACTCCCCTGCCAGCCAGCGTTCTGCTCTCCTAACTCAAGGCTCCCCCATCACCTTGACCTTAGGTTTGGGTTGGCCAGTCCCCCAGCTAGACCAAGAGCTCTCTGAGGACATAGGCCGAATCTTGCTCATCTTGGCATCCTGACAAGCTCAGACTCTCTGAAGCCCAGCTCCTGGGGCCAATGCGGGATCAGCACTGGGCATCTTCTCTCCAGCTGTCTTCCTGCCGGCCCCCGCAACTTCTGCTCTGCTAGAATCCTGTGCGGTGACTCAGCCTCTGGGCAATGTTCCTTCTTCCAGTTCCCCAATTTGGGGAAATGACTTCGACCCACAGCAAGCATCTCTAGCTTACCCAGGAGGATCTGTCTTCAAGGACCCAAGGCACAGAGGTTTTTGTTGCTTGTTGCATAATTTGCCCAGGATCATCCAGTGAGCTAATACTTCCAGTCCTGACAGCTCATGTAGTCTGCTTGGATACCTGACCCGGCCATTTCCATCTGGGCCTCTCCGCTTACAGGAATGGAAGATCAAAGCTCAGGGAGGCCCCACAGGCTAATCACCAGGAACGGGCCGACATTCCTGGAGGAATGCAGGGGGTGCCACTAGCAGCATCTCCCAAGCCCATTCAAGGCAGCCCCACAGGTTGTTTGCAGGCCTCTACTGGGAATCTTGGTGGCACTGCCTCTCATCCAGGGACCACAAACAAAGTCCTCCTGGGTGCAACTCAGGGCACTGGAATGGGCAGCCCCAGAGACCTGTTTGCCCCAACTCCCAGAGGACAGTGGGGAGAGAGGCATACCAAAAATAGCTCCACAACCATGGCACAAGCCTCCAGTGGATTCACCAAGAGGCAGCAGAGTGTACAGGGGAGAACTGTGGATGACCTGAACCGTCTGGCCCTTGGCCTTCTTAACTGTAAAATAGGCATCACAATACCCATACTTTACAGGGCAGTGGTGATAATTATAAGAAAAAAGGTGTTTCGTTCCCTGCCTGACATATAGGAGGTGCTTTAATAATCTCTTTCTTGTCTTTCCCATCAGTTTCATCGGTTTCTGATATTAAGTCTCCAGAAAGCAGCAAATGGGTCTAACTTGAGCCCTAAATCCCCTTGTCCTGGGATAACCATCCTGGGGCCTCAGCTAGGTTTGTGGTGACCTAGGATTAGGTTCTCTCACTGAGCGGCTTCCTGCCCCATTCCCTTCCTGTCTCTTTTGCCTCTGGGAACCATCTTGTCTTCTTGGTTCCCAAGAATTGGTCTAGTACGGATCCCACCCCAATCCAAGGAGAAAAGGCCACACTCAAACCAGATACTCCCCTAGTCCAGATACCCCACAACACTGGCCCAGACCAGGTTTCTCATTCTAGAGACTCGCCACAGTTACAGTGACTGGTCAGGCAGTGGTGACTGACACCCATGAGTACCAGTGAGTGATACAGCTCTTCCCACACTGACCTGTCAATCTCTGGTGCCTCCCACCCCCAGCACCCACAGGGGAGAGGCCTGCAGAGAGCCAACCACCTTGTCCCACAACCAACCAGCAACCACAGTCCCCTCAGCTGGGTCAGAGCGGGCAACTGTATGTGTCCCCTGTAGACTGTCTGCTCCATAAAGATGGAGATCAAGTCTTTCCTGTTCACCTCTGTGCATCAGTGCCTGGCATACAGCAGGAGATAAAGGCTGGGGAATGAGTGAATTGAATGAACAAATGTCTGATCTCTAGCTCCTGACTATACCCTTGCTTGGTTGCTGGGTTCTGGTTTTCTCCGCTCTGAATAAGGCCCAGCCTTTGATCAATATTCTACCACTGTTTAACAGGAAGATCCAAGTACCTGAGGGCAGAGAGATGGGTAGAAAGCTGGGGGAAGTCACTGACCTGGCCTGCCTGCCACACTGCCATCTCCCAGCCTCCATGGGGTCCTCCAACCACCTCCCTTGGAGGGAGGCCTCTATGGGGAGGTCTAGACGGAGTCAGATAATAGTAGTCAGGGGTGGGGGGATGGAGGTAGGGGATTATTTTGCCCCTTTAAATATACCCTGGCTGTGGCAGGCCAAGATACCCCCAATGAGTCCCAGCTGTCACCCATGAGGAGCCACAGCTTCACTCCCCAGGAAGCGGGCAATACTGCAATATCATGGCATCAGCTCCAGCTCCCCAGCTCTGGCATAGCCCTTAGATTGGATTTGGATGTCTCCGTCCCTCAAATCTCACTGTCCTGTCTCTGGGTCAGAGTTCCTGCCCAACCTGGCTATGATTCCACCCAGCCCCTTACCCTGGAACCACTTCTAGAATGGATTTTCTCCTTCAAGGGCCTTGAGGTGGTAGGATGACCTCCTGGGAGTGGAGAGACCAGGGTGTGGAGGGCAGGTCAGGCCCCTGAGGTCCAAATGCTCCTCTCACCTGGCACATGAGCACCAACAAGATGCTCTAGCTCCACTGAATGTAGAGGCCCTTTAAATCCAAGGAGGCAAGTTTGTGTCTGGTTGTGCAGTCAGGCCTGGGACATGGAGCCTCACTTGGTGCTTGCACATGGTGCTTGGAAACAGAAGAACAGGGTTAAATTCTCCTGAGGGAGCCAGCGAGACAGGAACCCTGGATGCTCATTCTCCCCATGCAAAGCCCAGGTGCCGAGGTAACTATCCTCTCTCTCCTACAAGGAGCAGCCAGTTAAAATCCCACCCTGTGGGCAATGAGGTTCAAGCCACCCTGGTTCTGCTCCGGTTATCAATGCTGGGGAAAGCACACTCCACATAATGCCAGTGCTCCGGAGCAGCGTCGTTCATGCCCAAGCACGAAAGAGTCAATCAGATGCTTGCCCAGGAGGCACTGGTTAAGGCAGGGGGAGGGGAGGAGAAGAGGGTCCCCTAGGGGTGGGTTGGAGCCCGGAGGGATGAGAATCTCCTATTCTGTTATCTTCAGGAGCTGGTTAAGGTCTGCTCCAACGTGCTAGCCACTTCTTTGCTATCCCTGCCCGACTTCCTTCCCACCCACATATCCACGCAGGAAAGATGCATGGCAAGCACTCAGAGAATGCCAGGACACGGGCTGGTGGGCACGACACAGGTGAGGCGATGAGAAGGGCCCAGGTAGACAAGAAAGAGTATGGAAAAACAGGATTCCCCAGTGCACACAAGAAGAAATGGGGTAGTAAAAGGGTCAGGCAAATCCCTACCCCGATACCAGTGGGGGTCAGGGGAGCCCTCCAATGTTTGGCTTTTGAGATCCCTGCACCAAGCCTCTCTTTAAGCGCCAGAGCTATTGCTTTCATGGCTCTTGTTTAACTTGAGAAGGACGGGGGAGGGGGCCAAGGAAAACTGCATTCTTCCCCATCAAAGCCAAGAGTCTAAAGTAATACTTCTGGTTGTAACTGATCCCAGCCTGTTTGTGATTACGGGCCCTTTGCTTGCTTTCTGGCAGGGCGGCCCTGGAACCCCGCAGCCCAGCCGACAGGGAGAGACACCCTCGCTCACTTGGATAATCTTGTCCTCATCTGACATAACCAAAAACGTCCATCAGCCTCTCTGCTTTCAGCAGTTCTCCAGGGCAACTTTTCAAAACATTATTTTAAAAAGGAGGGGAAGCCACCCCAAACTCCTATCATGAAATTCCATGACATTCATCATATTCTTTCTGTTCCCGGCACTATCCTAAAAACCACGAGAAGCACCAGCTGGCCCACTGGCTATTGCAAATTGCAAGATCAGATCGTCTTTTGCTCCTGCCCCACCTCCCACCCTTTTGTCAGGGGAGAAAATGCACGTGCCCCCTCGCGTGCGTGTGCACACCCTTTGGCTGCCATAGTACAGAAGTGGCTCAGGGAAGCTCAAGACTATGTCTCAGCTGTTCCTTCTCCAGAAATTTAATCTGTGATGCATTTGGCTGCACAAAGCCCATTCCAAAGGTGTTCAGGAGTCCACGATCCCTGTGATCATCATTACAAACCCAAAGACGTTTGTAGCCAGTGACCCATTTGGCTGCGGGGAAGAGCTGGCTGAAGGCTTGCCAACATGGTCAAATTCCCCTCGCCTGCTCCCTCTGAGCTGAAACTGGCCCGTTTTCAGGTCCCTAGGGGTAAGATGGAATCTTAGGAGCTCCAGAACTGCAGAGATAAAGTGGGCTTCTTGCCCAGCTTGGTAACAGCACAGTCGTCAGGGGAATGGGGAAGCTTGGTATCTGGAAAGCAACCATGGCCACTGTCTCCACTCCTAATCACCCCTCCATGCTGTGGATGAGCAAAGCCGGTGCTCAGAGAGGTGAAGTGGCTTGCCTGAGGTCACTTGGCTGTTTGGTGGCTGAGCTTAGAGTCTGGGTTGACCAAGCTCCTCTTACGCAAAGCCTGGCCTTCCTCCCTCGATGGCACGCCACTGCTCTGCCCATTAACATGACACTCTGAGCACCATGCCAAGTGGCTATTCCTTGACCCAATGCCTCGAGCAAGAAGTGAGTGTCTAGAACTGGCAGAAAGCCCCACCAGTGCACAGAAAGGTCATTTGGCCAAACCAGGCATGGGAGACTCAAGTAGCCAGTGCTTCAGGTGCTGGCTTGCAGTCTCAAGCGCAAGACCCCAAGCCTTGTATCCTTGCCAACCTGTATGCTACCCCTGATCGCAGCAGCTCAAGATGCTGCTGTAATCAAAAGATGGTGAGCACGCTGAGCAGAGAGAAGGCTGGGGCCTGTGAGAATGCCGCTTAAAAGTACAGAAAACAAAAGAGAAAGACATCATGTCCAGAAACACCAGAGCTGGATGCCTGGCCAACCTCAACAGCAACCTCACCCCCTTCCTGGGGGAAGGGAGGAACACAAGGGGCTGAGGAGGCAGAGCCTCTGGACCTGAGGGGGGACTCAGCCAGCTGTAGGGCAGCCCCACCTTCCCTGGAGCACACCATGCATCCTTCCCAGCCTGACACTGGCCCCCAGAAGCCTTGCTAGATGGGGGAGTTTGCATTCTCCAGTTGGGGCACGTGAAGCTGATCTTGTGGGGAGAGGAGAGGGGAGTTAGAAAAACAGGCTCTTTAAATGCACAGGGATGGGGAGGTGCCTTTGCCTGGCTCCAGGCTCTAGCCCTAGTAACAGGCGGAAGGGCCCAGGCCAGGTGAGCAGCAGCTCAGCAGCGGCAGCAGCTCAGCAGCGGCAGCAGCTGGAGAGCCCTGCTCCCCCTCCTCCCCTCACCTGGCACCTGCCGCATCACTCCCCAGTCCTCCTGGGACCTCAGAGACAGCCACCACTGCACCAGCAGCCCACAGATGTGCCACAGCCCTGCCTCAAACTCACTATGATGCTGGGCACGTGGCTTCACTTTTCCAGGCCTCCGCTATCCCTCAGCCCCTCAGCGCAATGGGGAAGAACAGAGGAAAAGCTCTCTTTGTCTATATTTAAGGCCCTTCAAAGCCCTTGACCAGTTCCTCCAGCTTCTCTCAGGCAGCCCCCAGGCACTGTGGCTGGATCACACCTGTCCACCTGTCCACTTCACCCTCCACACCTCCACATGCATCATTCAGGTTCACTCTGCTTGGAGCACCTTCCTCCTTCAGCTTTGCCAGCCACCTGGGGCCTGCCCCTTGTTCAAGGCCTACCTTCTCCAGAAGTAGGCCTTCTGGACCCACCCAGTCCAGGCCCTGTCCCTGTCTCTGAGCAAACTTGACAGTATTCATGAAAGCTCACGGTGCCCAGAGCAGATTGAGTCCTAGCTCCAGTCCTCAGCCACACTTTGCTTTCTGCCTTGCACACTGTAGGTGCAGAGTGAAAATGACTGACTCACTACACCTGGGCTTTTTACCTTGCAGGTAAAGAGACAGCCCTAGGATGCTGTCACCTTCAGCAATGGGAAGACAGGGACAGCTGCCTCTTGTCCACGTGCACCCCAGTGCTGGCCATGCCACAGGGCACACAGTAGATGCTCATGTTTGTTGACTGAATGAGCAAACCACATCCTATGGAAGCAGCCCCTGCATATAGGATTTCACTGAGGGCTGAGATGTGATGAATGCTGGGGTAGGGGTGCGGAAGGAGAGAGGGTGGCAGGTGGCAGGTCTTCCTTAGGGGGTTTGTGTTTGGGGGAGTGGCCAGGATGGGTCTGCATAGTGGAAAGAAGAAGGCACTGTAGGCTGGAGTGCTGACCAGCCTCCCGGCAGCTGGGTCCCCACAGCTACACACCTCACACCCTTGGTGCTGCCCACCAGGTAAGCAGACTGACCTACCCACACAGACCAGCCCCTCCCCAAGGACCTGGTAAGCCAAAGGTGGGAATGCTCGTGCAACTCTCTTGTGGGAAAAGAGTCAACATGCTTCTCTTCCCTTTCAGATTCCCTCTGACCTGCTGCCCCTGGCCTTTCTCCTGCCCCAGTGGGGCTTTAGCACAACTGACCGCTGCTTTCCTGTGCTCTGTGGCCAGGGAACTCATGTGGTGAAGCACTCTGGAGTTTGGCTTTGCAAAGAAGTGAAATCTACAATGCAAATATCCAGATCTCCAAACCCTGGTCAAATGGCAGTGACTGAAGCTCATGCCCCACCTCCCAGCTGTGCAACCTTGGGGCAAGTCACTTCACCTCTCTGGGCTTCAACTTCCTCCTTGGAAAGACAGAATGCCAACATCCATCCTGCCTCTTGCCAAGATGTTTTATAGACTGCATGGTTTTATATCTTGTAAAACATAAAATACTGTGATTCAGAAAGAGATCACCTTTAAAAAAGTCCAAAATCCCCCCCTCTTAGCTAGCACGAGCAGGCATCTCTCCAGGTGGCCTTGACCTCCCCAATAACCCTCCTGGCAGGAGTGTGGAAGAACAGAACATGCAGGCTTCTGGCCACTGTCCTTAGAGCTTTCCAGGACATGGGGATCCCAGGGCAACCTGTGGCACTGCCAACGGGCCCCGTCACAAGAGGAGAGAGGGATCTGCTATCGCACACCAGTCTCAAAACCCACCCACAGTTCACTTGCTTTATGGACAGTCCTTGGCAAACTTACTCTGAGTTTGGCCTTTGCTCATTTCCCATGGTGCTCCTGGGCCACTTCCCCACAATCCGATCCAATAAAAACTCAGGGGAGGCAAACGAACTTTAGCCGGAGCCTGAGAGATGCCCAGCTAAGAAGGGGAGTGTGGAGCTGGGGCTAAGACAGTTGGATGAAACAAAACCAATGATAATCATGCACGGCATATTTCAGAGGGAAATGAACTCGGGGGTTCTATGAGCCAGAAGCTTCCGTCAGTTTCCTGGGATTCCACAGCTCAGCTCCCAGGATGGGGAGTCCTGCTGAGCCCTGGCTCCCCCAGACTTTGCAGGCCATCTGGGTGAACTGGGTCACCACAGCTACACCCCCACAATGAGGCCAGGATTCTAGGTCAGCACTGGAAACCCAGAGGATGAGGTTATGGAATCTGAAAAGATGCTGAGAGGGATGAGGGCAGCTATCCCCCACTCCCACCGGAACAATTACAGAAAACCCAACTGCTGAAGGGTGTAATATCACATGGCCACAGGATAAGCTGGGGAGAGAATGAGGAAGGGGCAATTTCCCAACCCAAATTCCCCAAGGTCCTGAAAAATTATACTCCCCAGAAAGTGTTTGCTTTACACTTTGCTGAAATCTGTTACGTAACAGTGGAGAAAATGTGTGGGGTGATCTTTTCCCTGCACTTCAGCCGGGGAGGGGGGTGAGAGACCTGTCATTTCCACTGAGGACAAAGGCAGTGTCTGTGTGTTGGGGGCAGGCAGAGGATCTCCAGGGTTGCCCACTCACAGGACACCTGTGCAAAGGTACACCTGAGTCAGAGGAGGCAAGTCACCTCTGTCAGCTCCGCTGCGGGGCTTCGAGTAGGCAGGCAGTGACAGCTGTACCTAGAATAATACTCCTTGGCCCGGCACCCGTCTCTGCCCTTGCTCACTCCTGCCCTCCCAGAACCAGCGGGCCTTCTGCTGTTCCCTGCATTCACCAAGGCCCACCTGTCCCCAGCTTTAACAACACCTCAGTGGTGTCTTTCCTGACCACACCCCTGCCCCCTCCCTGCTGCTGACGTCTCCACAGCGCCTGCTTGTTTCCTGACTTGTACTTGTCAACACCTAGAATTACTTCCTTGGTTTACTTGTCACATGTCTCTTCGCAATATTTGAGCCCCATGAGGGCTTTGTTGGCCTCTGTCACTTCTGGATCCCAGCCTGACACTTAGTCAGCTCGTACAGATTTACTGATGACCGACCGACCAGCCATCGGAAGACCAGCTTCACAGGCCCCTTGGTGTTCAAACTTGGAAAAATAACATTTTGGAGATGCTCATGGGCTCAGTCAGTAGAAACCTGTTTGTCCCCCAAAGGGAAGGCGGCCAGGTATTGCCCTGAGGCTACAACTCGGGTGAGCAGTGGTTGTCACTCTGGCACTTCTGTGGGATTTCCAGGGCTGCATGCCACACCGAGGCCACCACTAACCCATATATTTTGCTGAGAAATAACTATTCAAGGAAAATGGCCTTGGAGGAGTTTGGGACATGAGAGGTCCACAGAGCCAGTAGGTCCACAGAGTCAGGCCACAGCAACTGGACACCAGGCCTGTCCAACCTGGGCAGGGTGACAGCATGGTGGAGGGAGCACCCCCATGCTCACTGCCCCACCTGCCTGCCTGGCAGCTGGCTCCACGCAGGTAGCTGGCAGCACTTGGCATTGACAAGCCCTTGGATGCCTCCCTGACAATAGGCACTGTGGATCCAGCTGGAAGAAAGCACTATTTGCAGAGCTGCCCAGCCCCTGCCACACCTGTGCCTGCCACCCTCCTCCCCACACAGCCCGGAGGGCTTGCCTCAAGGCTCACCCTTCTCAGGGAGTTCTCCGGCTCACCAGCTTCCCGAGGCCCCACCCTCCCACCTCCTGCTGCCCAGCTCCCGCTTTTCTTCTGCTTGGGGCACATAGATGCATGCCTGCTTTGCAGTCGCAGCCCCACCACGCCCTGTACTCCTCGCTCTGCCTGTCTAATCCCTTCATTCTCCCAGCCCTGCTCAATGCCTCCAGGAAGCCTTCTCGACTATGCTTGTCTTCACCCCTGACACTTCAGCTCTGCACCATGCAACAGGGCTACTGAGGGACCATCAGCGTGGGGTTGTCATGAAAGCCCCCAATCCCATGAGGCCACCAATGGGACCCTGACTTGTGTCGCCAACCCTTCTTCCTGCTGGACTCTGTTGATTAGGCTGGGACAAGGATAACTGCCCAAGCAAGAACTCCAGGGGAGTGAGTCTGGCCCCAGAATGGGTTGTCCTGGCCTCACTGCCTGACAGTAAACCCCTCTGCTGCTATAGCCACCTCACAGACCCTCAGGAGTGACAGTCCTCAGATACCACCAAGTCAGTTCTATGACCAGATGGGGGAAATTGAGGCCACAAGAGAGAAACTGGCCCCCTGCAGGTCCCAGGGTCGATCTGTGGCAGAGCTGCCCCAATCAGTGGTCTTTCTAGTGGCTGTCACTTATTGAGCACCCACTGTGTGTCAGGCCCTGCATGAAGCACTAACTTTCTTTTGTCTTTATTATTATTATTACTATTATTTGTAGAGACAGGGCCTCACTATGCTGCCCAGGCTGGACTTGAACTCCTGGCCTCAAGTTACCCTCCCACCTCAACCTCCCAAAGTTTTGGGATTACAGGCATAAGCCACCATTCCTGGCCCTGAATTCCTTTAGAATTAGCATATACCAACCCTATAGCTGTGGGTACAATTATCCCCATTTTACAGGTAAGGAAACTGATGCTGAGAGGACCCAAGAAACTTCCCCAGGATCAGCACAGGAAGTAACCAAATCAAGATGAAAAGCAGCCTTCTCTAACACGAAGTCCATGTTCCTAACTGCTAGGCTATCCTGCAGTCTCCTTCTCAACATAATCTTGATCCTGGAGTGAATAAAGCTGAGTGGAAGGGCCCAAGACTGGGCTAGCATGCCTGCCTCTGCTCCTGGCTTTATGCTCCCAGGCCCTTTCCCCTCCAGCCAGCTCTGTGAAGTGGGTAACGGCTGCACACTGGAGATCGTCTTGGGCCAAAAGGGACTCTGCTGATTAGCCTGATATAGCAAGAACACACACACAGGCTGCACTCTGAAGAGAAGGGCTGTCAGTGCACAAGGCTTTCTGATGGCTGGGACAGGACCTCGTGGGGCCAGGCACCACCTCTGTGGCACCACATCTAAATGGAGTCTGGTTCACTGGAGCCAAACTCTTAAAAGACTGTTGCAGAAATAAGCATGTTAGTTCAGTTTTCCGCAATGCAGACTACAATAAACCTGCCCTTCTAGAAACAGCCTAGCCTATCTTTGTTGGGACACTTCTTTTCTAGGAGCAGGCGAATGTGGAAGTCTGAATTATAATAGTAATCAGGTGGTTACATAGTAAGCACAGAATCTAAGCAAGATGTAGAAGATACACATAAAATCCGTTTAAGACAATGCAGGCTGGGCATGATGGCTCACACCTGTAATCCCAGCACTTTGGGAGGCCGAGGTAGGTGGATCATTTGAGGCCAGGAGTTCAAGACCAGCTTGACCAACTTGGTAAAACCCCATCTCTACTGAAAACACAAAGATCAGGCAGGCATGGTGGTGCACGCCTGTAATCCCAGTTACTCGGGAGGCTGACGCAGGAGAATCACTTAATCCTGGGAGACAGAGGTTGCAGTGAGCCGAGATTGCACTACTGCACTCCAGCCTGGGTGACAGAGCAAGACCCTGTCTAAAAAAAAAAAAAAAAAAAAAAAAAAGCAAGCAAAGTCTGTAAGGCTATCCCAGGCTCACAATACAGTCTACCAGAATGAGCACATCAATTAGACTCTAAGCTCCATAAAGGCAGGAACCTCATGGATGTATACACAATTAGCACAAAGTATTCAAGTATTCAAGAATGGTGAAATAAACGAGTGAATAAATGAACCACTCCTACATACAGTATACTTCATCCTTACAGAAAGCCCATGTAGTATGTATCACTAGCCCCTCTTAACCATCAGAAAACAAATTGATTTCTACTTATATCACACAGTATATAGACTTAGATCTTAAACCCCGTACTGGAATTCTGGATTCTTCACCCTCTCCACCACATGCACAGGTACTGAACAAGTAAAATGGCTGTAGCCACCATGTTTTTGGGTAACTTTTCTTTAAAACCTACCCACCAACAGCCTCTGCTGAAGAGGTTGGTTAGGTAACCATGTTTATACTCTGTGATGGTTCTCCAGGACACAGCTTATTGGACCAGGGCTGGACACCCGATCTAACGTTTGCCAATCCATTGCTGGTGAGAAAACAATCAGATTCAAACTTCGAATTCTGAACTCAGAGAACCAGAGGTCAAACTCAGTTGTCGGGAGAGATCTCAACTGAAAAGTCATGCAAGTCTGGTCCTGAGAAACCAACGCCACTCAAACAAGCTGCTGTCATGGTCGGATGAGAGGAGAAGGCAGGCTGGTCTACAGTTAGAAGAGCATAGCTGTGCTTTAAATCTGCATGGTAGCTGGGCGCGGTGGCTCATGCCTGTGATCCCAGCACTTTGGGAGGCCGAGGCGGGTGGATCACCTGAGGTAAGGAGTTTGAGACCAGCCTGGCCAACATAGTAAAACCCTGTCTCTACTAAAAATACAAAAATTAGTCAGCCGTGGTAGCAGGTGCCTGTAATCCCAACTACTTGGAGGCTAAGGCAGGAGAATCGCTTGACCCAGGAGGTGGAGGTTGCAGTGAGCCGAGATCATGCCACTGCACTCCAGCCTGGGCAACAAGAGTGAAACTCCATCTCAAAAAAAAAAAAAAAAAATCTACATGGTAAGTAAGAGAGACAGAGAAGCTGCTTTGGCTCGTGCTGACTTTTGGTTCCCAGTTCCAGCCTCCTAAGGCTGATTTACTTCTCACCCCTGGGTTTGGTGAGATTTTCCTTTATTGCTTCAACAGTCTCTTGAGAAAGTCTGAGTGAATTTCTGTTCTCCGCTCACAACTCAACTGGGACTAAAGCATTGACCCTAGAGGGGAGTAAAAATTCTCAAATTCTTCCCAAGGTTTGGTTTTCTCACTTGTAAAAAAAATGATGGACCAGGAGCTCAAAATTTCTTGCTTCCATGGAAGTATAAGAACTCCCAATGTATCATGCCCGGTGCCAGGAAGTAAGCAAAGACTCAGAGAAGAAAGGTGAGGCAGGAAAAATTTTGTTGACTCATCTCCCCACTTCTTCCCCTGGCCTGCAGTCCTAAGAAGAAACAATCCTAGGAAGTTGGATGCAGCTTTGCTCAACACACAAATCAGAGTGACCAGGACCCTGATGTCACCACGCTGCCAGAAATTATGCCTGCTGGAGAGGGAAGCCAATGCAGTATTTGAGGCAAATGAATGTCCTAAAGAGGAGGCGCCTTATGCACTTTTGCTTATGTCAAGGGTAGAGGGGTTTCCAAAGACAAAGTAACAATGGCGGCTGCATGCCCTGGTATGGCTTGCTGGGTGGCAAAGCTACCAAAGCTATGAATCTTCCTGCTCTATGTGTCCCTGTATATCAATGGAGAAAAAGAGTCCTCTTCTGGTCTGGCCCTAGGCCCACTGGTTGATCACAAATGCTTTCCTTAAAGCTATTCAAGTCTCACTTTGGGTTTGACTCCTGTTCTCTGGAACAGGTTTGTCCTCAGTCCTAGGTACACATCACCTTCCTCAGACCCTCTCAGCTGTTTCTTGTCCCTAAGTTCAATGGATCAATGAACAACATGAATTCCCATTAGCTGGAAGGAGGGATGCAGAGACAACCTTCCCCACAGATGTTCCAGGGAGCTCTACAGCCATCTCACCCAGCCTGCATCTCGCCTCAACCTACAGCATTGCCAACTTGGACTTCTACCCTTCCCACCTGGGATGGGCCCATTCTCAGCCTCCCTGCATGACCTCTGTTGAGGGGAGAGATCTTAGCTCTTGGACTCTAAGGCAATTACTTAGCCTCTTAGCCTATTACTTCAGCCACAAATTGGTTAAACTCCCTTCTACTGCATGGTGTTGTTCCATGATATCCCAAAAGAATGATGTATGTGAAGCATGTGGCCTGCCACCTGGTGTTTACTGACTCAGAATCACCTTCCATGCACATCTCTCTTTAGACCAATGAGAGCACAGAGGGGCTCTGATGAGCAGGCAGAGCCAGAGGTGGCTGGGTCCCCCTGTGGACACTCTACTTGAGGCACTCCCAGCCAAGTGAGAGGGGACAAAGGCAGAGTCCTGGCACCCTGTGGGCAAGGCAAGGCCCAGGGAGGTGGGGATGGTGCTGGCTGGGGCCATTGCCCAACAACGCAAATGGAAATGCCTCAACACACCCACTGTGTCCCAAGGTCAAAGGCTTCACAATTGGGTCTTTGTTCCTGAGTTCAAAAGCCTCACTCACCACTCCTTCAGGTTGCACAAGACGCCTCCTCTCCCCCACCGTCAGGCCTCCAGCTTCCCTGAACTGGGAAGCGACCATCCCAGAGATCTGCAGCTTGGCCCTCTTCCTTTCTCCCCTCCACCCACTTCATTTCTCTGGTTAGGCTGGATGTATACTCCAGGCCTCCTAGTAGATAGCAACAGACGGGTTTGAATAGGTAGGCACAGCACTGCAGGTCCTGTGCAAATATCTGCAGCTGAGCAGCTGTCTCTACCAACGGTAAAGATACGAAACTCCCAGAAGTAGAAAAGCCATGTTCAGGGAAACTCTTTCTACCCGACACCTTGAGTCCCACCAAGTTTCCCAGCCTTGGAGTTCAGACCTGAGAGAGAGCTCAGGGAGGTCATTTGCTCCAGCCCCTGCTTCCAACCAGCCACAAGGTCATCTCCATTTTATGGAAGGAATAACTGAAGCCCAGAGAAGTTAAGGGACATGAAGCCCCCCAGCAGGCAGTGGCAGGTAGAATGCGGCTTCTAAGAACAGCAGCTCCCTCACACAGTCTGCGTGCCAGACTGGCCTGCTCTGGCCACGGGTGGCCGTGGGGAGCTGGGGTGCCTGGGCCACCTCTAACAGCCATCAGCAGCTCCTCAGGAGAGCAGGCATCTCCCCCTTTGTCAAGGCTCCTTCCCCCAATCCTAGGACTCCAGTGTCCCAGGGTCCTGTAGATGGGATAGGAGGGGAGAGGGCGCACATGCCCTGGGAATCCTGGAGTCTTCCAGCAGGATGACTTCCTCTTGTGTGCTCTCATCTTCAGCCATCCTGGCCAGTGGCTGGCAGCCCCCAAAGACATGGGGGCTCACTACCTCCTGCTGCTCAAGGGTTAAACGGCTATGGTGTGACAGGCAGGCGTGGTGGGAGAACCATTGGTTTGCTCAGAACTTCCCTAGCCAGAAGTTCTGAGAAGAACCAACCACCTTTCCTGATGCAAGCTCTACAACAAACATCTCCCTCGCCTGAGGTCTCCCATGTCACCATTAGAGATCCATTGCTTTGGGTCTTCAGGTACTGGGGGTTTCCAGAGCCAGACCCCCATGACATTGCTAGCTTACTTTGCGGGCAGGGACGTGGCACCATGAGCATGACAAAGGCTGAGGACAAAGCTGCCCAGGGAGGAGCCCAGTGTGGGCACCTGGGACGAAAGGTTGAGGCCTCACAGCAGGGACATGGCTCTGCCAGGGAGGACTGTCACTGCTGACCACCTTGGTGATGACTCCAGGCACAAGGGCAGACACAGTCTGACCTGAGAGGGGAGCAGGCACTTCGAAGACCTCAGAGCAGGAGGGCCACAAGTCAGACCCTATACGCATATCACAGCCCTGTTCTCTGGAGCCACTGGTGGCAGGAGCCTGCACCCACCTCCCCCAGGAGGCCCACTGGGATTTCCTTAGCATCTCCACAGCTCCTGGCCACCAGGAGGCACAGGGTTCTGCTTTGGATCTCAGGAGACTCCCTTCCCCGCAACCTCCCTGTGTCTCGATTCCTGTCTCTACGGAGCAGGCACTGCTGTCCTATGCTTTGCCTTTCCTTTCCGGGTTTAAACACTGGCAAGGCATAGAGTGGGACTAGGAGAGGAGAACAGGCTCCTCCCCTCTGGAAGTATCCACCAAACACCACTCAGAGAGGCTCTGAGCACAGGGGCCTTCCCTGCAGCAAACCGAAACTGAAACAAAACACCCCAGAAACCCATGCAAGCCCTGGGAGGCTGTGGGCTGATGGATGTCCTGGGCTCGAGTCCCAGCCCTGGCCCTGTTGGGGGCCGAACAAGCCTGGACTGACAGGCTTGGGCTCTCCTCTCTTCACCTGCCATGACTCCTGCTGCCAGGGACACCAAGGTACCTTTGCCCCCTCCGTGGCACCCTGAGAACCAGCTGCCCCGGGCAGCTGTCAGTACGGCCCCTGTCAGTGCCGGACCTTGCCTGGCCCAGGCCTGGCTGCATCCCCCTCACTGCGCTTGCTTTCCAGGTCCTGGGGCCTCCAGCTCGGCAGGGGGCAGTCAGATCCCCAACCAGACCCCAACCAACGCCCGCAGGCCTGGCCCTTCCACAAACTTGCCAGCGACCCGGGGACCCTGGACCCCATGGTGACAGCAGGGCCTGCCTTCCCCACCAGCTGGCTGGGCTGTCCTGCCTGGACCCTGGACCCTGGCTCAGAACGTGGTTGTTGCTGGGCATCCCTGAGCTGAGAGCACCCTGCCCCACGGGCCTCCGAGGGCACGGGGACCCCAGCAGGGCTGGCCATTTATTCCCGCGCTGTGCCTGAAACGTGCAATTAACACAGGCTGGTTAATTACCCCGAGCAAGGAGACATTCTTCCACCACCAGGCAAACTGCTGGCCTGCAGCCCAAACCAACAGGGGGAAACTTCAGCCGCCTCGGCCCTCTCTCTGCCAGATGGAAATAACGTATAGCTGCAGCGGTGGGGGAGGAGGGAGGAACAAAAACCAGCTCGGCCCGGGGGCCAGACCGGAACCCCAGTGGACGGCCATTGGCCAGGGCACTCACCGCTCTCGTTCTTCTCGATGACATCCACCACCTCCCCGGCCTGGAGGCTCAGCTCCGAGTTCTCCTGCTTCTTATAGTTGGACACCACCACGTACTGTTCCAGGATCATGGGCTCGGCGGTGGCGTCGGCACCTGGCGAGGGCAGAAAGCACGCGGTGAGCCAGCGGCCAGCCATGGCCCCGCGGCCAGGGCGCCCCCTGTCCATCGGCCTCCTCGGGGGTGGCTGCTCTGTCGCCAGCGCCGCTCCCAGGGGCAGCCCGCAGCCGGGGCTCGCAGCTCACAGGGCGCCAAGGACAGGCCATATAGCAAGGCCCCAGACCGGCCCGCTGCACCGCGGGGTCCGGGGGACATGGGGAGCCAGGGGGCCGGGGAGGGGACGGGCAGGAGGAGGAGGAAAGAGAGAGGCAGAGCGGAGGCGGAGGCCAAGGAAGCTCAGAAAGAAGCCTTGTGCTGCGATGAGTTAGTCACAGCCCGGCATGAGGGAGCCTGCGGGGAGGCCTGGGGCCGACGGGGTCTCTCCGGCCTCCCTCTCGGGCCGGCAGGGGCATCGGGGAGGGCGGCGAGCCAGCGGGTGGGCGGCCCATGAGGGCTGAGGCCAGAGGCAAAGGAAAGGCAAGCAGGAGGCTCCAGCCTCTGCCCCCAACCCCTGCAAACCCGAGAGAAAAGGCAGCCCTGCTCCCTCGGGCGGGAGAGGGAGAGGAGAGAGCGGGAGAGAGCTTCTCCACGGCCCAGGCCCAGGCGAGGAGTCAAGAGGGTTTGAGGCCGCCAATCACTGGGGTTTACTCGCAACCCTTAAATAGAAACACATGAGACCCGTCGAATGAGGAGCCGGGGGTGGAGGCAGGGGAGGGGGAGGAGGCCTAGACTGTTTACTTGAAACCCAAGAAGAAAGTCCCCGCGCCAGCGGCTGGCGAGCCCAGCCCGCCCCCCGCCAACTTTTCCTCAAGTTCGCTCCGTTCCTGCCCCTCGGGCTCACCCAGGCGCTGCCACCGAGCCCAGGCCGGGTACAGTCGGACCAGCCTCAGGCCTGCCCCCAGCCCTGCTTCCAGAGAGGGCCCTCTGGCTGCAGAGACTGACTCAGTTTCTCTCTGCCTTTCAGTGCCGGGGCTTGTGGTCAGGCCCCGGCAGTTTGAGGGGCTTGAGGGGTCAAAAGCTGGGTGCAGCAGAGGGAGGGCAGGTGGACTCCCAGGAGCAAGCAGCTTCTCTGTCCTCCTCAGCCACTGGACCAGCACGACATTTGCTAAGCAGGCACCAGGCAGGAAGGCAGACAGGCTGGGTGCCCTTTTAGCTTCCTAGCTGAGTGGCACTGGATGCTGCTTAAACCTCTGCACTTCAACTCTTCCCATCACCATTATTGGCGGGGGGGGGGGCGGGGGGGGATAAGACACTTAAAATATGATGTGCTTTTTTTTTTTTTTTTTTTTTTTTGAGACGGAGTCTCGCTCTGTCGCCCAGGCCGGACTGCGGACTGCAGTGGCGCAATCTCAGCTCACTGCAAGCTCCGCTTCCCGGGTTCACGCCATTCTCCTGCCTCAGCCTCCCGAGTAGCTGGGACTACAGGCGCCCGCCACCGCGCCCGGCTAATTTTTTGTATTTTTAGTAGAGACGGGGTTTCACCTTGTTAGCCAGGATGGTCTCGATCTCCTGACCTCATGATCCACCCGCCTCGGCCTCCCAAAGTGCTGGGATTACAGGCGTGAGCCACCGCGCCCGGCCTATGATGTGCTTTTAGCTAGGAGTGAAAAGGATCCACTAGCCAGAAATGGACTAGTCACCTCCTACAGGAAGCCTTCTCAGACCACCCCCAGCCCAAAGGGAATTCCTAGTATACTTTTGTTTTTTTTGAGACAGGGTCTTTGTTGCCCAGGCTGGAATGCAGTGGTGCAATCATGGCTTACTGCAGCCTTGACCTCCTGGATTCAAGCAATCCTCCCACCTCAGCCTCCCATGTAGCTGGGACCAAAGGCACACACCACCATACCCGGCTAATTTTTTTATGTTTTGTAGAGCTGAGGTCTCACTTTGTTGCCCAGGCTGGTCTTGAACTCCTGGGCTCAAGTGATCCTCCCGCCTCAGTCTCTCAAAGTGCTGGGATTATAGGCATAGGCCACTGCGACTGGCATAAACTATATGTCTGCCAATCTCCTTGAAGGCTAGGGGGCTTCATGTCACTAGCCTGGCTACAAAAATTGCTGAGGGTCTCCAAGTTCCACACAGCCCCCTTGGTGCCTCAGCCTATAGCCACATTCCCCACACGCCTGAGTTTGACTTGGCAAATGTGATGTGCCAGGCACATTAACCGCCCCATTTCATGCCCACAACATCCCCCTTATCTTCCATTTCACAAAAGACTAACCAGAGGCCCCTCTACAGCAGGCAAGAGACGACTCTAGCTCCCACAGCTGCTATGAAGAGCATCACATTCATTCAGTATGATTTTGTTCAGGCCCAAGCCCATCTGTCTTTCCATTGCAGAATAACTGCCTCTGATTTGTTTCCATCAGTCTGGTTCTTCTAGCACAGTAATCCTCAACTTGGAAGCACAGAATCACCCAGGGAGCTTTTTAAAAGTACTGATGCTGGGCTCCAGAGAGACAGGTTTCTTTGGTCTGGGACTCAGGCATGAGTAGTTTTTGGACATCCCCCCTGTGTCCCTATGGTGCTTGTGTGCACCCAGGTGCAAGAAGCACTACTTAGATCTTTGGGTCCTTCTGTAGGGGGAGGCTCCCTCCAACCTAGGGCAGACGGCAATGGCCACAGAACTCTAGGAAATCCCAAAGGGAGGCCTCCTTCCAGGGAAAGAAACCCACTGCCCCCCGGCAGTTTTCTCCCATGAGGTGTGGGCCCTGCAGGCCCATCTCAGCCCTTTGGAGAAGCAGAAGGGACCCTGCACAGCTGAGTGTGCCACATACATTCGCACGTGCACAGTCCCGAGCAGCCCTGCTAAAGCCGGGATTGTATTTCAGGCAGAAATGCAACCAACAGCCGGGCAGTAGGGCCTGCCCCGCCTCTGTACTTAGGCATGCCAGCTTCTGTGCCTGCCCCTGCCAGCTGGGCAGAGGCAGCGCCGGGTGCTGCGCTGACGGACTACCTCCCACTGTGCCCCTAGGGGAACAGCAGTGCCTGTTCCATGCCTGGAGCCTCTGTGGCCAACAGCACTTCTTAAGCGCACCCGGCACAAAAAGGGCCATCCCTGCCCTACGAGAAATGGGGCCTCCTTTCCCAGTGTGGGGGCACTGGATGAGAAGAGTGGGAAAGAAAGGCTCCAGCAACAAACAAGAATAGAGAGTTCTGTGGCAGGTTAGAGAGCCCGCAAGGCCTGAGTATGGCCAGATCATAGCAATAGTGACAGCAAGCCTTCATCAGTGCTGACTTGGAGGCATCCAACAGCATCGAGCTGCCTCGTCCAATCCTCAGAGCAACCCCATGCAGTAGGTCCTGTGATGGCCCCGTTTCACGCATGGGCAAAGCAAGCCTCATGAGGGTAAGTGAATTCTCTAAGGTCACACAGCTGGGATTGAACCCAAGCCCACCTGACACCACTGCCTATGATCTTAACTTCTGCACTGTATGTGGCCTATAATGGGCCACCGGCGCCTGGTCCCTAGGGAAGGGCCCATTACATCCCAGGTACCTGGGACACAGCGGCTGCTTAATAAAGACTAGAGTATGGGTTTCTTTCTCTCTCTTTTTTTTTTTTTTGAGACGGAGTCTTGCTCTGTCGCCCAGGTTGGAGTGCAGTGGCAAAATCTCGGCTCACTGCAACCTCCGCCCCCCAGGTTCAAGCAATTCTCCAGCCTCAGCCTCCCGAGTAGCTGGGATTACAGGTGCCCACCACCATACCTGGCTAAATTTTTTTTTGTATTTTTTAGTAGAGATGGAGTTTCACCATGTTGGCTAGGCTGGCCTTGAACTCCTGACCTTAAGTGATCTGCCCGCCTTGGCCTCCCAAAGTGCTGGGATTATAGGCATAAGCCACCACGCCTGGCCTAGAGTATGGGTTTCTAGTTGACTCTTGCCACCTCTACTGACCAGACCACAGTGCCTGTTAGGTGGCAGGCACTCAATAAGTGTGAAATGAACCAGTGAAACGCGTGAACTGGCAGAAAGATGAACAGAGGGACTCATTGGTTTGTGGTGTCAATATGAATACCTTGACTCTGATATGGGAATATGGGAAAATGAGCCAAACTCGAAGGGAGAAAGGGGAGATGGGGAAACTGAGGTAAGGAGGAGAAAGAAGCCCCAGCTTTGTGGCCAGAAGATGCCTGGAGGACGAGCAGGAGGTGCTGGGGAGTGGACAGACATCAGCTCATTTTAATCCAAGCCAAGAAAATCTGAGGCAGGGTTTCAAAGCAGAGTTAAATCCACACCCCCACACCCCTTCCCCCCACCACTTTCCTGGAAAATTGGCCTGACCTTCCTGAAGGCTGACTCTCTGGGACACAGGTAGAAAAGTTAAGGAAATATTCTCTAGGCATTGGAAAGCACAGACAGGCTATGGCCTCTCTCAGGAGCTGCTCCAAAGGCTGTGGGATGGACACACGGACACTCTGTCCTTCTGGCTGCCCTTCCCTCCCGTTGCACAGGCAGGCTCCCAGCTCTTCCCTCTGGCAGCTGCCTCTTAGGGTGTTCCCTGGCCAGGGCAGCCGGGCGGGCGGGAGCTGCGAGCAGGTATCCAGATGAGAAACCACTTGCAGGCCAGGCAGGCAGTGGGCGGTGATGTCATCCCACAGAGGCCACTCTGGATCCCCTCTCAGCCAAGGCCTGCAGAACTAGGGGCTGGAGGAGTCTGCCTGAGTGGGGAGGGGGCAGTGGAGGGAGCCTGGTGTCTTTAGATGAGGAGTGCTTGGCAGGAGCATGGAGAAGGGGTGTACCTCTTCTAGACAGCAGAGCCTCTCCTGGGTTGGAAGGGGCCTTTGCATGAGTCTGATCCAGAGATGGACCCTTGTGCTTTATTACAGAGCCCCTGGCTGGACCTGCTGGGGTCCCAGGGGTCCCCTGGACCCCTGCCCCACCCTTGCCTCACATCTGCATTCCTTCAACTACCACCTGGATGGAACCCTGGCTGCCAACTTAAACTTCTCAACTGGGCTTTTGCCAAGTCAGTCCCATGCTCCAACGCCTTCCACGGCTCCCTCTTGCCTATAAAGGACAAATTCAAGCCCAGTCTTTCTTGCCAATCTGAGCTCCCCAAGTTCCTTGATCCCCGTCCCCCACACCACCATTCAATACATCATTCATGATTCAACACATGTATCGAGCACCCACTAGGCGCCAACACCCAACACCACTGCTCCATGCAGCTTCTTACTTTCCAAGTCTGTGCTCTAGCTGCTGCCCCCTGCTGGAATGCTTTCCCTTCTCTCTACCAATCCCAGTTTCCCAATTCTCCCCAAGCATCTCTGTCCTCCAGGAGGCTCCTGATCACTCTTGTTCCCTCTTTTCTGTTCCCTCCTGGACTTTATGTTGGGCATTGCTCCCCAACCAAAGTATGTGCCTTGGACAAGAGTCTCTCGACACTCCAGGACTGGTGCCTCAGGACATGACATGGGACATAGTAATTACCTGAAATTCATGATGGAAATGCTTAGAATTAGAGTCCAAAGGTCTGAGGTCCAGTCCTGCTTTGCCCTTACTAGCTCTGAGATCCTGGGGAGGACACGTAACCTCTCTTGAGCTTTAGTGTCATCTGGAAACAGGAACAATAGCAGTTCCTACCTCATGGGAATTGTTCTGAGCACGGAATGAAGTGACGGGGCTTCAAGTCCTATGGAAATCATAGATGGTCATTTTAAAGCAAGTGGAGGGAATGGGAGATCTGAGGAGCAGCAAAGCTGTTGGTTCCTTCGTGGGCTCACCAGCAGGCAGCTCGGTGCCAGGGCTGCAGGTGCCAGGAGAAGGGTGGGGAAGGGAGGCCGGGGGCTGTGTCCCTGCAACATGCCCCTCCCAGACCCTACCTTCAGCAGGTAACGGGTACTTGCCAGCTGGATTGAGAGGCAGCTCAGAGCCCCCTGGGCCTACTCTGGGGGGATGCCAGGCTAAGCAACCTGAGGCCCCTGATCTATAAGGATCTCCAACATCAGCCCTTACCTCTGAGTTTCCTGTCTCATATCTCAAAGAACCCTCCAACCCTCCAGATGGAGAAACCAAGGCCCAGAGAGACTCTGGCCCTGGACTCGCAGTCTGGCTGGGTTTTCCCCCAGCCCACACTGCCTCCCCTGGGCCTCTCACTCCAAACAGCTGGGATCATCTTGAGACGTGGTTAAGTGTCCTCCCCAGGGTCACAGAGCTAGTAAGGCCCTGTGCTGGCCTCCACCCCAGGCTCCCCACGACTCCCCAACCCTGGGCATCCTACAAAAGTCCCTCTAGCCCCTTATAACTGGTTCCTCCCAGGCTGGACTGGGACTGCTGGCCCCTCCGCTATACGTTTGGTGAATAAAATGTATTGCTGTGGGCCAAGTGGGCTCTGGCTCACTGGCGTGTGGAGAGGGGAAAAAGGGACAGGAGCCCAGTGATTAGCTCAGGCCCAGGCCCTCGTCACAGGAAACTCCAGAAGGAGATTGCAACGCCCTCCGACCCACTGCCTTCTCTTCTCCTCTGGACTCCTCCCAACACGTTTACCTCCCATTCCCCGCCCACAGCTGCAGCAGTAGGGGCTGGGCTTTGGGCTCTAAACACTGGGGCTGGCCCAGCCCCACCACCCCACTCAGCTCCCACCCTTCTGCTTTGTCCCCTATTCCCCCAGCCTGAACCTCTGCTCTCAGGTTTGGGGCTAGAGGGTCAGGGTGTGTAACAGCCTCAAAAATGGAGGGGTCCCATAGAAGACCCTTCTGGAAATTCCATCCCTCCTCCGACCATCTCCATCCAGGAGCTGAGAACCCTGCTGTCCGGGATTCTCTGCCATGGTCCCATAAGACTAAAGGTTGAAGGCAAGTCCCTGACCCCTGCCCAGCTCCTCCCAGACACAGGCCAAGGCCCTAGTCCCTGAGGGCCATCTCAGCCAGGCAGGCCAAGCTCTGGATTGCTGGGCATGGGGGCTGTGACCCACCCTCAGTCACAGTCACAGAACTGCCCCACCCCCTGCCCCAAATCTGCAGCTCCCCAGTGAGATCACTGGAAATGAGGGTTGGGTGTCAGGGCCCGCTGCTCTCTGCCTCAGTTTACCTGCCTAAAGTGAGATGAACCATCTTTGGCTGGGCTCTCTCACTGAGACGGCCAATTGAGATAAGGCTGAAGATGGCGAAAGCCCCACCACTGCCTGAGCACTTTCTGTGTGCCAGGCTCCCCACGAGGTGGGATGGCTTCCCCTTAGGGAGGTTACACACCCCACCCAAGGCAGCATGGCCAGGACGTAGCAGAGCTGGAATTCAGACCCACACACCCTGGGTCCAGAGCACACGTGCTTACACGCTGAGCTACGTGGTCATCACTCAGCAAAGGGCCCCATGTTCAGATCTGACTGGGGAGGCAGAGGGCACAGCAAGTGGCAGACCCCCTGCCATGCTGGCAAACAGCTGCTGCACATCACAGGGAAGCATGCGCAGGGCCTGCAGGCACCGGCTCCCGCGCACACGGACCTGGAACACACATGCTCACACACATGCATGCACGCTGGGCAGTACCTGTCACGTCCTTCTTGGGCGACTCAGCCCAGCTGGACAGCCACACTTCCGAGTCCCCGAGAGCAAGCGGCAGCAGGAGAGGAGAACCAGAGAGAGAGAACGGTTAGGCAGGCAGGAGGTCCACAGTGAGTGGCTGCAGGCGCCGCGCTCGGCCAGCCGCGGGCGGAAGGCGGAGGAGGGAGGAGAGTGATTTCCTGGCCCTGGGCTGGCTGTTGGGCGTGGGCCCGTGTGATTACAGAGGCGCTGGGACACAGCCGGCTGGGACAGGGATAATGAGGTGTCCGCCGAAATGCAGGACTCCTTCGGAGCACAGAGAATCCCACACGATCCTCCCTGGAACGGGGCCCGTGGTTATCACAGCCCTGTACAAGGCAGCCTGACCCTTCCTTTCTGGCCATGTGGGTGGCTGGGTCCCACGGGGCCTGATGGTTGCAAGGATCCTCAAAGGCCAGCGGGCTCAGTGGCCTGGACCCAGAACCTCAAATGTCAGGGTTGGAGCACCCAGGACCCATCTCTAGGCCTGGGGGCACCACACCCACTAGACCCTGATGTGTCATCCAGCCCTTACTGCAGCCCCACCCACTGAGGAAGACAGATCGGCCCCAGCAGAGCAGAGGGAGCATCGTTTTAGGGAGTCTTGCTCCCCAACCCCAAAGCAGAAGGACAGGGACCTTGAGTGACCAGAAGAGATGAGGGCTCTACTCCAGGCTCAGACAGTGGTGTCCAATCTGGGCCTCAGTTTCCTCACCTGTGAAATGGGATTTAGAGTTGTCCTCCTGCCAAGAGGAAGGAGCAAAATCAAAGCAGCATAAAGAACTTATGATTGAGATGTGATACCATTAACATCTGAATGAGGCAGAAAGCTCTTGGTCTAATCAATGGTTTGCGTATTTCTAGAATAGAAGAGAAGAGGGCCACCATGTCAAAAGCATTGATGCAGTCGAACTACAGTGACTCATTTAGTCCCCATGGCAACCCCATCAAGTGGGTAGGCATGTTTAGCCCCATTTTACCGGGGAGGACTCTCAGACATGGAACCAGGTCTGGTGGCATCCCCAGGCTGCTGCTTTCTCTGCTGGGCTGCTCATCACCTCCAAAGGAGCAGAGCACTGGCTGCAGTGGGGACAATTAAAAGGCAACGCTGAATTGCAGGTCTGAGAGACAAACTCTCGCACTGCCCACCAGGCGCTTGCCAGGAGAGCAGCCTGACCCATTCAGAGAGTACTGATAAACAGCAGCAAACACTTATACAGCATTTCCCCTTTGCCAAGCATCCTGCTGAGCACTTTGCATATAGTAACTGGTATTTTTCCCAACAAACCTACAACGATGAGTACTATTATCCCCTCCATTTTGCAGATGAAGAAGCTGAACCAGAGAGGTTAAATAACTTGCCCAAGATCACACAGCTAGTACAGCAGTGTCCATCTCTTGCAGGGACACACACCTCAGCTAATCAGAGCTTGATGCTGCTCTCTATTTAAAGCACCTGACTCTTTCCCTCACTCAGCAAGCCACCTTCCAATTGCAGGTTGGCTCCCGGTGTAGAACTAGAAAGCCTGGCCCCCTTCTGGTTCTCATTGTAAATTAGCAGAGTGGGGCTTTGGTGGAGCGGTCTAGCAAGGCCTTTGGGGTCTGACTGCCTGGGTTCAAATATAGGCTCTGCTCCTTTGAAGAAGTGACTTACCCTCTCTGAGCCTGTTCCTGAACTTGTAAAAATCTGGATGATGTGATATACTTACCTTCTGGGTTGCTGTGAGAATTAAATTAGATAATATGTAATAGTGCCCAGTGCAGTGCCTACTACATAGTCAGTGCTTGATAATGGTTAGCCGCCACTGGCAGTAACTCCCATGAACGTGGTTAGCATAAGCCTGCCTCCCTGGGTTCAATCAGCTCTGGGGACACCCAGAAAATCATGCCCCCGGCCTGCAAGGACAAGAACTAGACAGTGTTCAATACTGGATGCACCAAGAAAAAGCTGGCACCCTGTTAGAGATACTGCCCCACAGTCACTCTCAGACACCGGGTTATCTGGAATGGAAGGTAGAGGGACTCCAGGGGACCTCACCCAGAGACAAACAGGGCAAAATCTGAGGTTACAGCCCCTCCCCAGGTTCAGCAGTCAGCAGCCTCCTTGGGGAGCAGGAGCAATGCTGGCCCAGCTTTCAAGCCCTGGTAGGGCTGAGACAAGGTAGACACACCAAGGGCCTCCACAAGGATTTAAGCTGGTATGGCCAAGGAGGTCTGGGTTCAGAATGTGGGTGTTGCTGCCTGGTGCCCACATCTTGCTGAAGTTTCAACTCCCTGCTGCTGCATCCCAGAGATGTGGCCAAGTGGGCTGCCTGCTGCAAGGCCCTGAAATGCCCCTGAACAGGCCTAGCACCAGGCCCATCCCAGCGCCATCTGGCCCTCTCTCCATGCCACTCTCCACTTCAGTTTGCTTGACCACTTTGTCTACTTTGGGTTCCTTTTGGGTTCTTCATAAGGAGACCTGAAAGCACTAACCTCTTTCAGTGAGCCAAGGAAAGCTGTTTTGCCTGGGCCTGGAGAACCCAAGAAGACCTGCTTTGCTGGACAGGTGCTTGCAAAGGGCCAGAGAATAAACACTGTAGGCTTTGGGGGCCAGATGGTCTCTGTTGAGACTACTCAACTCTATTCTTATAGTACAAAAGCAGCCACAGGCAATACATAAAAGAATGAGTGGGCTGTGTTCCAATAAAACTTTATTTATAAAACGAAAAGGGGGCCGGACATGGCCTGTGAGCAGACAACCGGAGCTCATGCCTGTCCCCTTCAGTCCCCATAAGCAGGCCTTCCCGTATCTCTCCGTAAAGGAAAATGGGAAGCAGACCAGAAGTAAGCCTGTCTTTTTAAAAAGAAACCTCTCTCTAAAACATGATTTATTTCCCAGTCCCCTGACCTGCAGAATTAATCCAGTTCTGCTGCTCCCACTCAAAGTCCCTCCCCCTTCTCTCTAGCCCACCCTAGCAAGCTCTCGAGGGGTGGGAAGGACCCCTTCTCCCTCATTACAATGAACAGAGGAGAGCCCCTGGCTCACAAACCCTGGCCCTCCAGCCAGGAGGCAGACAAGGCTGTTGGCTAAGGGCTGGGAAGACGGGGAGTTGGAGAGACAGAGGGACAGGGGTGAAGGAGCAGTGGGGGGGAGGCGGGGGGCGCAGCCAAGTGAGCAGCTGTGACTGACATGAACCAACTGCTTCCTGCCTTCCTCCTGTCCCTGCCTTCATCTCCTCTGGTGATCCAGAACCAACGGCCCTACAGAGCAGGGTCACTGGCCTGCTAGAAAGTAAAGGGCATCAGACTGGAAACCTGCACCCTGGCTCTTGCTGAGAACACACTGTGTGGCCCTGGGCAAGTGGCTTAAAGACTCTGGGCTTTGGCTGGGCGGTGGCTCACCCTGTAATCCCAGCACTTTGGAGGCCGAGGTGGGTGGATCACTGGAGGTTAGGAGTTCGAGACCAGCCTGGCCAACATGGCGAAACTCCGTCTCTACTGAAAATACAAAAATTAGCCGGGCATGATGGTGAGCATCTGTAATCCCAGCTACTCGGAAGGCTGAGGCATGAGAATCGCTTTAACCCGGGAGGCAGAAGGTGCAGTGAACCAAGATCGTGCCACTGCACTCCAGCCTGGGCCACAGAGTGAGACTCTGTCTAAATAAATAAATAAATACTCCGGGCCTCAGTGCTCACATCTGTACAGTTAAGCATTTGGGCCTATTGCTCTTGTCTGATGGCCTGCCTGAGGCAGTTGTCTGACGTTCTAGACCTTCCCAGCAGAAAACTGGTAGTCTCCATAACACAAGGGGACCACAGCGGAAATGAATCTTTCCAGAGAAACGGACTGTCCTTCCTGGGAAAACCACTTGAATGCAGGCTCAATTGAGGCAACCCGAGTCCAAAATAGCGGATGATTCAGGAGGCACAGAGGGCAGAGATCTGGAGCAAGAATAAAAGCAACCTTGGTTCTTGTGCTGGCTTTGCCACTTAGCTCGCTGACTCTGGGATAGCTAGGAAATCTCTGAACATCTGTTCCTTCTTCTGTAAACGGGGAAAAAACACCTGCCCTGCCTTCTTTGCAGGGTTAAGACTGAAATGGCCTAATGCCTGGGAAAGGTTTTGGAGGGCTGGGAATTAGGCCTCTGGACACAAAGAGGAGTAAGTGGTAGGGACAAAGCTGAAAGCAAAAGCAGTAGGTTCCTGGAAATGGCAGGTATGCCATGTCCCTCCCTCACACAGCCCATAGTGCTCATGTCCCTGCCATGGCTGTCCGTCCTGGCATTGCTCGCAATACCAGCAAGAAGCCAGGCCAGGAGAAAACCAGGGGCCTGGAGATTCCGGCCAAATACAGGGACCCAAAGGTACTTAGATGCTGAACCTGATTCTTGACAGGCCCAGGTGATGCTGAGAAACCAAAGAACAACACTGCAGGTGCCCCTGACTTTAAGGACAACCCACCCCATCCAGCACACATACATCCAAGGACTTCATAGGAACAACTGGATAGGCCTAGGTTAGGAGAGGGTCCTTGGCTGCTCTGAAGATGGTGAGTATCTCAACTGTTCCCAGTGAATTACACGTCAAACTTCTTCTTCCACTCTTTCTCCCCATCTCACTACTGCACTCGACTGGTCTTAAAAATAATAATAATAAAGGCTGGGCATGGTGGCTCGCGTCTGTAATCCCAGCACTTTGGGAGACCACTGTGGGAGGATTGCTTAAGCCCAGGAGTTGGAGACCAGCCTGGGCAACATAGTGAGACCCCATGTCTACAAAAAATAAAAATCTAGCCAGGCGTGGTGGTGCCTACCTGTGGTCCCAGCTACTCTGGAGGCTGAAGTGGGAGGATTGCTTGAGCCCAGGGAGGTCGAGGCTGCAGTGAGGCATGATCACGCCACTGCAATCCAGCCTGAGCAACAGAGTGAGACCCTGTCTCAAAATAAATAAGTATAAAATAATTTTTAAAAGGGCACTTATAGATTCATAGTAAGGCTTCTTTTAACCTTGAGTAACTCCAGAGCAGTGAGAATTGGGTTGAATTTATCCAAATCTAGTCTGAAACCATGTTTCCAGGAATGCTTCCCTGGTGTAAAGCAAGTTCCATCCATCCAAACTAATAAATCCAGAGTGGGCCATGAGCCCAGGTGGGAGAGACCAGAATGAGTACAGCCAACAGCGAAAACTCCACGGAGAATGAAAGAGAACCACAGGCTCAGGGGACCAGGGCAGGGTCACTAGCCTTGTCAGTTTCTTTCCACATCCCCACCCTGGGCTCTGGGGAGGGGAGGGGTGACAGGCCAGGGGCCCGATGGAATGAACACCTCCCTGTCTTCTCCATGCCCTTCCATCCTTCAGTATCTCTACACACTGGAGCACTCAAGCCCTCTCTCTCTTTGGGAATACTGTTCTTACCTCATTGCAGTTTTGAACTGGTTTCTAAATAACTGCTGCAGTTTAAGCCTTTCCTCTCCCATACAACTAAACTTTGTACAGGGCTAGATTTCTTAGGTTTCCTGCAGACTCCACGTTTCTTTTCCTTTCTGGTTAGGAAACCAGGAAATTCGGCCACCACTTTCAGGCCATCAAATAATTAGGGCCTAAGAGATGCTAGTCCTATTATTCAGTAGTAACAGTAATTGTCATTGTTGCCATGAACAGGGCACTTCCTTGTGGTAGGCACTACTGTATAGGCACACAGCAACTCATATCTTTACGACAGCCCAACAGGGTTATCGGTCCTTTACAAAGTAGTTTGGCCTATGTGATACTCACTTTAGAGGACCTGAAACAGGTTGTCATGCTCAGAGCAGCAGAAGCTGAGGCGTAACAGTGAAAGCCACGTGAATGTCATCTGGGAAAAACACGGATGGCCAATTCGTAATTCTTTAAAAGTCTTAAAAAACATGGCACCAGGCTGGGCGCGGTGGCTCACGCCTGTAATCCTAGTGCTTTGGGAGGCTAAGGCAGGCAGATCAGGAGGTCAGGAGTTTGAGACCAGCCTGGCCAACATGGTGAAACCCCGTCTCTACTAAAAATACAAAAATTAGCCAGGCGTGGTGGTGTATGCCTGTAATCCCAGCTACTCAGGAGGCTGAGGCAGGAAAATTGCTTGAACCTGGGAAGTGGAGCTTGCAGTGAGCTGAGATCACGCCACCGCACTCCAGCCTGGACAACAGAGCAAGGCTCTGTCTCTTAAAAACAAACAAACAAACAAACAAACAAAACAAAATAAAACAAAACAAAAAAACAAAAACAAACACCAATTAAGATGACAGAAAACAAATAGTTCAGGTATGACTTCCAATCCAAGCACACCTGGGTGGAAGTCTGGTCCAGGGGGCAGTTGTTTAGTGTGTGAGCTGCTTCTGATGTGGGCAACTCTACAAAAGCTTGTTCCAGGATAAGCAGCAGCCAGCTGGTCAGAGATACCCATGGCATGAAAAAAGAGTGCCCTTGCACTGGAGGGCGAGGGGTGAATACTGTTATTGCAGCAGCTCGGACCCCAGGCCTGCTCCTACACTCAGAGCCTCCAAGGCAGAGCTGGCTTCGTGGAGGTGTGATCTGGGCAGTGGCCTAGGGTCCCAGGTTTAGAAGGGTCCCTGCAGCTGATTTAATGCTCTTCTGTCAGGGGTTTCATCAATAATTTATGAATGAGAGAGTCTTCATTTTCATTTTGCAGTGGATCCTGCAAATTATGTAGCTAGCTATGCCCAAGACCTGAGGGTTTGGGGCCACTGAGCTAAATAAACAGAAGTACTCAAGAAGAAATCTAGTAGAGCTGAATTTCTGATGGATATCTTCTTAAAGACAGAAAGCAAATCCCAAATGGAAAGCCAGGCCATTGTTTGTCTCCAGGTCCCCTCTCTCTGCTACATCTTTGGCTTCTTGGTGGTACCCCCACAGGCTGGAAGGACTATTTAGGGTCTCAGAACCAGAGAGGAGAAGAGACTTGCCTAAGATCACACAGCAAATAAGTCGTAGGGCTGGAGCTAGAATAATTATACCAGTTTCCACTTACTTAACATTCATGCTAGGTGCTGTGCTAAACATTTATGAGCATTTTCTTGTTTAATCTTCACAACAGTCTGTAATTTACAGATGAGGAAAGTGAGGCACAGAAAAGTTAAGGCTCTGGCCTTGTGCGGTGGCTCACGCCTGTAACCTTAGCACTTTGGGAGGCTGAGGTGGGTGGATCATCTGAGGTCAGGAGTTCGAGACCAGCCTGTCCAACATGTTAAACCCCATCTCTACTAAATATAAAATTAGCCAGGCATAGTGGTGCATGCCTGTAATCTCAGCTACTTGGGCGGCTGAGGCAGGAGAATTGCTTGAATCCGGGAGGCGGAGGTTGCAGTGAGCCGAGATCGCGCCATTGCACTCCAGCCTGGGCAACAAGAGCGAAACTCCGTCTCGGGGGAAAAAAAAAAGAAAAGTTAAGGTTCTTTCCCAAGGCCCTACAGCAAGAAGTGATGGCATCAGACTTAAGCCCAGGCAGGCTGGCCAGGAATTGGGAACAAAGGGTCCTCATGGGGGATGTCATTTTCTGATCCTCCCTGGCCACTGGCCAAGGCTTTCTTTATTTCTGCTGCTTTTCGTAAATGCAGCAAGAAAGGACTTGCCTCATTCCCTGGAATCCAGAACACGTGTGGGGGCAGCCCAACCCAGGGTAGGAATGCACTATTGACCCTCTGGCCCTGGGTTATGCAGTCAAGGAGCAGTTTCCCTGCTCAGGCGGGGGATGGGGTGCAGTGGGGGCTGGGCCTGGAGACCCTCCACAGCCCCTTAGGGACTAAGTCCAAGGGTGCCTGCCTAGGCCAAGCCTGGGGCCAGAAGGGTCAGCCCAGCCTAAGTGGGTGTGGACGGAGAAGCCAAGGATGCCCTAGGAGCACTGAGGCTGCCTAGAAGGGGCTGCCCTGGCAGGGAGTAGCAGGTAGTTCTGTCACCTCCCTCCACCCTGCTGAGAAGACCGGAAGCTTCCTGGTTAAAGATAGGTGCTGGGTTAGTGAGAGGTGCCGTGGGTGGACAGAGGGGTGCTGGCCAGGGAGGCTGGCAGGTTCAGAGCCTCTCTGATCCCAGCAGCTGCTGCCCAACCCATGGCAGCCCCTTGGGTTGCGGCCTCCCCCTCAGTTCTCAGGTTCTCACCTCTCCCCACCCCAGGGCATTTGTGTGCAGAGAAGAGACAAACTCAAGTTTGTTCTGAGTTCCAGGATCCCAGCCACCTCCCTCCCTGGGGTGGCCTGCCTTGGTGGTCCTCCCTCACTTACTGGGAGATCCTCCCTCCAATTCCCCCACCCTCCAGCTCCCCCAGAAGCCCGAGCCAAAGCCAGTATTTGCGTTCACACAGAGAAGGAGCAGCAGAGAGGCTGGGCAGTGGGATGAAGTCAGCAGTCGCTGGTCTCCAGCCCCGAGTCTTGCAATCCGCCTCCTCCCTGGCTCAGTCTCCCTGAGAGCCGCGAGTGAGTGATGGAGTCAATAGCAACGGACTCAGGACAGACATTCCCCTCCCCGGACAACAAAATGTGGAATGTCTCCTTCTCTCCAGACTGGACTCTTGCTATCGGATTATCAATGAATCAACCGCCAACTATTTCGGGAGCATCAACGGCCCCTGGTTGAGACCATCTGACTCTCCACCCTCTGTCTCAAAGCATCAGACACACAACCACAGACACCGTCCCCAGCATTCCTGTCTGCTTCAGGAGTCATGTAGGTTTGGGGAGACAGGCTGGGTCCCGGAAGGTCTGAGGGAGGAGACGGCAGGGCTGAGTCCTGGAGGCCTTGAAGGTATAACTGGACCCATCTTTGGGGTAGGGCTCACGGAGCCTCAGGGACATCTGGCTGGACGCTGCCATCCACTGGTGCAAGACAGGGGTGGGGATGGGGGGTCAGGGGTAGGAGGAGAATTCATTCCTGGACTGAGGTTGAGGACACCCACTTTTCAAGGTTTTCTGTCTCCCTTATCATGCCCTGGGCAGGATCTTTGTTCACTGACTGTTCCCACTGGCTCCAAACGTCTGGTTAGGGCTATAGTCCTAGCAAGCGCATAGCGCATAGTAGGTGCTTATTAAAGATTTGTTATGAGTCTCTTCAATCAGACCTTTAGTTCCTTCAAGGCCTTATCCCTGTCAGCACCCCACAACACCTTGAATGCAGGAGGTGCCCAATTAACCCTCAGTGGCTGATGGAAAGATGAATACTCACTGCTCTCAAGCCCAAGGGTGCATGGAAAACTGAGGCCCGGCTACCCCACTGCCCCAGGACCCTCTTGATACCCACGGCTCTGCCCTCTCTAGTCCAGGCTTGGCCTCCGGAACCACATACAGGCATACAGGCCTGGCTTGTGCTGGGCACAGTGGCTCCCGTGCAGGCCTCCGAGCCTGCAGAACACCCTGAAGGGCGTTGGCTCCCAGCATCTGCTTTAATGCCCTTCAAAGAGATTTTTAGAAAAATTACCCCTAAGCAGTACAGTCTCTGGCAGGATGGACGCTACAGGAAACAGGAGCCGGAGCAGGAACGACCCGTTCATGTGTAATGTCTGGGGGGAGCAGGGCTTGGTGCAGCCTCCCATGGTGTTTGCTGGGAGCCCCTGAGCCTTTCCTTACCCCATCCCTCCCCTCCTCTGCGTGGGTCCAGACCAATCCCCTGAGCGCTGAGATGCCACGTAAACAGAGCTGTGCATGCACGCAGTGCGCACGCACACACCACTGCTTGGGAAATCCCCACATCTGGCTCTCACGTGACCCAGCTATGCCCAGAAGGCTGCAGCTGAGAGGGCCTGGAAGATGAGAGGGTCGGGAGTGTGCGGCTCTCTGGGGAGCCCCGAGTTAACCCTTCAGCACCACAGCTCGGCGGCTCTGTCTAATGCTAAGCTTCCAGAGAGGGGAGAAGCCAGGAAGGAGGCCTGGTGCTCAGTGCTCAGCCCTGGCCCTGGTTGCCTTTCCCAGCGTGGGAAGGTTGGGACACTTCTCTGGGCCTCACTGGTCTTGACCTGGGATGTGAAAGGGCTGCTCTTTCCCTGTCCTGTCAATCCTGGTCAATCATCAGCCTCTCGGGAGTTCTCACTGGAGGGAGATTCCTTCCCTGATGGAGGATATTTCATGTGCATCTCCTAGTGTCAGGAACCTGGCTGCAGGACAGTGATCCTGGAATCACAAGGAGTCAAGATTCATGGCCTCCTTTGTCTCCCAGGAAACGGCTGGGCTCTTCCTAACAATAAGGAAAAGGTGGGAGGTGGCTCCTGGGCCAACACATATTAATTAGAACATTTTAAACTTCAATAATTTTATTGAACAAGTAGCAATCTGCAATAGCTCCTCTGAAACAGAACCACACAGTAGGTGCTCCAGGGCTATGAAAGAGATGCCCCACATGGAAGACGTGGCACATGGGGACAGTGGCTCCTACCACTGAACAGATGTCCTCTGCACAGGTACTGTCCTCTTCACCCAGCTGACCCATTTAGAAAGCTCAGTAAATTAGGCTCAGCAGCCATGCAGGTCTGTGTGCCTTGCTCAGAGACCCCTACATGGCGTGGCCCCAGCCCCGTGCAGCACTTGTGACACTGTTTTAAAACTGCTGTTTCCTTGCCCACCTCCCCCATCTGGCCAGGAGTCCTCTGAGGACAAGGACCTCATTGTCTCCATCTTGGTATCACTGAGGTTCCATCACAAGACCTGTCAGATGTGCAGTAGACAAACCTAGAAGGCAGGCACAGCCAGAGCCAGAAAAGCCAGCTTTAGTCTGGAAGGAGCCACCTCATCCCAGAAGGAAGACCTAGTACCAGTGTCCATTCAGAAACTTGCTTCCTATCCACTAGCCTTCAAGGGTACCCTCCCTGCGCCCCAGGAGACAGCTGCCTAGTGTCCACTGAGCCATGGGCTTGGAGCAGAAGGAGCGAGCCAAGTCATGGAGGAAGGGTGGGGGAGAGGGGAGTTCCCCTGACCAGAACCCTGTGGCCAAATGCAAATGAGCAACTCAGAGCCAGCAGGCTCCAGGACTGTGTATGGCAGGAGCTCACAGGCCAGAAGAACTTGTCCCACCCTGACAGATCTGAAATGAGGGATGTTAAAATCTGCATATTTGCAAGGTCCCCCTGGGGGGGCCATTGCCAACATACAAAGACAGTCTTAGTTTGGTCTGTTGTCACCAGCCTGTCATCACTGCTTAGCATAGCAAGGATCTGACCCTCCAGCTGGGAAGTTATGTACCCAGACCTGATCCTCTTCCAACACTCAAAGAGCCTAAGGTGCTCCAGGGCTGAGCTGAGGACACCCTTACTCACAGGGATCCAGAAGCAGTGACAAGGGGGAGGATGGTGAAGAGATGGCCAGCTCTGCCTTCTCTTTTATTTTATTTATTTATTTATTTTTTGAGATAGAGTCTCGCTCTGTCACCCAGGCTGGAGTGCAATGGCGCCATCTCTGCTCACTGCAACCTCTGCCTCCCCGGTTCAAGTGATTCTCCTGCCTCAGCCTCCTGAGTAACTGGGATTACAGGCGCCCACCACGACACCAAGCTAATTTTTGTATTTTTGTAGAGACAGGGTTTCACCATGTTGGCCAGGCTGGTCTCAAACTCCTGACCTCAAGTAATCCGCCCAACTCGGCCTCCCAAAGTGCTGGGATTACAGGCGTGAGCTACCACACCCGGCCTGCCTTCTTTATGTTTTATTTTGAGATAGGGTCTTGCTCTATTGCCCAGGCTGGAGTGCAGTGGTGCGATCACCATTCACTGCAGCTTTAACCTCCTGGGCTCAACAATCCTTCTTTGCCCTCCCGAGTAGCTGAAACCACAGGTGTGTGCCACCACACTGGACTAATTTTTTATTTTTGTAGAGAAGGGGTCTCACTAGGTTGCCCAGGCTGGTCTCAAGCTCCTGGGCTCAAGTGATCCTCCCACCTCAGGTTCCCAAAGTGCTGGGATTACAGGCGTGAACCACCACACCCAGCAAACTCTGTTTCTGAGCACAAGGAAGCAAAGGGACTTTCTAACATGACCCAGTTGTCTTGGTGCAAGACTTTATTCTAACAATAAATAACAAAATACATTTTCAAGCTGGCTGCTTGGGCCACACATGGCAATGATGAAATCCAGGGGGCAAGGCAGAAAGAAGAGAGTCAGGGAAAAGCATGATTTTCCTGTAAACTTCTAAGTTTTATGGAAACTCAGGAAAAAAATATTTTTTTCTTTCACACTTCGAAACAGACCAATTCTAAAAATGCCACGTGCCGACTAAGTTACACACACCACTTTTCTGTTTCTAAAAGTAACTTTAGATTAGAAAAAGGTGCTAAAACAATAAGTAATGCACATTTCCCCCATGTCTTTGTTTTTCCGCCGGCTTTGTCATCACTGGAAAGGTTGCCTCTTCTGTCACGTGTCTATAAACCAAACGCTGAAGTGAGGAACCAGTGACTTTCTGGCCGTGGGCCACGGTGGGAAACATTTCTTTGCTGGACCACAATTTGGGTATTTCCTCCCCCAGCAACAAAACCTTCTGGAAATGAAAGGCAGATGGTGTCTCTCATCAGGTCAGGGCTGGGTAGGCCCCTCAGATAGCCATTCTCCAAGACTCCAAATGCTGGGCTGTGTTTCAGGGGTAAGAGACTTGGGAGTCCTGTCCTCCATTCCTGCCCCCGTAGCCCACCCTCCCATCTCAGGAGACAACTGAATGTTCTTCAAGGAGCAGTCCCATCCAGGCATCATCCAGGCACCATTCATCTTGGGGATGCCAATCCCCCTGCCATCTTGCTGCCTGTCTACCCTGAACATGGCCATCAACCCACATGGATGACCCATCAAAGACGCAACCCTAGCTTGATTTCAGAAGCCCTGGGAAGCCTGTCAAAAATGCAGATTGGCTGGGTGCAGTGGCTCACGCCTATAATCCCAGCACTCTGGGGGGCCAAGGCAGGAGGATCTGCCTGGCCAACATGGTGTAACCCTGTCTCTACTAAAAATACAAAAATTAGCCAGGTGTTGTGGAGGGTACCTGTAGTCCCAGCTACTCAGGAGGCTGAGGCGGGAGAATCACTTGAACCCAAGAGGCAGAGGTTGCAGTGAGCCAAGATCGCACTACCACACTCCAGCCTGGGTGACAGAGTGAGACTCCATCACACACACACACGCGCCCGCGCGCGCGCGCGCACACACACAAAATGCAGATCGGCCAGATGCGGTGGCTCATATCTATAATCCAGCACTTTGGGAGGCCGAGGTGGGTGGACTGCTTGAGGAGCTTGGGAGTTTGAGACCAGCCTGGGCAATATGGTGAAACCCTGTCTCTTAAGAAAATGAAAAAATGCAGATACCTGGGCGTCACTCCAGACACGCTGATTCAGTAGGTCTGGGCAGGCCCTGGGAATCTGTATTTCAATGAGCAGACTCAAGATTCTGCAGTTCACTTTTGCCCATGCAGTTCCCTTTTGGACCAACTTCCTATTTTCCTAGCAGGAGAAACTGGGTGATAGGAGTGAGGGGGCAGAGGCAGCTGTGCAAGCAGGGCTGAGGGAATTGAGGCTTCCAACTAGCTGCCTCCTTCTGGGGATTCCAGGATCCGGGGAGCGCTTGCCACGCCCCTGCCCCCTCCCCGCTCCGCCTTGCTCTGTGTGTCCAGGCCAATTGGGCAGTGGGGCTCAGCCACCTCGAGCCAGGGAGCGTGGCGCAGACACACACGTGAGCAGCACTCACTTTCTCCATCGCATCACCGCCACGTGGGCTGGCCGCAGAGTTGCCAAATCAATCAGGCTCCTTTCATTTCCAATTAGATGGCTTTGAACTCCAAGGGTAAAATCAGGCTGAGGACCCAGAGCCATGCAAATAAAAACTGTTTAAAAACACCAGCCCAGAGGCTGGCTGCGGTGGCTCATGCCTGTAATCGCAGCACTTTGAGAGGCCGAAGAGGGTGGATCACAAGGTCAGGAGTTCAAGACCAGCTTGGCCAACATGGTGAAATCCCATCTCTACTAAAAATACAAAAAATTAGCCAGGCATGGTGGCATGCATCTGTAATCCCAGCTATTCAGGAGGCGGAGGCAGGAGAATTGCTTGAACCTGGGAGGCAGAGGTTGCAGTGAGCCGAGATCGTGCCATTGCACTCCGGCCTGGGCAACAGAGCCAGATTCCGTCTCAAAAAAAAAAAAAACAAAACAAACCACGAGCCTGGGTAAGATGTGCCAGAAGCTGACGCCTTCAAAAGACACGCTCACTTTTGAAATGGGCCATTGGAGGGTGGCAGGAAGATCTTTGCCACATTCTCTAAGTAGCCTGGGCCTTTCTCACTGAGGATGGGTAGCTCAGGAGGACAAGAACGCCTCGGAAATTGCTTTAAAAGGTCTTGCTTATGATACACTCTCCATGACTTCCTTTCCAGACTCATCTCCTGCTCTACCCTCGCTCCTGCCGGGATGATGGGCCCCTCTCCTTCCCTCAGACTTTTCAAGCTCATGCCAGGCCAGGTGTGGTGGCTCACGTCTGTAATCCCAACACTTTAGGAGGCTGAGGCAGGAGGATCACTTGAGGCCTGGAATTCAACACCAGCCTGGGCAACAAAGCGAGACCCTGTTTCTACCAAATAAATAAACAAATCAGTAATAAAAAATAAAGGCTAGAAATGGTGGCTCACACCTGTAATCCTAGCATTCTGGGAGGCTGAGGCGGGTGGACTGCCTGAGCTCAGGAGTTCAAGACGACCCTGGGCAACACAGAGAAACCCCATCTCTACTAAAATACAAAAAAATTAGCCAGGCATGGTGGCGGGTGCCTGTAGTCCCAGCTACTTGGGAGGCTGAGGCACGAGAGCTGAGAAGCGGAGGTTGCAGTAAATCGAGATTGGGCTACTGCACTCTAGCCTGGGTGACAGAGCAAGACTGTCTCCTACATAAATAAATAAGCCAGGCATGGTGGCACACCAGTGGTTCCACCTACTTGGGAGGATGAGGTGGGAAGATCGCTTGAGCCCAGGAATTTAAGGCCACAGTGAGCCCTGATCGCACCACTGCACTCCAGCCTGGGCCATTAAGTAAGACCCCATGTTAAAAATTAACACCAGAAAAACCCACAACAACAACAAAAAAGCAAAAACTCATTCCAGCTCCACATCCTTACTCATGCCTGGCTGTCCCTCCTGCAGGGTGCCCTACCCACACCCTTCAGCCCATCACAATCTCCTCTGTCCTTCAGGGCCATCTCCAGCCTCTCCCACAATGGCCAGCCACCCCTCCTTCCACCTTGCAGATCCCAAGCCATCCTGCCTAGTATTAATGAATCCCTGAAAAGGTCCCACCTTCTCAGTTGAGCTGTGCACTCCATGGGGCCAGGAGCCAACAAACTATTAAGAGAAGTGAAAGCCTCACAAAGCCTGCGCTCTGGAGGGAGGAGGCCTGCTGCCACTGCCTCGTCTCCCTCCATCTCCCTCTGCTGCTGGTTGGGCAGGGCAGGCCCAGGGAGGGCCAGAGAGCCCAGCTCTGCTAGTGCCCTGCTGAGGTATTTACCTTGCGGGGAAGGGAGGTACCAGAGACCTCACAGACCGGCTTCCTGTGCTTCAGGACAGCCCTCCTCACACTTCCACCTGACAGCCCTCCTCACACTTCCACCTGGTTCCAGGGCTTGGTGGGAGTGCTGACCAGCAGAAGACCAGGTTCTGCCCACCCCATACCCTGGGCAAGTGGCCATCCCTCTCTTAAAAGCTTCCTCTATAAAAGGAGGAGAATAGAGGAACTTTTTCAGGTAGACTAACCCTTTTTTTTTTTGAGACGGAATCTCACTCTGTCACCCAGGCTGGAGTGCAGTGGCACCATCTTGGCTCACTGCAAACTCCGCCCCCTGGGTTCAAGTGATTCTCCTGCCTCAGCCTCCCGAGTAGCTGGGATTACAGGTGCGGGCCACCACATCCGGCTAATTTTTCGTATTTTTAGTAGAGACGAGGTTTCATCATGTCGGTCTTGAACTCCTGATCTCAGGAGATCCAACTGCCTCGGTCTTCCAAAGTGCTAGGATTACAGGAGCGAGCCACCACGCCCGGCCATAGACTAACCCTTAATAGTGGCCAGAACTTATGGGCGGGTCTTGCTCTAAGCAAATTCACTTTATTAAAAACCAAACTCATAAAAAGGAAAATTAGGCTGTGTGCTGCGGTTCACACCTGTAATCCCAGCACTTTGGGAGGCCGAGGCAGGATAGTCACTTGATCCTAGGAGTTCAAGACCACCCTGGGCAACATAGCGAGACCCTGTCTCTACAAAAACTAACTGGACGTGGTGGTGCATGTCTGTAGTCCCAACTACTCAGAAGGCTGAGGTGAGAGGATTGCTTGAAGCCAGGAGGTCAAGTCTGCAGTGAGCTGTGGTTGTGCCACCACACTCCAGTCTGAACGACAGAGCCTGGGGCCCTGTCTCAAAAAAGCAAAAACAAAAACAAAAACAAAAAAAAGGCCAGTCATGGTGGTTCACACCTGTAATCCCAGCACTTTGGGAGGCCAAGGTGGGTGGATCACCTGGGGTCAGGAGTTCAAGACCAGCCTAGCCAACATGGTGAAATCCCATCTCTACTAAAAATACAAAAAATTAGCTGGGCATGGTGGCGGACGCCTATAATTCCATCTACTTGGGAGGCTGAGGCAGGAGAATCACTTGAACCCAGGAGGTGGAGGTTGCAGTGAGCTGAGATTGTGCCACTGCACTCCAGCCCAGGCAAACAGCAAAACTCTGTCTCAAAAAAAAAAAAAAAAAAAAAAAAAGAGAATCCTGTGTCTGGCTGACCTGGGGCAAGTTCCTTAACTTCCCTTTCCTGGTCTATAAAATGGGACAAGACCACCTACCCTGGTTGTTGCAGGGAGGCTCCTGGCAATGATGAGATAGTGGACACCCCACCTTCCCCCTGTCTGATTGAGGAGTCACTCCGGAGAAAGGGCAAAAGCTGAAACCAGCGCTCTCTCCTGTTTGAGACGAACCCCTCCGGTGCTGCCTCCTATTCATAGTAAAAGCTGCTTCACCCTTAGTGCTTCCTCTAGGCCAGGCACGGTGCTGGAGTTATCACTTCAGGAACTTTCACTCAATCCTCAACCCCATGAAAAAAACCTGATTATCCCTATTTTACAGGTGAAGAAATGAGCCATAGAGAAGGACTTGCCCAAGATCACACAGCAGGCAGAGCCGGGACATGAAACTAAGCATTCTGGCTCCAGAGTCCACGTTTTTAACTCAACGGAATACTCAGCAATGGCTGAGTCTACGCCCTGTCGTCCCCTCCTGGGTCTCACAGAATGGAAATAAATGTCTCAACTCAAAGACCAACTTCTCCCCTTCTTTCTTAATCTATCAATAATTAAAACGGCAATAACAAATGGCAGAGCTGGGGTTCAAACCCTGTCTTCCTGTTGCCAAAACCTAAACTGTCAACCCCAGGCAACACTGCTTCTCTGCAGTGAAACTACATTAATGCTGATCTCATGAACTCAGCTAATAATACAGTTTTATGATCACTGAGATAGAAGTGGGGCTGAGCTCACCACTTTTCCAAGGAGAAGAATAAAGTAAACAGGATTTCATGAGGAACATCAACACTTGCCTAAGAGAACAAGCTTGTAACAACACTCTTGAGCAACCTCATCTGCATGTAAACGAGCTGGAGCTTCCACAGGACTCCTGGGTTGGATGAACCCTCAGGCTCTCCTGACAACAGCCCCAGGGCCCTGACAATCCCGAGGCTCCGTGGCCACCTGTGCCCCCTAGTGGCGCATCTCAGAACTTCCCGGCTAGGTGCCCTGGCGAAATGCAGCTTTTTAGAGAACTGGGTGAGAGGCATGAGATCTTTGCAGGTCTCAAGAGAACCCCTTGCTCTGGGGAGTCTGCTCCAGCCCCACTGGGGCTCCTGGAGCAGTGCCCACCTTGGGGAAGCAACAACAGCTAACAACAACAGGCCCTTCCTACTGCCAGGCACAGCACAAAACCCCTCAAAGGGCATCACCTCCTTGAACCCTGTGCACTTTGGGGCAAGCCAGGTCGCTGCTACTATAACAACCCCATTTGACAGGTATGATGGTCAGGTGGTACACATCAACCTGGCTAAGCTACTGTCCCCAGTTATGCAATCACACACTAATTTAGGTGTTGCTGGGGAATTTTTTTTTTTTTTTTTTTTGAGACAGAGCCTCGCTCTGTTGCCCAAGCTGGAGTGCAATGGCATGATCTCGGCTCACTGCAACCTCCACCTCCTGGGTTCAAGATTCTCCCTGCCTCAGCCTCCTCAGTAGCTGGGATTACAAGCACCCGCCACCACGTCCAGCTAATTTTTTGTATTTTTAGTAGAGACGGGGTTTTGCCATGTTGGCCAGGCTGGTCTCAAACTCCTGACCTCAGGTGATCCACCTGCCTCGGTCTCCCAAAGTGCTGGGATTACAGGCATGAGCCACTGCGCCTGGTTGGGAATGTATTTTTATAGTTATTAAAGACCATGACCGGATGACTTTAAGTAAGGGAAATTATCTAAAACACTCTGGGTGGGCCTGAGTCAGTAGCTGAAAGGCCTTCAGCAGAGTGAAGGTTTCCCTGAAGACATTTCATCTGCGGACAGCAGCTCCAGCCTGGGCCTGGGGGTCCAGCCTGCCCCCTTTCATGACCTGCCATAGGATTTCAGACTTACCTAGCCAGCCCCCACAATTGTGTAAGCTAGTTCCTTACACTACATCGCTTAATATATACCTCCCACTCGTTCTGTTCCTTTAGTTGAACCCTGGCTGATACAACAGAACAGGTGAGATAATCTGTTCTCAGAGGCGAAGGGATTTGCCCAAGTCACATGACTGGCAAGTTGTCGGCCTAAGAGTGGGACCCCAGGCAACCTGATGCAGTTGTTTCCCAGCTCCCACACAAACTCTCCCTTGAGGCCCACATCCAATCATCAGAGTCTGTCCAACACCCGCAGTGCCTTGCCCCCTCCACTGCTGCCAGAGCCCACATCCTATCTCACCTGGCTAGCAGCCCCCTGCGACCTTGCACATCATAACCCATCCTGCCTAGTCAATCCCCATCATTCTATGATTGAAGCCAGATCATGTCCCTGCCTCTACTTAGAACCCCTCAGTGAATCTTCATCTCACTCGATGAAAGTCAAAATCCTTAGAATGTCCTGCAAGGCCCTACATGGTGCTGCTTCACCCTATTCCCTCCCCACTGCCAGCTACATCTCTGCTCTCACCTCTTTCCACTTTACCCTCCACTATTCTTCATCCCAGCCACAGGCCTCCCTACTGCATCATGAGCAGCCAGCACACACCGTCACCCCAGGGCCTTTGCACTTGCTGTGCCCTTGGCCTGGACTGCTCTTCCTCAGGTAACCATGTTGCTCCCTCACTTCCCTCCATCTAATAGTACATTCTTCTATATAGCTCATCACCCACAGCAGACTGCAAACTTCTCTAGGGTAGAAAGGCACGTTCCTATAGCCTCGACACCTTGCGCAGTGCTTGGCATAGTTGATGCTCAGTTAGGTCAGTCTCCCAACAAGCCACACTTAGTCCTATCCCTCTACCTTTGTGCATGTGCTCTCTCTGGATTACCAAAGCCTCCCGCTCTCTGCTCCCAAACCAGAAAAATGTCTCCTCTTTCCAGGCAATGATCCCCAATTTAAAGCCACAATGACCTTTCTTTCCTGAGCCTGCACAAGGTTCACTCATTCATGCATGCTTTCTTCCATCCACCCACCCATTCAAAAAGTACCAGTGGACCCTGGGGCTGGTGCAAGCCCTGCAGCCAAGGTCTTTGCTCTTGAGGTGGTGGGAGACAGAGAAGAAGCAAGCAAACACACAGGATCACTAGAGTGTGGGAAGCGATGAGGAGGGAAGAAGAGGAGTAATCTGCGGGGGAGGCTGGACAGTGCAGGATCAGGCAGCTTCGCTAAGAAGGTGACAGTTTTAAGCAGAAATCTTAAGGAGCCAGCCATGTGAAAGATCAGGGAAGAACATTACAGGCAAGAGGGAAGAGCAAGTACAAAGGCCACGTAGAAGAATGTGTTTGATGCGTTTAAGGAGCAGAAGGTGACTGGTGTGGCTGAGCAGTGTGATGGGCGGGGACAAGAGGGGTAAAGCCCAGGTCAGGAAGGCAGCCAGGGGCCAAGTCACACAAGCTCTGTGAGCCAGGGTAGGGAATTAGTTCTGGGTGGGATGGAGTCCCTGGGGGAATTTAAGCAGGAAAGTATGTTATTTTCTTTCTTTCTTTCCCTTCTTCCCTCCCTCCCTCCTTCCTTCCTATTTATTTATTTAGAGATAGGGTCTCTCTCTGTTGCCCAGGCTGTAGTGCAGTGGCACAATTATGCCTCACTGCAACCTCAAACTTCTGGGTTCAAGTGATCCTCCCACCTTAGCCACTTGAGTAGCTGGGACTACAGGCCTGCACCACTACATCCGGCTAATTTATTATTTTTATTTTTTTGGTAGAGAGAGGATCTTGCTTTGTTGCCCAGGCTGGTCTCGAACTCCTAGGCTCAAGTGATCTTCTTGCCTTGGCCTCCCAAAGTGTTGGGATTACAGGAGTGAGCCACTGCACCCAGCTGATCAATATTTTTTAAGAGCTCACTCTAGCTGTGGTGTGGAGAATGTCAGATAGAGGTCTAATAGAGAAGCAGTGAGACCAGGTAGGAAGGTGGGGTCTTCCTGGAGAGATGAAGGGGTTTCTAAGGCATGTGATGGTGGAGGTGGGGAGACAGTTGGTTCTGCAGCTCGAGTTGGCAGGTAAAAGACAAGAGTCAAGAATGACTTCTCAGCCAGGCACAGTAGCTCACGCCTGTCATCCCAGCACTTTGGGAGGCTGAGATGGGTGGATCACTTAAGGTCAGGAGTTCGAGACCAGCCTGGCCAAAATGGTGAAACCTTGTCTCTACTAAAACTGCAAAAATTAGCCAGGTGTGGTGGCAGGTGCCTGTAATCCCAGCTACTCGGGAGGCTGAGGCAAGAGAACCACTTGAACCCAGGAGGCGGAGGTTGCAGTGAGCTAAGGTCATGCCACTGCACTCCAGCCTGGGCAACAGGGGAGAATCTGTCTCAAAGAAACAAAAAACAAAAAACGAGTGACTTCTAGATGTTGGGCTTGAGCAATGGGGTGGATGGTGCCAGTTCCTGAGATGGGGAAGATGCTGGAAGGAGCAGGTTCAATAGAGGGAAGAAAGATGCAGATAAATTTGAGGCCAAACTGTCCTTCAGTTTTCAAGGTCACCAGCCTTGCTTCCTCCAGAAAGTTCCTGAGAACTTTCTTCTTCTGTTGACTCCACCATCCCTAAGCCTTGCCTCAAGTCTAAGCTCTATGCTCAGTAAGAGATTTACAGTGAACCCCAGAATGGCATCCATTTCCTCTGCGCAAATGTCCCTGGCTGGAGTGACCCTGGGAAGCTTCGTGAGGTTCATTATAGAGCAGAACAGAGCCCTAAACATGGACTCCAATCCTCAGTTTGCCAAGGACTGTGTGTGGGCAGTCACCCCATCGGAGCCTCAGCTTCTCATTTGCAAAATGGGAATCCCACCACCCATCATGTACTGTGGCTCTGATCAGCAAATGAGGAAACGTGAAAATGTCCTCGCACATAGTAGATGCTCATTCGATAACAGCATCTAGCACTTCCAGGGGAGCTTTCTAGGTGGCAGGCAGTGTTCTAAACATGCTTACATATATTAGTTTATCTAATCTTCGTTATAACCATATGAGGTGTGTATTAGTCAGTGTTCTCCAGAGAAACAGAACCAATGGGAGGTGCATAGAGAGCTTGAAGACAGAGGGAGATTTATTTTAGGAACTGGCTTATGTGATTGTGGAGGTTTGAGAGTCCAAAATGTGATGGGGGAGGCCGGCAGAGACTAAGGGAAGAGCTGCAGCTGAGTCCAAAGGCAGCTGCTGGCAGAACTCCTCCTTGCTGAGGGAGGGTGTGTGTGTGTCAGTCTTTGTTCCATTAAGAGGCCTTCAACCAATTGGATGAGGCTAGCCTGCATTATGGAGAGTAATCTGCTTTACTCAAAATCCACTGATTTATTTAAATATGAATCTCACCTAGAAAACACCTTTGCAGAAACATCTAGAATAATGCTTGACCAAATATCTGGGCACTGTGGCCCAGCCAAGTTGACACATAATAAACCATCACAAAATGGGTATGAATATTATCCCAAATGTACAGAAGAAGTAATGGGCACAGAGAGGCTAAGAAATCTACCCAAGGTCACAGAGGAGAGAAGCCAGACTCTCAACTCCAGCTGTCTGGCTTCAGAGCTGGCATTTTCAACCATGACACTAAGTGGCCATTATCATAAGCACACCAATATAAATTAAATTTCTCCATCCATCCTTTTCCTGGCGTGAGAGTGGAAGACAGAGAAACTGGGGGTTGGCTTTCCCTGGGGGAGGCAGCCTGGGTGTGGCCCTGCATTGCTTAGGAAGCAGCACAGAAGCTGAGCCCCAGAGATTGTGGCGGGGGACCTGAGAGGTTATTTGTTCCAGCTCTTGCCTTTATGGGGGTAACTGAGGCCCAGCATAGAGAAGGAATTTGCCCAAGGTCACATAGGGAGAAAAGTGGCAATGGAGGCAGGACTAGGTCCCAGGCCTTCAGAAAGTGCTACTGCTGCTGCTGCTGAGAACTGATACTTGTACAGTAGTTATTCGGTGCCAGGACTATTCCACATTAACATACTTAATCCTCTATGTGTGAGGCAGATAACATTAGCATTTTTGTTTTAAAGAAAATGAGGAAACTGAGGCACAGAGAAGTTATGAAACTTGCCTAAGGTCACACAGAGCCAGAATTTGAGCCCAGGTTCAACCAGGACACTATACGTCTGAGGCCCAGGGCAAGCTTCCTGTGTGGGCGGTGACAGAACACAACCCCCATTTTGCTGCGCCTTCCATTCTCCCACTTGAGACCTGCCTGGAGTGACAGTGGAGGAATGCTCTTCCCCAGGCTCACCCCACGGTTCACAGGAGGAAATGGCCTTCTGCACCAGTGGGTGTGCCTGCCTGAGACACCCCAGACCCAGGTGATAGGCAAGTGCACACACACCTCATCCCACAGCTAGACATGTCCCAAACTGGTACACAAATACACACAAACACAGACTCCAACCCATAACCAGATATATCTCAACCACACACACACCCCCAGCCTATGCACCCAAACAAGTAAACATACCCTCACAGCACACAGCTATCATGACTCACACATGTGCACAGAACCCCACAGCCACACACGCCCCCAACACATAAACCAGGACACAACTTTCCCTGTCCCAATAGGCACGTGAGCAAGCACTTGTACACACAGAAACATACATATCATACAATTACATCTACCCCACTCTACATCCATCCACCACACAGGGGCACTCCCCTCAACCTATCCACAGGCCAAGGCACTTGGGCACAGGAGCCATTCACAGGAGCCACGTGTTACCTCCTACATCCCCAAGGGCCAGATGTACCCCAAGGTACAGCCACCCTGTCAATATGGCCAATCCACGTGTCAGCACGGATCGCTGCAGCAGTCTGTCCCCGCCCCCACTTCAGCACACACACAGCCCTAACTCCTAGGGACCACTCTCCCCCAGTTAACTACAGCCCGCCCACATCCAGGCGTTTGCCATTTGGGGAGCCCAGCCTCCCACTTCCAGAGACAATCCTGCTCTACCCTCAGCCCACAGCTCCGAGGGCTGGCCCGCCTCTCTCCCTGCCTCCACCCCCTTCCAAACTCTGGGCGGGCCCTGGCACCTGTCAGGCCAATGCGGGGGGCGGGGAGGGGGTTGGGGGGGTCGGGTCGGCCCCCTCCCAAGTGCGTCTCAGCTGCCAAAACGCGGAGCCCCCACCTCCGCAGCAAGGACACGCTCAGAGTTGGGGCAGGGAAGAAGGTCTGTGGTGCAGGCGCTAAAAACTCAAGTCACTCAAGGATGACCCCTTTTCAGTCCCGGTTCTCAATTTCACCTTCTCGCAGGAAAGCCCCGCGTCTCTATTAACCCTTCCATCACCGCTGCACCGCGAGAGGGACCGGAGAAGTCTTAGCACTGCGCAGCAGCGGCCGCCGCAGCCCGGGGGTGAAGGACCCGGCTGCTCACCGTGCGGGGGCCTAGCCCCTTCACGAGCCACCCACGCACTCCCCATGCACCCACCCCCACACCCACTAGGGACAGCGAGGTAGCGGGAGCCCGAGCGAGTCGGTGGAAGGCGAACGAGGGTTCTAGGACCAAGGGTCTCAGGGGCCATGGACTGAGGAGGGGCAAGTGAAGCGAGTACCCCTGGCCCGGCAGGACCCGTAGGCTGGCGTGCAAGGACAACCCCCCCCTCCCCGCCCCCAAGAAGTCCTCTGCAGGATCGGAGGGGCGCGTGCACGAAGCGGGAAGGAAGGCTGAAGGGAAAACGCCCGGAGGCTCCCTTACCTGATTTCCTCTTGGAACTGCCATAGTCCCTGAAAAAGAAGCAACAACAGATAGACATGGTTAGGGCCGGGCGCGAGCGCGGGGCTGCAGCTGCAGGGGCGCCCTCGGGCTGGCTGCGGTCGGTCCCCGGTGCCGCTGCTCATGTGATGCCCACGGCCGGCTAGCCGCGCGCTCCGCAGCCGCACGCACTGCGCGCCGCGCCCGCCCGCCCGCCCGCCCGCGGGCCCCCTGCCAGCCCGGCCCCCAGGCGCGATTCGCCCGCCCCGCCCCGCCCCGCCCCAGCCCGCCCCGCTAACTGGGGCTCACCTTCCCTAAGCCTTGGCGGGGAAGGGCGAGGCAGGTTCTCCTCACTTCCCAAACTGGGAAACTGACGCTCCGGGATGGCGCTCGCCGGAACCCGGCCCCTACCCAGCGCTGGGAGCCCGCTCTCCCCGCCACCGGAGCGGTTCACCTCCCAATTCTTTGCATGGCTTGCCCTAGCGATGCAAAGAATTGGGAGGTGAACCCAGCCTACTCAGCCCGTAAGTCACTACTGAAATGTCACCTCCTCAACGTGTCTTCCTCAAAACCACCCGCCAGGTAATCACAGATTTGTGTGATCCTTTGATTAAAGTCTGCCCCTGTCCTAGACCCGAGACTCGCTGGGGGCCACTGTGGCTGCTTCCTCTCACTGCACGCCCCGAGAATGGCAGAGGCCATGGATAAGGTCCTTCTCAAAGGCTACAGCTGGGGAGTCGGGGTGAGGAGCGGGTAGTGGGGGGGACAGAGGATACTGCAAGGTTAACTGGGAGGCCAGGAACGGTAGGAACGGAAGTGGAGCTTCTGAGGAAGTGGGTTCAAATGCTGTCAGAGAAAGTAACTGCTGTGACCTTAGGCACTGCACCCTCCCAGCCTCCGTTTACCTGCCCTGCCCTCCAGCAAAGAGTCCAGACTCAAAGATGGGCAGATTTCCCAAATCCTGCCCTTGCTCCTGCCTTCCTTATCTCCCCACTCCTCCCACCCCCCTCCATTCACCAATCCTCAGGGGACTGGGAAAGGTGAGCTGGCTCCCTTAACCTGAGCCTCACATGCCCCTAAAGGCTGAAAGTTCTGTTCAGTGCTCAGGGAACAGTGGAGGGGCTGGCTGGGGCTCTCTCCGGAGTCCGAAGGAAATGCCTTCCATTTTCCCCAGGGGCCAAAGAAAATGCCAGTTGCTGCCCATCTTTGGTCGAAGCAAACTAGCCCGCTAGTCTGCCACTGGAAAGGCGGGGTTGGGGGTTTGGGGGGATGCGGTGGAAGGGGGTTCTCTTGGAGGAAGAGGCAGCAGGCTCCCAGGGAAAGGAGCAGAGTCATCCTCATGGAGGCTCCCCAAGATTCCAATCCAGGAGGTCTAGGGGTGCCCTCCAACATTGGAGTGTTTATTAATCTCCAAGGTGATTTGCCTGCACAGCCAGGAGTGGGGAGCTCCCCCTCTCCTAGGCATCGACCTTTCCCAAAACTTAGAACCCACTTAATCAGAATGCTGGGGGCAAGGTCCAGGAAATCTGCATTTCTGACTCTCTCCCCTTCCTTCCCCATCTTGTTTGAGAACCCCCTTGGTATTCCATGTCTCCTTCAATCCTCTCACCCACACTAAGAGGAAGGTCCTATCATCCTAATCCATTTTATAGATTAGGAAACAGAGGTTCAGCCATTGCCGAAGGTTGCCCAATCTGGGGAAGGGCTGTGGTTTATAAGCCCACTGGAAGGAATAAAAACTGCAGCGTGGATGGTGTGGAGGAGAATCTGGGAAACCGTTGCCTTGGAAAGGGACTACAGAAAGGTGGGAGAGCTTCCATTTGCCCCCTCCCCTGGCTCCCACCAGTCAGTCCAGGGAAGGCCTTAACAAAGGCATGCTTGCCCCCCTTGCAGAAGGAAGACTGGGCAGAGACTGAGTCCTAGCTGTGCCCCCCAAAAGCTCAACTGTGCAGGGAATTCCTGAGAGGAGGAGGAGAGTATTAGATCGTAGCTGTGTCCTGCCCAGAAGACTTTCCACTCCCAAGGAGGAAATTAGCTTTTCAGGCCTTTTCACTGAGGGCTACTGGGGAAGGGCAGGGAGTGAGGGCACTGAGGAGCTACCCTCTGCTGTCCCACAATTTTCCTGCTGGTCCTGGCAGGAGAAGCCCAGGACTGATGGCCCACTGACCATCCCCCTGGCTGCCAGTAGCCCAGGCAGGGGTGGCTGCCTCACAGGAATGGCTGCCTTCTCCAGCTCTGAGCAGGTTGAGGCTACCCAGGCTGTTCCTATGAGACAGGGAGTTTGAGACCAGCCTAGGCAACATAGTGAGACCCCCTATCTCTACCAAAAATAAATTAGCTAGGCATGGTAGCAAGCACTTGTACTCCCAGCCACAAGGGAGGCTGAGGTGGGAGGATTGCTTGAAGCCCAGGAGGTCAAGACTGCAGTGGGCTGTGGTGGTGCCACTGCACTCCAGCCTGAGTGACAAGTGAGACTCTGTCTCAAAAAGAAAAAAAAAAAAAAAAGAGTGGGGAAGACACAAAACTCACATGCTTGGAGGGCCTCCTTTGTGCCAGGCCCTGGTTGGTGATTCTCAGCCTGCTATTCAATGGAATCATCTAGAAAGTGGTTAAAATTCAGATGCAGGGCCCCACCCCAACCTACTGCATGGTCTGCATCTCCAACAAACTCCCCTGGGGATTCTGAGGCTGCTCCAGTGTTGCATAATCTCCATCAGGCCTCCAGCCACCCCTAAGAAACATTTATGCTCAGTAAGAACAACGTGCTTGTAGTGCTGAAGGAGCCTCTAGAAAATATCTCTTGGCCTGCCTGTCCTTCAGCCAGAGTTCAGAGTCCTCCCCACCGAGGACTTCCGGGTCCCTCCCTGCAGGGGGTGTGGGCTCTCCTCTTGCAGGTGAGAAGACCAAAGCTTAGAGAAGCCGGACAACTTCCTCAAGGCCATAGTGAGTGGGTGAGACCAGGACTGGGGACCAGAAAACCCAGGCCTTGCTCTGAGGCTCAAGACAAATGCCCACTTACCACCCCTTCCTGGAGTAGTGGATGCAGGAGTAGAAGGCAGAGCCCAGAGGGCCTGATCAGCACATGGGGTTAATGGGGTGGAGGCTGAGGTCCTGGCAGTGGGGGTCACCAGGCTGTGACTGAATGGTGGGAACGAAGAGGAATCCTGAATCCTTCAGGGTGTCTGGCCTGCCCGAGCAGGCGCTGCCCTAATAGGAGACCTTCTGGAAGTTTCCAGTTGGGCATCCTTTAGCAAAGCCATTTCATATTTTTAGCTGCTGAATAGGGTGATAAGCAGTTTAGGTATCCAGTGGCTGGGACTCTCCCATCCCTCACATACGAGGGCAAGACGCAAAGGCAGGGATCCCCCTTCACACCATGACCACTTCCCACTGCCCTATAACCAGTTCCAGTCTGGCAGGACAGCAGGGCCCTCTGCTGGGGCTCAGTTCCCTAACAACTCAAGAACCCCCCCTCTTCCCATCAGTCCCCTTCTCCAATCCACACTCCGTCCTTGCTCCAAGTCTTGCCCTGAGCTGGTGCTGACAGCCCCCACCCTGCCGGTGACTCCACTCCTGGTAGGTCACAGTCTAGCCTGCTTCCGACTTGCTGCTGAATCATATCGGCCAGGGAGCCACAGGAAGAAGAGGAGGGGAGGAAGGGCGGGGCTAGCATCTCCCTCTAGCGTTGCCAGAGGCTAATGTAATTGAAAAGGCCTCCCAAGCTGTGTCCTAAAACAGCTCCCATCAGACCACTCAGCCATTCATTCTCTGCAGCTGGTCCAGGGGTGACTCAAACCACAGGTACAGTGACCCACAGTCCCAGGAAAACAGGGACATGGGACTTTCAGGGCTCAAACTGGACAAACTGGGATGGGTGATCTCCTGTGGTCCACAGGTCTGGCCTGGCTGGGAAAGAGGGGTGGAGTTCCTCCAACCAGCACTCCATCCCTCCCCATCTAAACAAGGACTCCTGGGGCCTCTACTCCCACCCCGCCCCATCCCCGGGTGATACGGTTCCTCTCTTGGCCCCTCCCCATAGGATGATGCAAGCTATGTTTGGATGAGCAGGTTCTGGAGACGGAGGCCTCCAGTTCAAATCCCTGCTGCTTGCAGTGGGGGCAGGGGGGTGCCCTTGATCTACTTTCTTGGCCTCTTGAGCCTCTACTTCTCTATCTGTAGAACGAGGACAATAATAGCACCAAACCCCTGGGGTTTGGGGAAGATGCAATGTACAGTGTGTAGAAAGGGCTTCGCACAGTGGCCGGCACAGAAACTGCTATAAATTGTCTTTGTTGTTATTCTTTCATACCTGGGCCCATCTGACCCACCTCAGTTGCTACACAGGTGGCAAAGACCTGTTTAAACCTGGGTCCTACAGAGCCCCTGAAACAAAAGGAGCTTCTCCTTAAGGACCTCACCACGATGCTGGCAGACAGTGCCAGGCAGGTGTGATTCCAGCCCCACTTTCAGAGTTTTGGGCTTTCGCAAATGCCAGAACAACCACTGGTCTCTGTCTAGCGCCGAGCACCAGGAAGTGTGTTCATCCCTGACCCACAGGAATGGACGCACGCCTCTGGACCCCTCTATTAGGACACATTTAACCTCCCAAGGAGTGGCCAACTCTCAGAGCCCCAAAACCAAGAGATGTAAAGGGCTTGCATTTTTATGCTAATGTAGACCCGAAAGGGTTTTTCTTTTTTCCTTTCATTTTATCTTGGCCAGACACGCTGTGCTCCCTCCCCGGATGCTCTAGTGAAATGGCTGGTGTTGGAGACTGCACAGGGAGAGGCTGGTGGGGGCAGGAAAGGCACTGAACAATTCACATGTGTTGTTCCCCTGTTTTGACACATGGCTCCCCACACTCTGCCTTCCCCTTGAAAACTCCCAGGATTTATTCTTTGGTGTTCTGAAGTAGGCAGAGCAGGTGCTCACCCATTTCATGGATGAGGAGATTGAGGTCTGAGGCTTCAGTGGCTGGCCCAGGCTCCTGAAGCTAAACAGACAGCCCTGACCCACAATGCTCCAAAGGGGCCACGCTGAGGCCCACTAGGGATTTGGCCACAAGGAGAGGTCACACCAGCAGCGGGCAGCAGGCCCTCGCTGGGGAATGGAGATTGCCATCCTGCCGTTCAGAGTTCCCAGAGTGAGAGGTGAAGCCAGGAAGAGCCACTGAGGCACGGGAGAGAGAGGAAAGGGGGCTGGGCCTGGCTGGGCCGGCTCTGTGGAAGGGTGCTGAGTACCTGCCAGGTGGAGTTCTGCTGAATGCTGCAGGGTTGTACCCTCCACTGCCCGCCACACCCCTCACCACTCTCCCTCCCACTGGCAAGTGCCTTGGCAGAGAAGGACACACACACAAACTTCCAGCCTGATGTTCTCACCCTTCTGTCTGCCAGCTGACATTGGCTGCTGGGCCCAGGATGCCTGTCTGCGGGGCCTACAGCCACTGGGAACTGCTCAAGAGGCCGGCTGGGCTGCCAGACAGCTGACTTGGGGGTGACCTTCAGAGCCCAGCAGTCACTGGGGACATGGGCACTATCTAGAATATGAGGGCTGGAGAAGATGCAACCTTGGCCAGGGGAGTGACGTGGGGCTCTTGAGGTACATAATGATTTTGACTGCTGTTATCAACCTAAAAGCACTTTTTAAGCTCTCGCTGTAGGCAACCTCATTAAGGCCTGTGCAGGCAGGCAGAAGAGATATATGTGACATAAGTCCAACGAGAAAGCCAACATTCTCAGACAATCCACGCTGAGAATTACAGGAGGGGTTACACTCAGTGCAGAGAAAAGAGAGGTCCTGGGGGCTACAGAACATCCCAGGTAGCTTCCTGGAGGAGGAGGCCTTAAAGGACAAGGGGGTTTGGATCCATAGAGGGATGCAGGGGGAAAGCTCTACAAGCAGGAGCAAGCAGCTCCAAACAGTTGTGGACTGGGCAGTGAGGGTAGTGGGTGGACGGGCCAGGAAAGGCAAGGCTGAGCAGGGCTTTGATGTCTGGCTGTGAAATCCAGAAGTTTGCAGAATTGGGGAGTGATTTGGTCAGATCCTGGCTGGAGGAAAATTTTGTTAAGAGGAGAGGTTGACAGCTGGGGGTTGGGGGCAGGAGAGGGGCTGTCAAAGTCCAGTGCTGAATGTCCACAGACCCGGGTTCTGGGCCCAGCTCTGCCCCCTCAGGGGCTGGTGACCCTGGACAAGCCACTTCAAACTAGTGCTTTTCAAATGACAGGCAGTGACCCATTAGTGAGTTTCAGAATCAATTTAATGGTCCCAATGAGCATTTTAAGAAGAACAGACTAGAAATGATCAGCGAGTCACCCCTGGCAAGGCTGTTTTGTGGCACCTGCATCAGATGTCTGTCTGCGTATCGAGCTGCAGTGTGATATTTCCCACTGTGGCAGGAGCCCTCGGATTCCCCAGTCCTAACAGGAGGCTACTCTGAGTGTCCTCACAGGGCTATTGTGAGAATTCGAATTATCTGTGAAACCTCCATAGTGAGATGGAGCATGTTCTTCCAGAAACCAAGTGAGGAAGGTCTGAGCAAAGGGCTGGGCGAAGGGGCTTTGGGTCACTGAGGTCTGGAGAGTTGGGGTTTTTTTTCCACCCCTTAGCCCCTAGCTGGGTTTTTGTTCTGGCTTTTGAGAGCCTTTGCACGGAATGGCCTCCAGAGGCAGCAACCTCCAGGCAAGACAGACAGAGGGGCCTGCAGGCCATTCTCTGCCCCCATTTGCTCCCTGATCTAAATCGTGGCACTGAGGGCCCTTGTGTTTAACAAGAATCTGTCCTTTCTCCGCAGGGCCTGTGTTTTCCAGGGTTCTGAGAATGGACCCCATTGTGACCATGTGGCTTGTCCAGAGGGGCCGGAATTCCTGCCCTGGGTGAAAAAGCTGAATTCCTGCGGAGAGAAGGGGTCTTGGGGCTCCCCAGGCTGCATCCCAGAGAGGCCAGATGCTATGGCCATCATAGACCCCAGAACCCCGCCCCCCAGGCATTTTGTCTCCTGAACATCCCAGAGGGTCTCTGCTGCTGCCCTGTCCACAGCAAAAGAACAAAGCACTGTCTGTCTGTCTCCTCTGACTTGTTCCACTATTCTGGGCAAAGGCCCTAAGTGTGTCTTCAGCCACAGGACAAGTTTTACCATGTCCAGGCCTCAGAGCAGGGAGTTAAAAGGGCAGGTGGGTTAGAACCCTGGTTCAGCCACCTAGTGCTTTGTGATATAAACAAGTGACTTCACCTCTCTGTACCTTCGGTTGTAAAAGGGGGTTAAAATAGTTGCTATCTTACAGAGCTGTCGTGGGGATTACATGGGATAATGTGCAAAGCTCTTAAATGGCATCTGGCCCATGGAAAGGACCCGTAGCCCAATAGCCTGGGTTCACAGGGGGCTAGACTAGGAGTGTGGATGGTGGCCGCAATGCAGGAGGTGCTGACTGCCTACCTTCTCAGTGTGGCCTGTGTGAGACCCTGGCTCTGTCACTCAGGGCACTGATGCAGGACCATGATGACAGACAGGCCTGGGTTCCCATCAGGTGCATTCCAAGGAGTCCCACCTAGATGGTGACACTGAGCAGCAGTCCATGGGAGTGGGAGGAGGCAGGGTTAGGGGAAGTGGGGAGGATGGCAGGAATACACAGTTGATTTCTTAGAGGGCAAAATGGGGCAGGGGATTGCCAGTTCAGCCCACTGCCATGGAGTGCTAGGAGCTCCTCCTCAGGCCACCTGAGATCCTGCTCCCTGTGTAAATGCCAGACTGTTCTTGGCTATGGGGGTTCCCTGGACTTCCAGGGGCTACATGCCAGACCTAGGGAACCATGGGAGGGGGAGTGACAAAATGGGGTGATGGGGTTCAACAATGAAGTCCCTGAGGAGAAGGTCAAGGAGGATATCCTATATTTAAAGACCTTCCCTGACTCTCTCCAAGTCCATCCATCATCCATCCATCCATCCATCCACCATCCATCCATCCATCATCCATTTACCATCTATCCATCTATCCATCCACCATCCATCCATCCATCCATCCACCATCCATCCATCCATCCATCATCCATCCATCCATCCATCATCCATTTACCATCTATCCATCTACCATCCAGCCATCCATCATCCATCCATCATCCATCCACTATCCATCCATCCATCCATCCATCCATCCATCCACCATCCATCCATCCATCCATCATCCATTTACCATCTATCCATCTACCATCCAGCCATCCATCATCCATCCATCATCCATCCACCATCCATCCATCATCTATCCATTCATCCATCCATCATCCATCCATTCATCCATCCATCATCCATCCATTCATCCATCCATCCATCCACCATCCACCCATCATCTATCCATTCATCCATCCATCATCCATCCATCATCCATCCATCCACCATCCATCCATCCACCATCCATCCACCATCTATCCATTCATCCATCCATCATCCATCCATCATCCATCCATCATCCATCCATCATCCATCCATTCATCCATCCATCCATCATCCATCCATCCACCATCCATCCATCCACTACCCATCCATCATCTATCCATTCATCCATCCATCATCCATCCATCATGCATCCATCATCCATCCATCATCCATCCATCCACCATCCATCCATCATCTATCCATCCATCCACCATCCATCCATCATCCATCCATCCATCATTCATCCAGCCATCCATCCATCCATCATTTATCCATCCATCATTCATCCAGCCATCCATCCGTCCATCATCCATCCAGCCATCCATCCACCATCCATCATCCATCCATCTATCTTCATCCAGTCATCCATCTGTCCATCATCTATCTACCATCTATCCATCCACCATCCATTTACCATCTATCCATCTATCATCCATCCATCCATCCACCATCCAGCCATCTATCATCCAACCACCATCCATCCATCCTTCATCCAGCCATCCATCATCTATCTACCATCCATCCAACATCCATCCACCATCCATCCATCCATCCATCTATCCATCCACCATCATCCATCCACCATCCATCATCCATCTATCCATCCACCATCATCCATCCATCTATCCATCATCCATCCACCTATCATCCAGCCATCCATCCATCATCCATCCATCATTCATCTACCATTCACCCATCATCCATTCACCATCCATCCACCATCCATCCATCCATCATTCATCCACCATCCATCCACATCTTGACTGAAGGTCTGTTGTAGACCCAGTCTTGTGTATGAAGTAAGAGAGTGGCAGAAGACACACTGTCCTGCCCTCTTTTTCATTTTTTTGTCCATCTAGCTGGAAAGAGATGGCAAACACCCACGAAAAGACAACATACAAGTTCCCTTGTGATCAGGTGCCCCAAAGCTTGGTCAAAGGAAACACTGTATAGAAATTTCCAGGACAGGGAGATCAGAGTGGTCTGGGGTGGTCAGGGAGGGCTATGTGGAAGATGGGGCACTAGAGCTAGCCCTTGAAAGATGAAGACTGTTTAAAAAGAGCAGAAGCAGGAAGGAGATTTGGGGTGGAAGGGATGGTGTGAGCAACGGTGCAGGGGCAGGAACAGATGTAAGCCTGTGTGTGTGCGTGTGTGTGTGTGTGTGCATGCTGGGTGCGGAGGGCAAGAAGGCTGTATGTCTTGGGGGAGCAGGACAGGCAGCTGGGGCTGGACTGAGCCCCAGAGGAAGCAGCTCAGATTTTAGAAGGAAGTTGCTGAGAACAACCCAGCGGCAGTATTCCTAAAGAGAGATTCTCCCTGAAGGCTGTGGCACCAGCTCTGTGCCTGAGGATCACATTTCTAGCTCCTTCTGGTTTCCCTTGTTCAGGTGGTGGGGTGAGGACTTGTGTCGGGGGAGCCAGAGGACTGCTTTGCCCCTCAAGCTACACTGGCCCCATCTGCAGACATGTGCCTGGTCTCTGTGTCACGTGTGTGTATGGGTGTGTGTGACACACGGGCAGATACCAGGGCCCCACTGCAGAGCACAGACCTCTTGGGTCGATCCTTGGCTGATGGCCCCTAACTCCCCAGCCCTGGCCTAGTTTCGACCTGAGACTGGGAGCTTGGGCCAAGGAGCTCCCTATTTCCCATGGAGGCCAAGGAGCCCACCCAAAGTCAGGCTGTGCTTGTTTCTGCCTTGGCCTCTGTGGGAAAGAGGACTCGGAGGGCCCCACACTCCTCCCACACACCTAGCCCACCTGCATGGCCCTGGGAGGCCCGGGTGATCGCCTCTTACAGTGAAGGAACCTGAACCTCCCAGACTTTCCTAGACACCATGTGACAAACCCACAAGCACCAAGCAGCCAGATGTGCCCAGCCCAACAGAGGCAGCTGCGTTAGCCCCATTTTACAGATGCACCTCAGTCAGCTTAAGTCACTTGCCTGGTGTCACACAGCTTGCAATGGGAGGCAAGGCTGCAGACTCGGTTGTCTGTGCTGCAACCACCACAGGCCCCCTCCTGCCCTGCCTAGTGTTTCACAACTTTCAAGGCCTAAGGAAGGGGCACCTCCTCCAGAAAGCCCACTCTGATTTTGACCCCCAATAGCACTGAATGTTCCAATTCTGTCCCCAACAGTGGTGCCCTCAAAGGAGCTGTCCAGTAGAATTCTCCGGGGTAATGGAAATAGTCTCTATCTGTCCTGTCCAGTATGGTACCACTGGCCACAGTGGCGCTGAGCACTCAAACACTGAATTGTGACCAGTATGACTCAAACACTGAATTTTTCATTTTGTTTAATTAAGACTTAGATTTAAAGAGCCACCGTGGCTACTGGCTACTTTATTGGACAGTACAGTCCAGACTCTGACATGGTATGGCCAGAAGGTTTGCTTGGCTCCCATGGTGCGTGTGTGCATGTGTGTGTATGTGTCTCTCTGTGTGTGTGTAGCTGCCTAGGTTCAAATCCCAGCTCTGCCAGACAGATTATTTAGGGTCTCTGTCTTCATTTATAAAGTGCAGAGACTGAAATGATCCACCTAATTGGATTGCTGGGGGATAAACAAGTTAATACACATAAAGTCCCCCGTGCACAGTCAGGCTCAGTAACAGGGAGCGCATACACAGATCCTCCACCTGCTCCAGCTCCACCTGCCAGTCACAGGGCCCTGCTGCCAGCACTGGTTCACCCTCGAGAGGGGAGAGGGAGGGACTCTGGAAGAGCTGTGACTTGCAGGGGAAATGACAGAACCACCTGGGACAGAATGGGCTTGGCCAAAGGAGGGCACTGAGAGAAGGAGCCAGGAAGGTGGGGGCGGTGGCCACTGGAGGAGGAGCAGCATGGGAAGAAGCAGGGACACGGGCCTGGCTGGCCTCAGGGGGAGGGGGGAGCAAGGCTTGGGGTGTCTGTACAGAGATGAAGAAACCCAGGCTCTGCAGGGTAAAGCCACTTTGCTGAGACCACACTGGTGGCTGGTGGCTGGCAGCACTGGGGGTGGCAGAGCTGGGGACTTCCAGGTCCATCTGAATGACTGTTATCACTTTCACATTCCCCCAGAATCCCTTGCTGCTGCCAGGCTGACGGGTCTCCCCAGAGGCGACAGGAGTGACAGCCAAGTCTGGATCCCCCTCGATGCTGGACCAAGAGGCTGACTTAATGAGCCTGTTCCACAGAGGGCAGTGGCTGCCATGCTCCTCACAGCAGGCACTCAAAACGCAGGACAAACGGGCTCCTGGCCAAGGGCCTGTGTGCCCAGGGATGGGTGGCTCCTGGGCTAGCCTGGGTGCAGGGCGGCCTGGGGGCTTCCCCAGGGTCTGCCAGAGCATACATGTAAAGGACGGGGTCTAGGGAGGAGTCCTGTAAGATGCCAAACCAGGGCCATCCCAGCCTGTGAGGCCCGAGACATGGGTTCCAGGCCTGGCTGTCTGAGCAGGCAGCATGACCTGGGTGGTGGCAGCCCTCTCTGTGCCTTAGTTTCCCTGATTGGGCTTTTGCAAAGAGGCCTCCAGCTCCAGGCTCACAGGACAAGCCTGTGTCCTGCTTGTAGCAGGGGGGCCATCCAGGAACCCTAGGTAATACCTAGGTAATACCTCCATGCTCCCAGCCTTCTCCAGCTGCCTTCCTGTCAACCCTGAATGCTCCTGGGCCAGCTCAGCTGCAACTACAGTGAGGGCCCTGCCTGCTCACCAGCCTGTCCACTACAGGTCCCAGCAGGCCAGCCGTGGGCCGCCACCTCCATCCTCCACCAAGCAACCTCTCCTGAGCTTCTACACCAAGGTAAAGCCCCCGAGGTCCCGGAGCAGGCTTGTGCCCATGAACCCCAAAGTATGGTGGCAAACAGGGGGAGGGAAGGGCGGGCGTGGGCCAGGCCTTGGTGGGAGTCACCACTGAGCAGTTCTCCCCACCGTGAGTGAGCTCTTCTTACCCAAAGGTGGGAGTGGTAGTGCTGCTCTTATTATTATTAATACTATTATTGACAAGAGCACTACATTTGTCAAGCATTTACATTATGCCAGGTGCTAAACTAAACCCTTGACACACATCAGCTCATTTTATCCTCACTACATGCCTGTGTGGCAGAGTCCCTTACTATCCCCATTTTACAGATGAGAAATGGAGGATCAGAGAGAGCATGTGACTTGCCCAAAGTAACACAGCTTGTGAGGGATACAGATGGGATTGGAGGCCAACCTGGCTCAGTCTAGTGCTCAAATCCTAACCACCACACTGTTCATTTACCACCTTGTGGCTAAGAAGGACACATAAAATCCAGACAGAAAAGCTAAATGAGGAGTAGGTGGTGAAGAGAAAGGTAAAACGAAGGCAAAGACTCAGGGTCAGAAATACCCAAATGACCAGCCTGGCCAACATGGTGAAACCCTGTCTACTAAAAATACAAAAATTAGCTGGGTGTGGTGGTGTGCACCAGTAATCCCAGCTACTCAGGAGGCTGAGGCAGGAGAATCGCTTGAACCTGGGAGGTGGAGGTTGCAGTGAGAGCCAAGATCGTGCCACTGCACTCCAGCCTGGGTGACAGAGCAAGACTCTGTCTCAAAAAGAAAAAAAAAAAAAAAGAAAGAAAGAAATACCCAAATGACATCACTGAGTTCTAGACTCTTCCTTAGGGAGGTCACAACTTCAGGGCTGGCATGAGAATGTCCAACAGGAAGAAACCTGGCTGGTGACCCGCACAGTGGGTCACAGTGTCACAGCGTCCATGACCACATGCTCAAGAGATGCACTGTGGTTTCCGATGGTGATGGAGCATCCCCTCTAGAGCACCTGCAGCTGTCAAGCTTCCTGGGCTGCCTCCTGGTGGTTCTGCCGCTGGTGTGGCTGCTCAGTGGGTCAGTGGCTGGACTGGAGGAGCCTGAGGATGGCCTGGCCTCACCAGGGCTGGTTTTACAGCCTCCTCTCAGCAGAGGTTTTTTAAGTTCTGGGGGCAGTGATGCCGGACCAATGCTGTCCTGGGCCCCAGCTCCCAGCCTAATACACTTTCTGGCACCCCCCCAAACCTTGTTCTAGCAGAGCACTGGATTATTTTCCTGTGTGGCTGTCACCATTGCCTTTATATTTTTGCCATTGCCTTGTTTGTTGTCTATTTCTTCCCCTCAACAGTAGGCTCCCTGAGAGCAGGAACTGTGTGTGTCTTGCCAGGCCCAGCACAGGGCTGGTTATAATCGTGTTTCCTGAATAAATGCACGAATTCCCTGACAACCAGTAACCAAGCTCAGGGCTGCCGGATGGTCTCAAGAGGCTGGTCAGACGCTGCTAACACCATCCCGAGCATCCTCCACCTGTTCTCAATCCCTGCCTGGCAGGATAGGCAGACCCTGCATCTCTGCTCTCCCCTCCTTTCCCCCCCGAGTAGAGCTCAGTGGAAGTGCCACTTCCTCCAGGAGGTCATCCCTGATTGTCACAGATGGGTCAGCAAGTGCAGACAGTACATTTCCTGCCTATTTATGAGGACGGAATGGCAGCAGCCCGCGGCCTCCTGTGCTCCGTCCTCTGTGACATCACCTTGGTTGTCATGGAAACCACCCTGGCATCACAGTGGAGCCTGGATGCTCTTGCTAATGTCCTGCACTATTGCCTCACGTGTGTCTCTCTCCTCTGGCAGTTGGACTACAGTGTCTATGGCCTCCTTCACCCCTCTCCCTGACAGGGCTAAAGTCTGAAAACAGAGTCTTGTACCTAGGAAGTGATACTCCCTGGGTGCTTACTATGTGCTAGCCATGGCACTATATATTTCAATTTTTTTTTTTTTTTGAGATGGAGTCTAGCTCTGTTGCCCAAGCTGGAGTGCAGAGGTGCGATCTTGGCTCACTGCAACCTCCGCCTCCGGGTTCAAGTGATTCTCCTGCCTCAGCCTCCAAGTAGTTGGGATTACAGATGCCCGCCAGCCATGCCCAGCTAATTTTTGTATTTTTAGTAGAGATAGGGGTTTCACTGTGTTGGGCAGGCTGGTCTCGAACTCCTGACCTCGTGATCTGCCTGCCTCAGCCTCCCAAGGTGCTGGGATTATAGGCGTGAGCCACCGCGCCAGGCTGTATTTCAATATTTTTAAATTAAAAAACATTTTTTTAGAGACAGGGTCTTGCTATGTTGCCTAGGCTCATCTTGAACTCCTGGCCTCAAGCAATTCTCCTGCCTCAGCCTCCCAAAGTGCTGGAATTACAGGTGTGAACCACCCGGCCCAGCTGCTCACTGTACTTCATGTACATTATTTCAGTTAATCCTTGTAGCCACCCACCAAGAAGAAGATGCTATCATTACTCCCATGTCCCAGAAGAGGAAGCTGAGGCATAGTCAGTTAAGTCACTAGCCCAGTGGCAGAGCTGGGATTTGACTCCAGTGCCAGCTGACTCCTAACCATCGTGAGCTTTTGTGTGTGTCTCTCTCTACCTTCCTACCCTCCTGCCCTCCTCTGCTGGGAAATCTCCAAGCCTGCACTCAAGGTCACCCTGGCCCAGGCTGTCTCCCTCTCCTTTTGCCTCCAAACCCTCCCTCAGCACCCAAGTTCACTTGGAGGCCCAGCTCCCTGGCAGCCTTCCCTGCACACCCACAGCCCCCACAGTCTCTCTCCCTTTCCAGTGTCCTCCTGCGCTCCTGGCTTGAGCACCTGTGTGGGACCTGCCTGGCCTCCTTAAGCTCAATGACTGTCTCTGGTACCCTGATCTGGCTCTTCTGGAACAAGGGACACATGAGCCTGGCCTCCTCCCTGCAGGCCTTCCTGATAACCTTTGTTGGCGCCGACCTCAGGCCTTGAGTGAATCACAGTCCTGTCTCCACACTCGTTACAGAAACTCAGCTAGTGACAAAGGGCCTCAGCTCGGGTCCCCAAGCTGGGGTGGGTGGTGGTGGGGACTTCCTGACCTTCCCTGCGGCTGCCAGGCTCTTTCCTCTGGTTCCTGCAGCACCAACCAGTGGCTCCCTCAGTGGGAGGTTGGAGCCCAGGCCTCCCCAGGAGAAGGGCACCAGGAAACCCCAGGCAGTCACCCTAAGCACAGTAGGAAACACAGGCTTTTTGGACAGCTCCCTCCGGCTATGTCTGGGGATGGCCTGGAGGGAGGGAAAAGGGGTGCATGAATGCCCCAGCACCCCTGCCCCCAGGGAACAGCCTGCAGCCAGGTGCCAGTCCCTGCGAGATGAAGCTCGTTGACACTGCGCTTGGCAGCCTTGTCTTCCCTGCCCTGTGTCACCTTACTGATGCCTTCTAGTGTCACCTCCAAACTGCTTGAGCCGCAATCCTCAGCCTCAGATCTGCTTCTGGGAAATTCCAAACCAAGATGCCTGAATTTCCTTGAATTATTTCCTGTCTTGGGCAGCACAAAGTGTCCCCTGCTCGTGCCTATTAAGATCCTCGTGGCTGCCAGGACCTAGCACCGTGCCCAGCACATGAGGGGGCCAGCATGGGGATAATGCATGTCCCCCATCCACTGGCTCCTGAGGCAACACTGCAGTTCTCCAGGGGTCTCAGACCAGGTGACAGGCTCATGGGTGCCCTCTCCTGCTTGGGGTGGGGGCCAGGAAGAGGTGCCCCTGGCAATTAACCTTCAATTCCCTGGCTTGCAGGCACAGCCTGGTCTAAGCTGCAGCCTGCCTCTGCCAAATTAAATCAGACCTGGCCACAGCCAAGCTCCTGCCTCTGAGCCATTCAGAGGAGCCAGTCCCTTCTCCCTGTCCATCAGCCAGGCTCCTACTGGGATCTTCTCAAGGGCTCAACTCAGGCCTCCAGGCACCCTCCCAGGCACCGCACCAGGGATGCTCCAAATGCTCCAAGCCTGGGGTTGCTCTTGAAATCGGCTGGGAAAGTTCTGAGAGCCAGAAAGAGCACTGGACTTGGAGCCAAAAATCCTGGTGCTAATCCAGTTTCTCTGACCTCAGGCAACCATTTCCCTTCTCTGGACTGCACAACCTGCAAAGGCTGGGCTGGATGATGTCTGGGGAACTGAGCTCCAAAGCCTGGGACCAGGGGCAAACCCTCCCACCTTGCCTCTCACTGGGACACAGCAAGGATGGAAGGAGAGGCTGCTCCGATGACTCCAGAAACTGCAAACCCACGTAGCTGAGAGATGAGTCGTGTTTTGTGGGCGCTAATGAGCCAGCCTCTGGCACAGCCCCTTCGGCAACAACAATAGTAACAACTGGTACCATTCATTAAGACTGCATGCTGGGCAGCATGCTAAGCCCTTGCCAAGCTTCATTGAGGGGTAGGATAGGTAAGAGGTTCTAGCCCATATTTGCCAGTTATTGGCGTTGCAAGTCACATGACCTCTCTGTGCTTCAGTGGCTTAATCTGCAAACTAGGGGGAAATGACAACTATACCCACTTCATAGGATGGATGCAAAAATTAGAGAATTAAAACATGTAGGCTGGCCGGGCAAGGTGGCTCATGCCTATAATCCCAGCACTTTGGGAAGCCAAGGTGGGTGGATCACCTGAGGTCAGGAGTTCGAGACCAGTGTGACCAACATGGCAAAACCTTGTCTCTACTAAAAATATGAGCATGGGGGTGGACACCTGTAATCCCAGCTACTTGGGAGGCTGAGGCAGGAGAGTCACTTGGACCCGGGAGGCGGAGGTTGCAGTGAGCTGAGATCATGCCACTGCACTCCAGCCTGGGTGACAGAGCAAGACTCCATCTCAAAAAAAAAAAAAGTCCTCTGGGCACAGTAGCTCACACCTGTAATCCCAGCACTTTGGGAGGCCAAGGTGGGTGGATCACCTGAGCTCGGGAGTTTGAGACCAGCCTGGGCAACATAGCAAAACCCTGCCTTTGCCAAAAATACAAAAAATTAGCTGGGCATCACCTGTAGTTGGGAGGCTGAGGCAGGAGAATCGCTTGAGCCTGGGAGGTGAAGGTTGCAGTGAGTCGAGATCGCACCATTGCACTCCAACCTGGGTGACAGAGTGAGACCCCATCTCAAAAAATAATAATAATTTAAAAAATGTAAATCGCTTAGAAGAATGTCATCACATGGTGAGATACAGTAATTGAGCTATTATTAGCTTTCTAGACCTCATAGTAACCCTATGCTGCCACTTCTATGGTCCCTATTTTACTCCTGGGGGAACATAAGGCCCACAGACAGTCATCCTCTCCATTTATTGCATTTACTGTGTCCATCCTTCAGCTAGCACGAGGGATATGGTAGATGCCTGGCAGTAATGTCCCGGCCCTCAGGGTGTGTGCAGCCTCTCAGGGAAGCCGGATGTTAAGGATTTAATTACCTCTGTGGTATATGCCACAAGTGAGACGTCCCAGTATTGGGGTGAGAGGTGGGGATGGCAGGCCCAGGTGTGGTGAGTAAGTGGTGAGTTTAGGTGGGGTTAAAAGATTGCCTGGGAGGCCAAGGCAGGAGGATGGCTTGAGTCCAGGAGTTCAAGACCAGCCTCAACAACATAGCAAGACCCAATGTCTACAAAAAATTTAAAAAATAGTGGGGCACGGTGGCATGTGCCAGTAGTCCTAGTTACTCGGGAGGCTGAGGCAGGAGGATTGCTTGAGCCCAGCAGTTTGAAGCTACAGTGAGCTGTGATGGTGCCACTGCACTCCAGGACTGGGAGAGAGACAGAGACCTTGTCTCTAAAAATAATAATAAAAAACGGTTGCCCCACCTGGCACATAGCTGGTGGGGGGCTGAACCAGGATCTGAAGTTACACCTGTGAGTCCAAGGCCACCTCCCTTAACAGCTCTGCCACCTTCCTTCCCAGGAGCATCCCAAGAGGGAAAAATGATTATAAAAAGCCAAGCTGATAATCAGCTCCTCATGCACTTTCTGCTAAACAGCTGAGCTGCCAGAACACCTGGAATTTCCCTGGGTAGAAAGTTGGGCATCATTGTGGTGCAGCCTCTTGGCCTGTTGCCTGCACCTACTGGCCTTCTAAGAAGTTTGGGGGGAAGTAAGCATTGCATTTGAGGTGGCCTTCCCACTGACCTGGGGCACGTAACTACCTGGGGTTGGGGATGAAGTTCAAAGTGAACACCCAGCTGGGCCACTGGAATCAATACGCAGGGAACGTGCCCACTGAGATGAACACCCTCCCCCTTCACCCTGGGCGCCAACTCAGTGGTTAGTCCACCTCAGAGCTGCACCGGGAGGGCCAGGCAGACCTCGTCCCCGGGCTACTGAGCAATCTGTGCAAGGGCAGCGTAGCAGCTGGAACTACCAGAGGGCCCAGAAATGACAGCAGCAGCAAGTGGGGCAGAGACTCAGTCCCTGGGAACAGGCATGTCCTCCCCTCACACAGGAGCAGAGGGAAGGGATACCAACAGGTCTCCAAAACCTGGAGTTTGGAAGAATATAAAATGTCCCTCTGGTGGCCAGGCATGGCAGCTCACACCTCTAATCCTGGCACGTTGGGAAGCCGAGGCGGGAGGATCGTTTGAAGCCAAGAATTTGCGACTAGCAGGGGCAACAGAGCCAGACCCCGTCTCTACAAAAAATAAAAATAAAAAAATTATCCTGCCATGGTGGTGTGTGCCTGCAGTCCCAGCTACTTGGGGGCTGAGGTGGCCTGGGACGTCAAGGCTGCAGTGAGCCACGATTGTGCCACTGAGCTCCAGCCTGGGCAATGGAGAGAAACCCTGTCTCAAAATTAAAAAAAAAAAAAGGAAAGAAAATAACCCCAAAACCTCCCTCTGGGATCTTTTAAGGGAGATGGAACTGCTCTAAAATTGGATTGTGGTGATGGTTGCACAACTGTAAAAGTATTAGTAATCAATGAATTAATTGTACACTTAAAACAAGTACATATTATAGCATGTAAATTATACCTCAGTAAAGCTGTCTGGGGGAAACTCTCCCTCTGGCTCTGACCACTGAGCCATGCTCCGGGCCACATGTCCTGGGTGGGGTTTTGCACGTAGCCATCTGCGTGCCCTCTGGACCCATGACCAAATGGGCCATTCATGAGAGAGGGTGTGGGAAGCCAAGGGCTCAGTCTGTGGTTTGGGAGCGGGAAACCTGGTTTTCTGAGTGCTTCTAGAACCGGTTTCCCTGTGTCTGTTCCATCAGAGGAGCCTGTACCAGCCAGGCAGCACCCCTCCTCAGAGGCCTGAACCCTCCTGGGATAGGAAGCCCCTCCTTGGAGCTCCTGAGGCTGGGGGAAGGGTCTCAACAGGCTGCCCTGGGGGGCCTGGACCAGACTTGGCAGTCTCAGCAAACCTTGTACCTTTTCAGGGATGTGGCCCAGCAGGAAACCTGGGTTCCCCTTAAAAGATCCCAAATGTGGCACATGCCTTCAACTCTACCTTCAGCCCCCGTGGTGACCATGGCAACCATGGCGTCCTGATGCAGTTATTCTGCCCTTCTGTCTGATGAAGGGTCCCATCCTGAAATTTGGAGCTAGTTGCCCCAGCCAAGGGTCAGGTGCTTCTCACTTCATCCTCAGCTCACCCCCGTGTGGGGTGTGGACTTGGAGCTGAAGGGCAATGGCATGAGTCCAGCCTCTGACACTTCCTAGCTGAGAGGTAAGTCAACCAGTCTCAGCCTAAGGTCCCTCATCTGCAGAAAGGAGCATGGGCCTCCCTGGATTGTACGGATGCTCAAACAAGATAAACCATGCTCAAGGGTCCAGCACGGCTTTAGTACAGCATCAGCCAGACGCTGGGAGCTGTAATATCCGATATGGCCATGGGGTGGAGCCAGATACACATGTATCTCATGAACCGAGGGCTTCAAAGTGACCCAAAGTTACAGACGTGCCCAAACTCCAACCACCCTCAAGATCCAACTTACAGAGCCTGTGAAGGGGAAGGAGTCACAAGGTCTCTGGATGCTTGTCCCTTTCATCTCGGACTATGTCTATGAATATCTCCCATTCCCACAGCCATCCAGCCCCTCTCTAGATCCTGACTGTTGCATGCTTGGACCACTGCAATAGCCAACTGGTTCTGCTAGGACCTCAGAATGTCAGAGCCAGGAGATAGCCCAGAGACCCCTAGGTTCTGCCCATTTACCTGATGCTGAAGTGTAGCGATTGTTAATGACTGCCTCAGGCCTATCTCTTCTTGGCCTAGCCCTAGCCAAAAATCCCTTACTCTCACGGAAGATGAAATTTCTTTCAATCCTTGAAACACAATCTCAGGGACTCCCTCTGGCCTGGATGCCCTCCTCTGCCACTCTCCTTGAGTAGTGAGCTCTTGCTTTAGTCTCAGCCTGAATGCCACCTCCTCAGGGAGGCCTTCCTGACCACCTCAGCAGGCTGGTTTGTTGCTGCGCAAGGCCCTGCACCTATTACAATCAGTTGTTCTTTTTCTGTCTTCCCCATTATCAGCAGCTGTTATAAGCCCTGTTTTATAGGCAAGGACATTGAGGTTTTGGGAGTTTAAATAATTCCCAGGCCACACAGCAGGTGGGGGAGGAGCCAGGGTTTGCCAGAGCCTATAATGGTCTGCTGCCTCCTGTGGAAGCAAGCCAGGCCCATGCCATGCTATCCTCCCCCTTAGACCACCAGGGCCCCGAGAGTGGGGACTGAGCTACTTCTGAAGTCCCGGGCCTCACATAGAGATGATCTAGAAACACTTGCATGAACACACGCCTCCCACAAGAATGCAACAGAGGAAGGCTGGTCCCAGTGGCCGAAGACCCAGGTTCTAGGTTCAGTTCTGCCTTAAACTCCCCATGGAGGGGTAACTACCCAGGGACTAGGAACATGGAGGGTAGTGATAACCACAGGGGAACCAAGACCCACCTTGAACACAACATAACAGCAAAGCAGGCCTCAGCGCTCTTCCAGGGCTTACCCCTTCCGCCAGAGGCTCCAAAGGGCTCTGTAGGCCTTCCTTGGGGGTAAGAGAGTGGGCACATGGGGGTCTTGAGGTTTCAGAGAACATAGAATGCACAAGCCCAAGAAATTAATGGGGGACCCAGTCTACCCCCACACACTCCTGCACCAGGATACCCTTCCCTGCCACCTTCCTCCCCACCCTGAAGAAAATCCTGTGCCAGGCCTGAAAACAGAGTCATCTTCTCTCCCTGGACATGGGCCTCCCAGGCGTGTGCGCTATGAGCTGGGCTGGACTGGGGGTGTTTGAATCTGCTTCCCTCCAGCTCGCCGACCCAGCATGACAGCTGAGCCTGCAGAAGTCCTTGTTCCCCACGGCCAATGCCCCTTTCAAGTGGGTTGGACACAGCTTCCTGTGGGCATTTTCCTGCCACCTGCCCACCCAGGTTGAAGGGGGCATGGCAGGGGATGGACAAGGTTTATTTATCTAACGTTCTGTTCCCTCCCTCAGCCTCCCACAGCTCCAAGGTCCAGCTGGCCCTCCTGCCCATCAACATAAAGAGGCTATTTGTGCAGCAGCCAGTGGCAGGGGGCTGCAAGGACAGTGTGGCCCACGTCCCTGGCCAGATGGGTGGTGGCAGGGCTTTACAGAGCACACAGAGCCATCTTGATGATAGGTGTCTGACCAGAATGCAGCCAGGCATGTGTGGGTGGACTTTCTACCCCAATCCCCCAGGAGAGACAGGGACTTGGGATGCCCTGGAGTTTCCAACAGCCTGCAGGGTGGTAGGGGCAGCCTCGCTCCACAGGCAGCACCAGCCCTGGCCAGGACTCCCAGAGCAGAGAGGGATGCGGTGAGATGCTCCTCTCCCAGCTCTCACCTTCAGCTCGGCCAACCCAATTCCATTCCCCCAGCCTTTTTGGGGTGGCTGCTCTGTACCCAGGCCTGGGCTAATGGAGGAAAGGAGAAGAAAAACAGAAAATCCCATTTCCTGAGCTTTTGTGATGGGTTAAGTACATAGGGGCATTTTCTACGCATTTGCTCCCTTGAACCTCACAATCATTTTGCCACATGTACCACGGGGGCCTTGCACAGATGGGGAAACAGACTGGAAGAGGAGAAGTGAGCCATTCAAGCTCACAGGCAGAGCTGGGTGTCCCCACAGTTGCCACTGCAGTTAATTTAACTCAATTCACAATTTCAGCTTTGACCCTTGAGGTGATTAGCCTACGCGGTCCCTGGCATACAGCTGGCACTCAGTAACTACCTGCAGAGTGAAGGGAGGCTGCTGTGGAGAGGTTCCAGGGCTCTGTCCACAACCTTCCATTTGCCTCCTAGGAAAAGGAAGGGAGTAGGAGGGTGTATGACTCAGTGCCCAGTTTGTGATCCACACGCATCATCCCAATTCATTCTCCCCAGTGCCGGAGCAGTGACTCCGGGTGACTTACAGAGAATGGAAGGCCACGCAGTCAACCCACAGCAATGCTGCTGGTGAGCAGGGAAGCCTGGACTCTAACTCAAGAGGCTGGCAGCCAGACATAAGCCGAGCAGTCGCCCTGCCTTCCCGAACAGGCCAGACCTGGCATTCGACTGGGATTGGGGATGTGGGGCTCCTGGAGGAGACACCCCACATTCTCAGTGCTATTCCAGCTGCACTGCCACACACACCACCTTGCCCCTCGTCTTCCTACGGGAACCCTGAAGCAGGGCTGGCAGAGTTCATCTGTCCTCCTGGGCTCTGCTTCTCCCAGGCAAATGGCAGCAACAACCTCTGTCCCCCTCACTGGACTCCCCACAATTTTACCATGCAGTCCAAGATGAAACAACCATCCCCAAAATATAAATGGGAGGGGAGGATGAGAAAGTCATGCAGAGGAGAGTGTTTTCTTGAGTCTGACCTCCTCCCACCCCAGGCCCCAAGCAGCATCTGCCTCTGCCCTGGCCCTCCTTCCCTGGCAGCCTCCCTCAGTGTCCTAAGCCAGCCCCTGCACCACCTTAACCAGCCCGGCCCAGTTCCCAAACCTGTGCTCTGGCTGGGGCAGGCCTCCCGCAGGATGGCCTCCCCTTTTGGCCTGCCCTGGGGTTCCCCGCAGGAGGCAGGGACACTGGGGGTGGACTCTGCCCCATGGGGAGTGTTGGGGGCCCCTGATGGGCAGGCTGAGGCAGGGATGGTTCTGGCCTGGCCTCAGTCCATCCTCCTCTCACCCCAGGTCCCTCGGAACATTGGGGCATTGTTCTACTGTACAACAGAGGGTGGCTCTGTGGCCCTGGGCTGAAGAACAGAAACCAGTTTAGCAGGGCTATCTGCTCCTCCCATGCAATGTCAAGAATTTAACCAGGATCATGGCTGGCTTCAGCAGGAAGAAACAAGCCGAAGGGATAAGCCCAGGGTGAGAGCAGGAAGTGGGAGGTGACTGTCTACCCACTGTGTGGGCCCACTATGTGTCCCATCGTGGGTAAGAGGTGGGCTGGTAAGGCCAGTGGGCTGGTAAGAGGCCCAAGAAGAAAGATACTAAGTGAGTGACAAGAGCAGGGCAGATCAGCTCAGCCCTGGCCTCAGTTTTCCCCTCTGTGATATGGGTGCACCAAAGGCATGTGTGCCCACCCTGCCCACAGGCTTGGACTGCCAGCAGTGGTCAAGAAGGCTGCAACCTCAGCCCTGAGGCTGCAAAGGCAGCCTTGCATCTCCAGAAGTGGAGAACGTGTGTATGTATGTGGAGGGAAGTGATGTGGGCCTGCTGCTGCTGTGCGCTTCCACCCGGGATGTCCCCATCCCACCATGATGGGGACAGCAAACACTGGCCTTGGCAGTGCTGACACCGTGCCAGGTTTGTTTGGCACTTTATGTGTGCTAAAGCATCATCCTCGCAACTGCCTTTGGAGGCAGCAACGATTCCCACTCTACAGATAAAGGAAACTGAGGCACACAAGGGCCTTGCAACTTGCCTGAGGCAAGTGGCAGAGCTGGTCTCTGACCCCTGGCCCCCTGACTCCGGAGAGGTTGAGAATCCTCCTGGCTCTGCTCCCCGAGGTGGGCAGTTCAATGTATAACTCTATTAAATAGCCTGGCTTTATTTTGGCACAGTTGGGCAATCACCCAACACTTACTAGGTGCCAGGTCCTGGGGGTCCAGAGATGTGGGTTCCTTGGTGGGGAGAGATCCATAAACAGATCCCAAGGCTGCCAGGTTGCCAGCTCTAGGGAGGGCTTTCTGGAGGAGGGGCCCAAGCTGAGTCTGGAGACAGAGTAGGATGCAGTTCCAGAGCGAGTGGGGAGGAGAGGAGGGTGCTCCTGGTGGAGGGAACCATGGGGCAGAGCATGGAGGCTGGCGACAAGCTAAGAAAAGAATGAGGGCGTGGCCACTGGGCCAGGAGGCTGCAGAGATGCAAAGGTGGATCCTGGGGCCCTACGGCCAGATCTTTCTCCCACCAGAACTGCATCCTCCTGGGAATCTACAGACAGAGTTCCTAGCGTTCGTTTCAAAGACTTTTAGATTCCTTATTTCCACTGGATGAGAATTTAAAATGGAACACAAAGAGGCATTTCTGGGTCACGCAGTTGACCACGTGGTGAGTCCTGCCGGGCCAGTTTGGGCCTGCCTTTAGCTCCTGTTTGCCCTTGTTGACACCATATGGGAGGACTGCATCTGGGGGTGAGGGGCCTTGCCTGTGGAAGCAAGGGATTCTCAGGAGATCAGGCAGAGCAAAGCAAGGGGGAGCTGAGTCAGTAAAGTGGCCTCAGGACACTGTGCCAGGAGGCAGGTCATGCTCACAGTGGGGTCATCTCAGCTGCTACAGAGGGTGTCTCTTGGTGTGGCTTCCATGTGTCTTTTTTTTTTTTTTAAGATACAGGGTCTGTCTCTGTTGCCCAGGCTGGAGTGCAGTGGTGCAATCATAGTTCACTGTAACCTCAAACTCTGGGCTTAAGCAATCCTCCTGCCTCAGCCTCCTGAGTAGCGGGGACCACAGGCGTGTGCCACCATGCCTGGCTCATTTTTTTTCTTTTTTCTTTTTTTTGTAGAGATGGGGGTCTCACTATGTTGCTCAGGCTGGTCTCAAACTCCTGGGCTCAAGCAATCCTCCCGCCTTGACCTCCTGAAGTGCTGGGATTACAGGCATAAGCCACCGCACGGGGCCAAGGGCATGTCTTTATCTGCCTTCTTTGGGATTTGGTGACCAAGGGTCTCCTCATCCCAAGCTGTCACATGGCTCCCCAGCAATTCACACAGGAGAGACCAAGAAACTACATCAAGCTTCTCTTGCCCACCCCTGCCCATTGACCCCTTATGACTGCAGGGCAAAGGGCTGGGGGCTGGGGGGCTGGAGGGGCCTAACAGAACTGCACCCAGGCTCCAAGGCCTGCCTCCCCACTTGGCTGCATGGCCTGGGGAAGTCAGGTAACTGCTAGCAACTTCGCTTCCCCATCTGCTAAATGGGGATAATAACATCACCTTCGTGGGTGGCCTAATATTTAAATGAATATTTAAATAAGCATGATGTAGACTACAGAGGAGGTGACCAATACAATAAGGCAAACACTCTTCCTTTCCCTTTCTGCTCCCCTCCCTCCCCCCAATCAGGACACACACACACACACACACACACACACACACACACACGCACATACACCCCTATTCAACTGCTGACTTTCCAAGAACACACTGCTAGGGACCAAATGTTTGTGTCCCACCTAAATTCATATGTTAAATCCTAACGCCCAAGGTGATATAGTAGGAGCTGATTAGGCTATGGTCATTAGCCTCATGAATGAGATCAGTGCCTTATAAAAGAGAACCCAGAGAGCTTGTTTCCCTGTCCACCAGGGTAAAGATGACTATGAACCAAGAAGCAGGCCCTCACCAGACACTGAATCTGCTGGTGCCTTGGTTTAGGACTTCCCAGCCTCTTTCATAAGAACTGTGAGAATTTTATTTCTGTTGTTTATAAGCCACCCAGGCTATGGTACTCTGTTCCAGCAGCCTGAACAGACTGACACACACCATCCTCAAAGGAAAACATCAAAGGGGCTGAGGCCGGTACCCACCTACTCTGGCTGGGGTGGAGGTGGGGAGCGGGTGCTGACGAGGTTGGGAAGGCGTAGTGGGTGTGAGCTGAGTGATGGGTTGGGTCAGGGCTGTGGTTAGAACCGTAGGTCTGGGGCCAGCCAGCCTGGCTTGGATCTTGGCCCTGCACCTGCCAGTTGGGTGACTTCAGGTGAGTGGCTTCATGTCCCTGAGCCTTCAGCTCCTTGGTAAAATCATGTCACAGTCGTACTTACCATGTAAGACCATAGTGAGGGCTGAATGACAACAATCATTCATCCAACAGAGACCCTCTGAGACCCTGCTCTGGGACATGCACTGTTCTGGGTGCTGGGGATACAGCTGTGAACAGAACAAAGACAAGTTCATACTCTCCTGGAGCCTGTGTTCTAGTGGGAGGGGCCAACAATAAACACAGCAAGCGTCTTAGTCTGTTCAGGCTGTTATAACAGAGTACCTTCTTACACTAGGTAATTTCTTTTTCTTTTTTTTTTTCTTTCTTTTTTTTTTTTTTTTTGAGATGGAGTCTTGCTCTGTCACCCAGCTGGAGTGCAGTGGTGCGATCTCGGCTCACTGCAACCTCCACCTTCTGGGTTCAAGCAATTCTCCTGTCTCAGCCTCCCAAGTAGCTGGGATTACAGGCACGTGCCACCACGCCTGGCTAATTTTTGTATTTTTAGCAGAAATGGGGTTTTGCCATGTTGGCCAGGCTGATTTCAAAGTCCTGACCTCAGGTGATCCACCCGCCTTGGGCTCCCAAAGTGCTGGGATTACAGGCGTGAGCCACCGTGCCCGGCCACACTAGGTAATTTCTTAAAAACAGAAATTTATTGCTCACAGTTCTGGAGGCTGTAAAGTCCAAGATCAAGGTGTCAGCAGATTTGGTGTCTGGTGAAGGCTGGTTCCCCACAGATGGCGCACTCTAGCTGTGTCCTGCCATGGCAGAAGGGGCAAATGCTGTGTCCTCACATGATGGAAGGGGCAAGGGCCTTGCTGGAGCCTCTTTCATAAGGGCGCAAATCCCATTATCCTTCCGTGTGAGGAGGCAAAACCACCATGGCTGCTCTGTGCCAGGCTCATCAAAGGTGTCCATGAAGAACATCCTTTCTGTGCAGGGCCAGTGGTCTGGAAGAGCAACCACTAACTGACCGGAGATGGGTCTGGCTCTCCGCCTGCAGAAGCCAGCGAGTGGCCTGGGATCAAAGCCGAGGCGCTCAGGCCTGCTGCCCACCTCCCCCACTGAGTCTGGGCTGTGACAGACCTTGTCTTCTCTGGAAGATGGAAAGGGAAGACGGTCCCCCACCCCAGCCCCCATGAATTCTCAATGGACCCTGCAGCAGCACACTTGAAAGAAGCCAGGGGTTATCTACAAAATTCCAATTAAATCCACAGGCTTTGATAATTTGATAAGCCACTCCACAGTCGCCCCAGAGTCAAAATATGCTGTTACTCGATCCCGTGTTTATGTTCTAGGCTGGAGGGAAGGGAGGTGCACAGTCGCCTGGAAAGGTCCAAACAGCCGGAGAGGGAGGAGGTGCAGGCACTAGGCTGACACGTCGGCAGCCTGTCAGCCGAGGGTCATGGACAAGCTCTGGCTCTTTTGTGGCAGGCACACTCTGCAGGGGAACACAGGTCTCTCTTGGTGGGTCCTGGAGGCGGAGCAGAGACAGGGCCGGGCCCGGGGAGGGGGAGCCCCTCAGAACTGCCTGGCCACAGCTGAGCTCACTTCCTGAGCCTCAGACCTGTCTTGGGGCTGGAGGCATTCCTATTCCCAGGCCCATAACTTGCCAGACCAGTGGTGAACTGGCCCACGTGGCCAATACCACCTCAAGAAAGAGGCAGATAACCCCTGCTGGCCTGGTGATGGAGCGGCCAAATGCTTCACAGCCCCTCCCTGCAAAAGTCAGGTAGGGACGGAACGTGCACACATTCCATTCTGTTCCCCAGCCTTCCATGAACACAGGTGTGGAGCACTTCCTGTGCACCAGTAGCACCTGGCCGGGTTATTTGAGTAAACCCTCTTGACCAGCTCGTGAGTTCTGCATTATCTCATTTTAGGGGAACAGAAATGCAGAGACATTGAGCAAATGGCCAAAGATCACTGAGCCTTAAGTGGCAGGGCCTGGCCCCAGAGCCTGGCCCCACAAAGCCATGGCCTGCTGCCTCCCCAACAGCCAAGTGTCTTGCTGAGCCTGGTTTCCACTGTTCCTCAAGGGCCTCCTAGAGGTGGGCAAAAGGCTAACTTAATGCCATGAATGAAGTGAGGCCGACGGATTCAGCTGACTGGCAAAGAGCAGGTTTGGAGGCATGGATCACAGGCTGGGTCAGCTGCTTTTGTGGCGATACACCTGCTGCCTCCACCATCAACGATCCTGATCCTTTTCCCCCGTGGCCAGGCACACGATCACGGGGGATCCCAACAGCCACCCACGTAGGGAGGAGCATCTCCTCTCTCCCCATGCAAGGACAGAAAATGAGAGGCTTGGAGAGAACATCACAGCTGGGCAAGGGCGGGTCAGGTGAGGACCCAGGGATACTGCTGCCAGGCTCAGAGCCTTCCCTTGCCCTGAGGCAAGGCAAGGATGAAGAAGGAAGGGGCAGGAGCGCAGACAGGTGGGGACAGAAAGGAGATCCTGAGGAGCTTCAGGACCACAGTCCCCAAACCAGTGAAGCAGGTGGGAGAAACAGATGAATGTGGGCTTCTGCTTGCAACCTGGAAGTTCTGGGTTCAAATTCCCGCTCTAGCTGTGAGCTCCTGTTTTGTAATCTGTAATGTGGGGATAAGAATATACAAGCCCTGGCCGGGCGCAGTTGCTTATGCCTATAATCCCAGCACTTTAGGAGGCTGAGGCGGGTGGATCCACTTGAACTCAGGAGTTCGAGACCAACCTCGCCAACATGGTGAAACCCCGTCTCTACTAAAAATACAAAAATTAGCCAGGTATGGTAGCATGTGCCTGTAATCCCAGCTACCAGGGAGGCTGAGGTAAGGGAATTGCTTGAACCTGGGAGCCAAAAGTTGCAGTGAACCGAGATTGCTCCACTGCACTCCAGCCTGGGTGACAGAGCGAGACTCTGTCTCAAAAAAAAAAAAAAAAAGAATATACAAGCCCTGGTGCAAACCTCTCATCATCTGAGTTTCATGGATAACCCTTGGAGGTAGCAAAAACAGGGCTTAATCACTATTCCCTTTTTACAGATGGTTCCCTATTTCTCGCTATTCTTTCTTCTGAAATTTTACATTTTAAATTTTAATTTTTTGTAGAGACAAGGTCTCACTGTGTTGCCAGGACTGGTCTTGAACTCTTGGGCTCAAGAGATCCACCTGCCTTGGCTTCTCAAAGTGCTGGGATTACAGGTGTGAGCCAATATGCCTAGCTTTTTTTTTTTTTTTTTCAATCAGCTGAATTTAAGATTCATCCCTGTTTCTCTCTAAATGTAGAAACTTCGGCCAGCACTGAGCCACTAGGGACCACAGGAAGGCTTGGGGAAGTTACGAGGGATCTGCCTGGACATTACACAGCTAGTAGCAGCAGAACTGGGACGTGAACTCAATACTTTGCATCCTATACCCTGTGGCTTTCCACTGCTTCACGCTGTGAACCAAGCTACTGATAAGCTCCTGATGGTTCACAGTGCTTGTTTCTTGCCTGAGGCAGCCATCAGTGAAGATGGTCTTTGCTAGGCCAGGTGGGCCTCGGAGCTGCTTTTTCCTCCCTCGAAATGCCCAGGCTATTTCAGGCTATTAGTCTTTTAGCATGCGTGAAGACAGAAGGGTCCCTTTAGGCAGGACTGCCATGTATGGGTGTGCAGGCCACATATTCTACAACCTCATGGGCACATTCACAGAAAGTGCAGTGTGAATGGCACCTCCAGAGCCACGCAATGCTCACCCTCATCTTCAGGCTTTCTCCTCCCCATCACCAGGTTCCCCCTGCCTCTCCCCACCTGGCCCAGAGGGTTCCTGTGTCCTACTCTCTCCTTTCCCTCTGTAGTAGCCACCCCATCTGCCTCTCTCTCACCCATCCGGTACTTTAAGCTTCCAGGGGATAGCTATGGAGTGAGCTGATTCATCAGCATCCCCTTAAGTCCTCTCCCCAACCCTCTCTCTTACCCAACACCCCTCCCTGCCTTCTGCCCACCAGCTCCTGGGTGGGAGCTGAATTTTTCTCTCCAATGAGAACCTATGCTGGGGACTGCAGGTGAGCAGAATGCTCTGAGCAAGAGAGCATGGCCATCTGGATGGAGTCGGGTCCTGGGTGTGAGAAACCAGCATGGCTGAGTGGGCCATCTTTACCACCACCCACAGCATCCCAATTTCAGAGAGAAAAAAGACCTGCATGGTTCCCTGTTTCTCTCCAAACATGGAAACATTAGCCAGCACTGGGCCACTAGGAACCACAGACTTAGGTTCAGGTTTTGTCCTGTCTCCTATCAAACCATCTGCATGACTCTGGGGGAAAAGCACCTGACCTCACCGAGCCATGGTTTCCTCCTCTGTAAATAGGACTATTGAATATGGTAATGCCTATCATAAAATGCTATACATAAAAGATACTGGGTAAATTCATTATGATTTTTTATGATGATTATAAAATCTGTTGTAGCAGCCCAGGACTGCTGTTATTTGGCAGGTGAGTTTTCATCCTGGGCAGTGCACACTGGGACCTCTGCAGCCATAACAGCGAAGAGCAAGGACTGTGCTAGCCCTGAGTGGTCTCGATGGCATGACCATTATATTTTCTGTTATCTCATCTGCTCCTTGTAACAACCCTGTGAGCCAGAAAGAGTTTGTAGGAAAATCTGCTCCACAAATGCAGAGACACTCTTCCCTGCAGCCCTGGGGTAAAGGAAAATGAAGAGTGGGCTCTGGCACTAGGAGCCTGGGGAATAATGTCCCCCATTCCTTTGGACCACTGTTCTTTAGCCCGGCTGGCCCTGCTAGCTCACCTTCTGCTTGTGTTCCCACAGCCTCAGCCTCCCCAGGCTGGCCATTGCTTTAGCCCACGCCTCCCCAGCACACAGGAGAGGCCTGAGCTATTACTTACTCTTTTGGAGGGTTGACATCCTCGGGTCGAGCCTCGAAGAACCGGAAGACTTCGTCACACTGTGAGATGTGGGGGGGCAGCCGGACAAGTGCCTGTGGAGAGACAGGAAGAAAGGGCATTAGGTGTGATGAACTTGGGAACAGGAAAACCAAGACAGTGTCACCTTACACCAACAGTGACAGAGAGGCTCAAGAACTGAGCCATGGAAGACATGGTCAACCAGCCACCCACCTGTCCACCCAGAAAACTAATCAACAAATCAACCAATCAAATAACGAATCAAACAACCAACCTTCCTTCCTTCCCTCCCTCTTTCTATCCATTTCTCTCAACTAACTAGCCAGCCAACTAACTGACCAACTAACCAACCAGCCAATTAATCAACAAACCAACAAGACAACAACAAGAAAACCCCTAACCAGTTATCCAATCAACCTACCCATCAACCATCCAGTCAACCAACCAACCAACCAACCAACCATCCAACCAGCCAGTCAACCAACTAAACAACTGACTTAAACAAAAAAAAAAAGACCACTGAACCCTGGAACCCTGGGTCTTAGGGTCCTCAGGAGCTAATCATTCTGCAGGAACCCTGAGGGAATTCCCTTCTGCACACAGAATAAGTCCAAGATCCATAACCTAACAGTCCAAGGTCACGTCCTCCCAGCCTTGTCTTCCACTAGCCACGCTCCAGCTGCACCAGGCATTCACACTCCCTAAACACTGACCACAAAATTAATTATTTCATGACAAGTTGATAATTGCTGCCAAGGACAACAAAGCACTATGATGGAGTTTGATAGAACCCAAGAAGATGTGGAAGATGGGGAGCCAGTGTTTCAGGAAGGACTCTTTAAAGCTAAGTTCTGAAGGATGGATAACAATTAACTGGTCAAGGTGGAGGTGGAGCGATCAAGCATGTTGGTTTCAGGAGATGAATGAAGGCCAGTGCGGCCTGAGGACCCAGAGCAAGGGAGAGGGGCCATAGGAGGTGGGCAGGGGCATGACTAGCAGGGCCTTGTTTTAGGCCAAGCTGAGGATGCCTGGAGAAACAATGTAAACTGAAGAGTGTGGAAAGGTTTCTTAGAAGAGTGGGCAGGAGCACGGCTTGTGGAGTTTGCAGGGTTTGGACAAGCAGAGAGGAGGAGTGGGCATTCTATGGGAAACAGTAGTCATGGCAAGTGCGTGGGCCAGCTGTGAGCCTGTCATCCAGGCATGGGGAGAGTCTGCAGCTGGAAAGTGAGGCACTAGGTCAGGAGGTAGTCAGAGTTAGGCCAGGCGTGGTGGCTCATGCCGGTAATCCCAGCACTTTGGGAGGCCGAGGTGGGCAGATCACTTGAGGTCAGGAGTTGGAGACCAGCCTGGCCAACATGGAGAAACCCCGTCTCTACGAAAAATACAAAAATTAGCCAGTGTGGTGGAGGGCGCCTGTAATGCCAGCTACTCGGGAGGCTGATGCAGGAGGAGAATCGCTTGAACCCAGGAGGCAGAGGCTGCAGTGAGCCAAGATCGTGCCACTGCACCCCAGCCTGGGCAACAGAGCAAGACTCTGTCTCAAAAAAATATAAATAAATAAAATAAAAATAAAAATAAATAAAATAAAATAAAACAAAATAAAATAAAAAGAAGGCAGTCAGAGTTCATGCTGCACACCAGCACGCAGGACCCTGACCTGGCCCAGTCCGACATGGAGGGGTTGGGGGTGTAGGGTGAGGCCGGGTGTAGCCCCGTTTTCTGGGCCCCTCAATTTAGTATGGGGAGAAATACTGGGGCAAGGAAGGATCCCCTGGTCCAAACAGACAGGAGAGAACACTACCAAAGCAGAGCTGAGGGACGGGGACAGGGAGCCGAGGGCTAGAGCCAGGAGAAGACAGGAAAACCCAGGACTGGAGGAGTCAACAAACACAGGGTTTGTGAGAAACTCCTGATGAGACCTGGTCTATAAGACAGGACCCTGTCCCATACCCCTGCCTCCTGAAACCTCACACACCACGACCAGCTTCAGATGCAAGGCCTAGATCCAGTGGCTCCTGGGCCAAGTACAGTAAGTCTGTGAGTGTCGTTCCAGGAAATTCTCATGAGGGTCGTCCTCATGAGGGCACAATTCCCATCCCCATACTACGGGTGAGGAGACAGAGGTGCAGGGAGACATGTGGCCTGCCCACAGGCACCCACGGAGGGTGGGAAAGACTCACTGGAAGGTAAGCTCCATGCAGGCGCGATTTTAGTCTGTTTGGTTGATTTCTGTGTCCCCAGATCCTAGTAGAGTACCTGACAGAGCAGGCACTTGATTTATATTTGTTTAAAGAAATGAATGAAAAATGGATAAGGTAGTGAAGGTTTCCATGTCTATAAGCCCAATATCCAGTAGCTATGGGACATGATAGTGGGGCAAAAAACCCACATATAATCTTAGGTTGCATCTATAGAATTATAATATTGAGGAAGAGGAAAGTAATGGTTTAGTTATTCTCTGAGCTAGTTAGATAACAATTGAAGTGTGCCATCTAGCACCAGGCATCCTATCAAGATGGGCCCTTCTCGATGCCAAACCCACACCCAGGCAAGATGAGGTAAGACCAGACCATGGCAGATAAGAGAGCATGATGTAACCCTCAGTCATTCCTTTCAGGGGTCATGGCTCTCCAAGGGTCTCTGAAATAACACATCTCCATCAACAGGCAAAAAACAGAAAAGGAAAATTAACATTAAATGAGCAGCTATGTGTCAGGCCCTATCCTTGGCCCCTTGACTCCTCCAGTCATCCACCAAACAGTGAGGGCTTTGCAGTGTGTGCTGCATATGGGGCTGTGCCTGGTTTTACAGGGATGAGAGAGAGCAAATCTAATGACATGTCACCCCATTTTGTCCTGGAGGTAGACATCATTGCCTCCACATACGATGGGGACACTGAGGCTGCTGGGGGTGAAGCCATAAGTGAGGAAAGGGGCAGAATCCAGCCCCAAGCTGTGAAGGTCAGATGGGTGGAGCATGCCTCCAGAATATTCAAGTTCTCATTTAACGCACACTGTCCATGCTGTGTTCTCCTTGGGAAGGGTAGAAGGAAAAGGAAATGAAAAACTGAGGAAAGAGAGAGACAGACAGGGAGCAAGAGGGAGGGAGAGAAAGTCAGGGAGGACAGGGGGCCCCAGGAGAGAGTGCCAATGGGGTCGGGATGGGCAGAAGGCAGGAGGAAACCATTACCAGGGATCCCGGCTCTGTGCAAAGTCATTGCCGGGTGACCACCCTGAAAGGGAGAAGGAGGGACGCAGGGCAGGAGAGGGCGGGTTTCAGCGGCCCACAGCACTAGTGCCCTCCCCGCTCAGTGTGCTGCCACTCACCCTAAGCACAGACCCTGGCCAGCCATGGCTCACCCAGCCCTGGCAGGGAACAGAGGGGCTCTTCATGCCGACAGAGACCCACATTCCGGAGGCAGAGGACGCGTGGGCCACGAGGGCCTCAGACAAAGAGGCCTTTTGGTGGAACAACCGCAGCATCTTTATTTAACGGGGAGCCCTGAGGGGAGCCGCGTGGAGGGCTCGTCCTGATTTCAGGCTGACAAGAGGCTCTCAGCCCAGAGCAGCTTCCATCAGAGCTGCTGCCAAAGCTCAGCTCTGGCCAAAATCATTTGGCAGGAGAGAGTGATGCTGAGCAGTGAGTCCCCGCAGCCTGGGCTGGTGATGATGGCCAGGGCCAGGGCACCCCCAAGCCCAGCCGTTGTGAGAAGAGCAGAGTAGGGGGCCAGATAATGGGCATATCAGGGTTAGCAACCCCAGCTTAGGTCTAAAATTCTGCCATGAGACATTCATGATGTATGCCACGTGGTGGTAAAGTCAGGGCCTCAGAGCCTCAGGGCCTCAGAGCCTCAGGACCTCAGGGCTGCAGGCAGATGCAGGTTTGGGTCCTGGCTCTGCCATTTATGGGCTGTGTGAGGCTGGATGCATTACCTGCCCTCTGAGCTCTGGGATGTGACGTGGCACCTACCTAGCTGTTAGGAAGTTAAGCGAGATGAATATGAGAAGCCGAGCACAGTGGCTGGTGAAGAGTACACTCAGTAAATGTGAGCCGTGATAACATTAGTGTCATCGCTGCCATTGTCATTCTTTAGGAGAAAGCAGTGATGAACACTTGAAAGAGCACTGGAATGGGAGACAGGAGTCAATTCTAGTTCCAGTTCTGCAGTTATATACTTGCTGTGTGACCTTAGGCAGCTCACTTCACCTCTCTGGTTGTCATTTCTTCCAAGATAAAATGGAATCCCGAAGTATGTCTCATGGAAGAACTCCCTGATGAGGTGAAATGAGCTCTGTGAGCACATGTGAAATCTGCCTTGAGGGTCCCCCCATCTTGGCCTTGGGGATCACCATGTTTGTTACCATCACAAAGCCTCTGAGAAATCCTGCAGGAAAGAAACCTGTAGAGCTTTGTACAAGCCAGCATTTACTACTACTAACAATATCCTGTAGGACTGTGTCATTTAATCAGCACATCAACTCTAAGAGGACAGTATGACTATGATTTCAGTTTTACAGAAGAAGAAACTAAAGCACAGAGAGTTTACATAATTCCCTGAGGCCTCACAGCTAGTAAGTAGCAAAGAGTTGTTTTTTTTGTTTGTTTGTTTGTTTTTTTTTTTTTGAGACAAAGTCTCACTCTGTCACCCAGGCTAGAGTGCAATGGCCCGATCTGAGCTCACTGCAGCCTCCCCCTCGCCGGGTTCAAGCGATTCTCCTGTCTCAGCCTCCTGAGTAGGTGGGATTTACAGGCACGTGCCACCACAGCAGGCTAATTTTTTGTATTTTTAGTAGAGACGGGGTTTCACCAAGTTGGCCAGGCTGATCTCGAACTCCTGACCTCAAGTAAGTGATCCACCTGCCTCGGCCTCCCAAAGTGCTGGGATTACAGGCATGAGCCATGGCGTCCGGCTGTAAGTAGCAAAATTTTGAATCAGGCTGAGTCCAGAGCCTATGCCCTGATCCACTCCCTCCTGCCTCTAGCTTTACCCACAGGTATTTGACTGCGGTGCTGATTTTCCAGACAACTCCTAGTGACGCCCTGTGGAACACAGCTGAGGCAAATCCAGGTTCAAGACATTCTGAAGTTTCTTCCAGCTCTAACTGTTAATAGCTCTAACTAAACAGCACCATCACCAGTGAATTCATTTGTCTGATCTATCAATCAATCTGATTGAGACTTTCTAATAGAGCTCAGGTGAGCTCAGAGGGTTCCGAAGGCCTCAGGTTGGAGAAGGGCTGAAATGAGTACGACTTTCTAGCCCTCAGGTTCTGGGGCAAGTGGGAGGAAGCATTGCCCTGCGGGGCTGCTGGAACTATGCAGGTCCCTGGAGAATGTCAGCTGAGCTGGCCTCAGTCCCCCTCCAACCCTGCCATTCTGTAAACCAGGGGTCAGTGAGCTGGCTGAGAGCAGATCTGCAGAAATGGCATGCAGGAAGGGGCTGGGGTAGTGGGTAACTGGGTCGCGGGGACTGGTAATGAGGTGCTGAAGAGCCATTCAGGTTTTGCCATCAGCTAGCCCTGCCAGTTTCCCCATTTCCAGTCCTAAACTGTCCTGCAGTCTCCAGCTCCTGCCCCTCAAGACCATTTCATGGGGGCCATGACATGAGCCACCACTTAGCACTGAGTGTCATCATGGCCAATGATGCAGGTGTAAACAAGGGAGAGGGTGGCTGCATTGTGTGTCTCTAAGACCTCCACTCAGCTATGGTGAGCACAAGTGTGGTCTTTGCACATGCAAGTGGCACAGGAGGGGGCCCCGGCAGACTGTGCTCAGGCCTTCTGCCTCGAAACGGTCATCCTCCACAGAGCCCACCACTCTGGGTAATGCCTGCGTCAGGACAAAGAGCAAAGCTGTGCATTTGGCAAAACACTACAGGTGCCCACTCTTTACACAGGATCAATTGCTTCTCTCTTTTCAGCAGCATCAGTTTCTTTTCTCGTTTCTTTTTTTTTTTTTTTTTTTGCTCCTTCCTGCACACTGATTTTTTTTGTTTTTTAATTTTTTTAAAGCATCAGTTTCTAATCCCTGGAAATCTTGTGGGTAAAAGCCCGGCCGCGCTGGGTGGAGTTGGAGGTGTGGCACAAGGGGGCTGGCATCCTGCCCCTCTGGCCTCCCACCTGTGTCCTTCCAGCCCCACCTCTGGGGCTGCCTCTAACCTGCTTGGACTGTTCTTTCTAGGTCACCATCTAGAAAGCTGGGGTCTCACTGAACTTCTGAGTTCAGAGTATTCAAAACACATGGGTTTTCTTTTTGAAGGATCTGAGCAGCGACTCCCCTTGAAATGTAAATGATGTCTAATTCTTGGTAGCAGTTTAAGCCATTTCACAAGGGATCTTAGTACATCAGGGCCTGGGGGATATGTCACTCTCTGAGGAAGTTTTGTCTACTTGTGATCTTTCCATCTTGTCATCAGGCATTGGCTGGACAATCCCTTAGGGCTGGGCTTCCTGTTTATTAGTGAAGACACAGAGACGACAAATGTGGCCCTCAAGGAGCTCATAGTCTGGGAGAAGACAGACACACAGAAGTTACCCTCCTGCAGAGGAGAAATGCACAGAGTCGGGGTGGGCGCAGTCCTCTGGGGGCAGAATGGCAGGAGTGATCAGCTTTTCCTGGGGAGTCATGAGGCTTATGGAAGGGCCCACTGCGGAGACTGAATGTGCACCCAGGCAGGGGACCAGCACAGGCTCAGGGGCGGAGGCCTGGCTAGCTGGGGATGGCCTTGTGTCTGCCGGACTGGACTGCAGGATATGGAAGACAGAGGCAGGAGCTGAGGCCCCAGCAGCACTTGGAACCAGCCCACACAGGGCCCAGCTGAGGTGCTCAGATATTCTTCTCGGGGGCAGCAGGACTCCTCTGAAGGAGTCCCGTTTTTGTTTTTTTTTTTTTGAAACAGGGTCTCACTGTGTTGCCCAGGCTGGAGTGCAGTGGTGCAACCATGGCTCACTGCAGCCTCTGCCTCCCAGGCTCAAGTGACCCTCCCACCTCAGCCTCACCAATAGATGGGACTGCCGGCATGCACTACCACGCCCAGCTACTTTTTGTATTTTTTGTAGAGACAGGGTTTCACCATGTTGCCCAGGCTGGTCTCAAACCCCTGGGCTCAAGCAATATGCCCACCTTGGCCTCCCAAAGTGCTGGGATTACAGACATGAGCCACTGTGCCCGGGCCTCTGAAGGTCTTTAAGGAGAAAAGGGACATGATCTGCTTTATCTCAGCCTAGAAACTCCTTCTCCTGGGTCTACTATCTGGGTTGAGGGAGATGGTGAGGTTCTACTATCTGGGTTCCCCCAGAGAACCAGGCCACTCAGGAGGCACCTCATGAATGGATCAGCCTTGGGCTCTGCCTAAGACTCCCCATTGGCAAGGCCTCTCCTGGGCCAGGTCTGCTTTTAGAACAAGGACCACAAGAACAACATTACTCTCCTCAAGGGGAGAGCCAATGATTGGCTGTGGTGGAAAATCCCACAGTGGAAGGGAGAATACCTGGGACTAGGAACCACTGCCATGCAATAGCCTCAGTTTTCAAGTCTGGGAAGTGGGAATAAAAATGAATGAGTCTGGGAAGTGCAGAGGGGGAGGGTCAGGGGATCCTTACCCTTCAGTGCTGACCTCTTGTTGGGCTCAGACTTCCTGCCCTTAAGTCTGACTGCACCCAATCCCTCTTCCCTCCTACAAAGAAAGCCATTGATCCCTGAAATCAAATGTGTCATAGATAGACGAATAATAGAAACATGCTCAGCTATTTGGGCAGCAAAAAAATTCTAGTCGTACCAACCAGGAAGTGGTGACTTGGATAAATGTCATTAACATGTCAAAGGGTGAGTTGCTCATTCTCAAACACTCTCTCACACTCCTCTCTGAACCCCTCCCTAGAATATTCATTTTATCCCTTGGACAAACACTGCAAACATGTATTTCACCCCTAGGAACGGGGTAAATAGAGTCACTTAAAAAATTGTGAGTCCAAGCCTCTATGGTATAGCTTACTCTTGTTAGTCTGATGAAAGTCTTCGACTTGTTGAGGTCTCAGACCATTAAATATTAACTGCATTACCACGTTTCCGTTTAAATTAATTTATAAAGTTAAAGAAATGCCTTTGGAACCCCTCTTCATAGACACCTGACCCTCAAGTGCCACATAAAATGATCACTCAGTCGGCATGTGGTAAATTTTCCGTGATTCCCATCCAATCTGCTGCTTATATGTTAAAAATTAACACTGATATTGGGCTGTGAAACCGCCATTAGGTGGTGGGACTGGCTGGCCAGCAAGGGCAGGGAGCCCAAAGTCTGGGGAGGTCCACTGCACGGTCAGACTTTCCATGTCTGAGTCCTTGCAGGGAGCCGGCTGCTCTGTGTGCAGAGCCAGCTGCACAATTTTGGGTGCATTTGAATTCCCATCAAACCCCAGACTCTGAGCCCACATTGTCTAGCAGGTCGAAGGAAGATGACCAGCCAAGCAGGTGGGCTATGCAGGGCACTGTAAGTAGAGACTCCAGAGGCTCTAGGCAGTACGTAGACAAAGGCAGGTAGAGACAGGGGAAGGTCTGGCCGTGGAGCGGACTGCACACGGCACTGTGCTGGCTGGGGTCGGCCGGTGATGCTGAGTGGTCTGTCTGGAGGCCAGCTGTGAAATGCATAGCTAGGTGGCAGTGGCCATGGACTTGTCCCTAAAAACCATTCCAAGGTCAGTGGGTTTCTCAGACAATCAGACCACAGATCCCAGCTTCTTAGTTCAGCAGAATTAAAGGTCACTCTGTACTGCCCCACCCCCGCCATTCTCAGAGTAAATCACCGCCTGTGAGATAGATGGCTGTCTGCTTGGTGAGCCCATGGCCCCATTCCTTGTCTGGCTCTGGGCAGTTTCCATCTGTGCTAATCAGGTTAGGAGGTCCCTCCTCTTGCAGACCCCACTTCAATGGCTCCCCCAGCTACGCGTGGTACACTGGAGCTCCAGAGCCCCTCTGAATCAGGAGTCCTGTTCAAAGCCTGATCCCAGGAGATAAGATGCTATCACTTCCTCCTCCGGATGACCCAGCAGACAGCATTTCCTTGGAGCCCAACTGCAGATGCCTTGGGCTGGCTAATCTGAGCTATAAATCCCAGCTGGAAAAGCCTTCCTCCCGCCCTATGCCCCCTCCTCCATTAGCTTTGCCCATTTATTTAACTTCTTGAGAAAGGAAAAAAGAGAAATAAAAGCTCAGGCTACAGCCATCAATTTAACCAGAAACAGTGAATGCCTGTTAAAGAGAAAAATGAATATTGGTCTGAAGAAGAGAAGTTTCTAGCTTAAGGGAATCCAGCACTGGGGCATCCTTTTAAAATAAGGCAGAACATGTGACCCAAGTATAATGTTCACAGTCACGAAATTCAAACTTCAGTTTAATGAAGACTACATTGTCTTTTCTTCCTATAGGCTTGGGAATGCCAGTTAATAAATTTAGCAAGTTGGTTCTTAAACATTTTTTATTTATTTTATTTTATTTTATTTTTTTAGGGACAGGATCGTTCCCTGTTACCCAGGCTAGAGTGCTGTGGCGTGATCATAGCTCACTGTAGCCTTGACCTCCTGACTCAAGCAGTCCTCTCACCTCAACTACAGGTGTGTGCTACCACGCCTGGCTAATTTTAAACTTTTTTTTTTGGAGAGATGAGGTCTCGTTATGCTACCCAGGCTGGTCTCAAACTCCTGGCCTCAAGTGCTCCTCCTGCAACAGCTCTGTATGAGGACACTGTGATATACATTCTCCCTACTCAGCTCCCATGTGAGGTAGTGTTTTTATATTCATTTTACAGATGAGGAAACTAGGGCTCAAAGAGGCAAAGCAGCTTGCCCAAGGTCACGTAGCTAGTAAGTGGGCACCGGGATTCGACTCCAGCTCTTCTCCTTCTGATACTCTAATACCAGCACTTGTGAAATTTTATACCTTATTTGCCACATTATAACACATTATACCACATCTTCTCAAGATTTTTGAGTCAGGAACCACAGTGGGTTTCATTTAACTACGAAATTCTAGCTCTATTAAAGCCAATGGTGCCCAGTAGAAACATTAAATTATTTTGTGTTTGCTTTATTTGCTTGTTTTTTTTTTTTATTTGCTTTTAATAAAGCCTTTTCACCAGTCTGGGCAACAGAACGAGACCCTGTCTCAAAAACATGTTAAAAATATGGCTGGGTGCGGTGGCTCACGCCTGTAATCCCAGCACTTTGGGACGCCAAGGCAGGCAGATCACTTGAGGCCAGGAGTTTGAGACCAGCCTGGCCAACATGGCAAAACCACGTCTCTACTAAAAATACAAAAATTAGCCAGGCATGGTGGCGCACTCCTATAATCCCAGTTACTCGGAAGGCTGAGGCATGAGAATTGCTTGAACTCAGGAGGTGGAGGTTACAGTGAGCCAAGATGGTGCCACTGCACTCCAGCCTGGGCTGCAGAGAAAGATCTTGTCTCATCAAAATAAATAAATAAATAAAAATTTTTAAAAAATAAAGCTTTTTCATTTGCTTGTTTATTTAATACAAATTGTTTGCCCTTTGTAAAAATAATAACAAAAGCATCTGCTGAATGCTTCTTCTGAGCCAGACGCTGTGCTGTTGCCTTACAATGTGCCAGCTCATTCCATCCTCATGACCACCGTGTGGAGGCACCCTGTGTGTTCTCCTCCCTATTGGACGGATGTGGAAATAGAGGCTCAGGGAAGTTCAGTAACTTGCCCAAGTTCATGAAATTAGACAGGGCTTCCAACCCAGGAAGACTGGCCCTCCAGAGGCCATGTGCCAAGGAAACTGAGGGCCGCTCATCCTCTGGTAGCCACTCATGCTCTCTGCAGCAGCGCTGGGCTCTAATCAAAGACAGACAGGTGGGCTCTGGCTCATGACACTGCTGTCCTTCTCCTGCCTGCTCTTTGGCACTGGCTGTGTTAATGTGCATGTGTTTGTGTGAACACCTGCATCTGTAAAGATGTGTACATGAACATTTGTAGTTACCAAGATTTAGGTGAATAAACAAATGTGTACTGCTGATGCTAGTGAACTGATCCCAACAACATCCCAACAGGAATTCAAAGAAATAGTTCTTCTATGTCCAGCAAAATCTCACATAGAGAAGCAAGCAGCCCTTCAGAAGGAGGCTCTTTGACTTAGCTCCTGAGCTCAGTTCACTTCCCAGAGGAAGTGACTTAAAACTGTGTTTTGTAAACATGGATATGTCCTGACAGGCACAGAAGCTTAGCTGTGAACCCGAGGTCCTTGGGTCCCAGAGGGTGGCCCAGCTACGGGGTGATCCCATACCCACCCCTCTGGCCAGGAAACACCAGGCCTCAGGACGGTTCTGTACAGCAACCTTTCCTCACAGATGGACACTCAGGCAAATGGGCCCCTCTCCTCCCTGAAGCCCTCCCCGAGCCCCTCCCCCAGCCCCAGATACACTCTCACCCGGCAGTATTCATCGATGGGCTTCAGTCTCTTCACAGCTACGTCCCGGATGTGGCTTCTGCGGAAGAGGATCTTGCCTGGAAGAGAGATGCTCATGAGTGGGGGATTCTGGCTAAAACTGCTACAGAGACCTTCTCATTCCCCTCTCCCTTGGCTTCTCAGCATCTTAGTCCAGCACTACCTGCCACCACCCCGTCCACGGTCAAGGAAACAAGAGAGAAACAGTCACCTTTCCTGGAGGGCAGGAGGCGCCCTAGGCTGAGAGCCCAGGACCTCTCTGGTGGGTGAGGAGCCCTGGAGGCTGCCATCTTGGGATTCAATGAGTGACTTGGCCAGGCCACCTTGCCTGGATCTAATGGCAGGATCAATGAATGCCCGGAGTGGGTGCGGCTCTCAAGTGACCTTGCAAATCAACACAAAGTAGAGCCCAGCCCACATGCTACGCTTTGTTTTCAGGCCCATCCCTCCTTGAGAAATCGGCATTCGTTCCTGCCAGCTGGGCAGGAATTCCTATTCTTAGTTTAGGTGGGTGGCTCCTTCCAGGGCGGGCACAAGGCAATACCAAGGGAAGCATGGCTGTCCCAGCCTGACTCTTCCCTGGCCTCGCTGCACACACAGCCTCCAGCCATACGGGCTGCTGCCAGCTGGGCTGGGACACCCCTCTACAGGTATGGGCAAGGCTTACAGGAAATGCCAGCCCCTCAGACCTTCCCAGCTGACTCTCCCAAGCTGGCCACATTCAATCATAACAAATGCATCAAGACATAAGTCCTTTTCTAGTCTGAGAAATTTAGAATCTGAACTCCTTGGTTTGATGTTCAAGGTCTTACACAACTGACTTCTGTGCTAGGCGGCTGTCAATGTCTAGGGCCAAAGCCCCCTTTTCAGAAGGCCTTCCTTGATTGGCTGAGCTGGGAGTAATGTCCCTCTTTCCAGAACATCCACAACTCGTTGTCCATTCCTAGGCTATCTGCCACATTCTGCTGTGAGTTATAGCACTTGTGACCCATTTTGGGGCCCATGAGCTTGGCACATGATGAAGTGCTCACCTGTAGCTGTAACGGGCATCTGTTGCCTCAGTCTACCTAATTTCCCCCTGGAGAAGGCATCTTCCACTCCCAGTCCTTGTGGTGTCAGTCAGTCTAGCCACACCCCCTAGCAACAAAGGTAGCCACAGGATGCAGCCTAGTCAGCCAGAGTCACAGTGATTGGCTCAGTGGTGGGGAGGGACCCAATCTGGGCCAATGAGAGTCAGCCCTGAGACTGCTTTTTCCCACGGTTGCTAAGCTGGCAGGATGAAAGCCTGGCACCTCTAGTGGCCTGGGAAGCAAACGGAATGAGAGAAAGGAAGGGTGGCTAGCACAAGACAGGTGCTTGGTAAAAGCTTCTTGAGTGATTGAAAAGCCAAGTGGAGAGAGGGAGAGACAGAGCCCTTTGACATCATTTCAGCAGCTGGATGTCGGTAGCTGTTCCTAAACCAGGGTCCACCTGGTACTTTTCAGTTGCATAAAACAATACCATTTTCTTTTTCATTTAAATGAGTTGAAGATGGGTTTTCATAACTTGAATTAAAGGACACCCAATTTAGATCATTTCCATTGCATGTGAGCAGACAGGTAGACTGCATATGAATCCACACCAGCTGCTTCTGTCAAGGTCCGAGTGAAGTACTCAGAAAAGCCATTGCCTTGATTTAGATTATTCCCCCAGACACAGCCCCAGAAACAAGGATTTGACTTGTTTTGGAGGCGATCCCAAGAAATATCATTAGGGGAGTGGGACAGTAAGGGCAGGGAGGGGAAGGAAGTGTTATCAGGCCAGTTAATCATGGTGGGCAACTAGAGCTCAATTCTGCTGGGGGGCTCCAGGAGATGACAGAGAATGTACCTGACATGTGGAGGCTGGGGATCTACCCACCAACTCCCTGTTTGTCACTGAGGACTGCCTCTGAGGGCGTTAACTCCAGCACATCTGGCTGAGTGTGTGCCCATGGCTAGACAAAGCCCTGAGGTAGAAGGCCCTAGTGGCTCCAGTGAGCAGCCTTTGGTAGGCAGAAGTGAACAGACAGGGGACCCAGGGGCCATGAAAACCCCAGCTGCAGCCACCCCTGACTTCCCTGCCACCACAAGCATTGGTCGCCAGCCCTGCTGAAGTCAGACAGTGGAACGTGTAACTGCATCCTATTGCATGTGACCTGCTTCCCGTGGATATCTCTCATCTCTCCATGATGGCTCTGCAGCTCACCCCTCCTGTCTGCCCCCACACTACATGGAGCACTAGGCTTTGCATTCAGCAGATGCTCAATGAGTGCTTGCTGGGTCATTCTTGTTCCTCTCCTGGACTCTTGCTCAAGCTCTCCTTCATCATCTTTTCTCTGAAGCCAGAGGGCCGGGCCATCTCCCTGTCAGATGGACAACACTGTGCAGACAGACGACATCACCAAGATGAAGCGGCTCTGCCCTGCGTCCCTCTCGAAAGGAGATAAAACGTGATTTATCCAGACACTGGCGACGCCGCTGTTCCTTGGGGGAAGATGTCACAGATTCGGTATTCCTTGCCTCTTTGCCTCCTACCCTTTTTTGGTTGCCTGTCGCTTGATTGCTCACATGCCACAGGCTACATGTGTGAGGCCAGGGGGAGGCTGTGTAAAAATAAAAACATGAGGTGACCTGAGCTCAGGACTGCCAAGAAGATGGGTGGCCCTGGGGCTGGAATTCTGGGCCTTTCTAATGAAGGCAGTTGTTTGTCAGAAGCTGAGGGATGCCCAGACCCAGTGACACCAGCGGTCCAGCCGTATGAGCAGGACCCTGAAGGACTGTCTGAGATACAGAGGAAACCCAGGGGGACCACAGGAGGGTGGGGGAGGGCCCACAAACCTGCATGGAGCAGGGCCTCAGCCTCCAAAAATGCACTCCCGCCCTTTCTCATCCTGTTGGGGGACAAAAAAGAAAGCAGGGAGATGGGAAGATAAATGGGGTCCCTCTCCCAGCCCCCAATCTCAAGGTTAGCCAAAGCTCTGGCTGAGGCTTAGATCATTCCTGTCCTAGTTGCAGACAGAACTCTCTTTTTTTTTTTTTCCCGAGACGGAGTTTCACTTTTGTTGTCCAGGCTGGAGTGCAATGGCATGATCTCAGCTCACTGCAGCCTCTGCCTCCCGGGTTCAAGCAATTCTCCTACTTCAGCCTCCCGAGTAGCTGGGATTACAGGCATGTGCCACCACACCCGGCTGATTTTGCATTTTTAGTAGAGTGGGGTTTCTCCATGTTGGTCAGGCTGGTCACGAACTCCTGACCTCAGATGATCCGCCCACCTTGGCCTCCCAAAGTGCTGGGAAGAACTCATTTTAAAAACTAGTTAAGGAGCACTGAGGCCTCCACAGGTGTAGGAGATCCAGAGAAGGGAGGGATAGGTTGGGGTGGGGAGGTAGATGAGAGGGTGCTCCTGACTCCTCCCCATGCTGGCCCCAAGCACAGGACCCCGCCCTGCCCTCCAGTCTGCACTCTGAGTGAGGCCACCGGGCCACTGTGCCTGGGGCTGCCCAGTCCTCCCCACCAGGCTCCTGGATCTGCTGCTCACTTGCAAGGTCAGAGGAGAATTTCTGCACAAGCCAATTCCCAGCTGAGTTTTTGGAAGCCCAATGGGGCTTCCCCCTTTCCCGCTGAAATCCTGACAGGAGCAACGTTTTCTTTTCCCAGGGCTTTGGCACAATTGGCCAGTGGGGGAGAGAGGGAGGGAGAGAGGGAGGGCCTGGAAGGGATTCTCCGGTCTTGACTTCTCTGTTAGGAATCCAAACCACACTCTGAAAGCCAAACCGGTGACCGTATAAAAAGGGGGAGAGAAAAAGGAGGGGGAGGAAAATCCCCATGAAGGAAGCCGGGACCACAGGGCATTAAAGGCCTCTTGTAAATATAGTGCAGCCCGTTGACGGCAGGGCTCAGCTTCTGCCAGAGTCTTCAAAGCCATCCAGATGCCGCCCTAGGAATCTGATGAGCATCGCAAGGAAGATTGCACGGGGCATGAGACAGACCTAACTCATCAGGATTAACTCAGTCCTGAAAGCGGAGAAGAAGCTGTGCAGCTGCGACGTCTAAGCAGTAACTGGAGGTCCTTCTTCCTGCCACTCTGGGCTGGGCTGGGGTGAGACCAGCGAAGGAGTGGGGGCCTCCGGTGGGAGTCTGGGGTTCAAGTCCTACCTGGGCCACAGGCTGGCTGTGTGACCCTGAAACAGGTCCCTTCTCCACTGGGACTGCTGTGTGCTCATCGGAGGCCTGGGCTCTATGGCTGCTACCTCTGGAAGCCCTAAGATTGATTGACAGTGGGGACGTTAGTGGGCAGAGGAGGAAGGAGGAAAGGGTTAATGGTAGCTAAGCGCTCAGCACACACCTGGTGCACACTAAGAGCTTTTCACTGAATTCCCTCCCTTCATCCTCGCAACAACCTTGAAGCAAGTACTTTAACCAGGCCCATTTTGTCCTAGAGGAGATGGCAGCTCAGAAAGGTTGAAGGACCTGTCCAAAGTCACACAGCTATCTAGTGGCTGAGCTGGGATTTCAACCTGGGGTTTTAAAGCTTAGAGAGTGTGGGGGAGCCATGATCTTTGCACTTGGATCATGTCAAGCCTTGAGAGCCACCGTGAGGACTTTGGATTTTATTCTGCATGTGAAGGGAGATGAGAACAGTTAAACCCCCAAACCAACCACAGCCTCCAGGGCTCTTCTTGGGAAAGCGGTACCTATGGGATGGACTCCCATGAGAGCCAGGGCCTGGGGCCTCAAGTAGAATCACCAGACACAGTACCACTGGCCAGGGTCCCCACACCAGCCATGAAGAGTTTGGTAGCTACCTCCATGAACTAGGACCCATTTGTAGAGGTAATAAGAGGGCACTGATTATAGGAGCCGTAAGAGAGGGCTGGCCTCGGGACCTCTTCTGGTCTGAGCAGGCTGATCTATTCCTGGCAGCCTCTCCTCTTCACACTCACAGTGTCTATGCATGCATGTACAACTCCTTTTTCCCTGTCTTTCTGCCACTTGGAACGCCATTCATTCTTGGAAGACTTCCCCCTGCCTTTCCTTCTTTCCTTCCTTCCACCCTTCCTTCCTTCCCTTGATCCACCCAGCACTGTCTTGATGGAGGCCTGCTGTGCTGGGCTCTGTTCCAGGCGCTGGGAGCACAGCAGTGAACCAGACAGATGAGGGCCTTGCTCTCAGGAGTTTACCTTCCAATTGGGAAGGGAGTGGGCACGGGAAGAAGGCAGTACACATTTTCATACCTATTGAGTAATTTGGTTATACTTCCAGGTCTTCCCCCATCTCTACAAAGATAATAACACAGGGTAATGTGAAGAGGGGTGCCTAGAGAAGAATTTAGAGAATGGTCAAGGAAGCTTCTCTGGGCTTCAGTGGAGCCTTCAAGGAGAAAAAGCAGCTGTGCAAAGCTCTGGAACAAGCGGGCTTGGCCAGAGGAAACTACAACAGCCAAGGCCCTGGGGCAGAAGGAACTGGACATGATGGAAGACAGAAAAGAGAGGAGCCTGCAGCCACAGAAAAGAGTTTGGTTTTATTCTAAGTGCCCTTGGGCCTGCCTACTTAACACTCATTCTGTCTTTAAGGCACAGTTCCATGCTGCCTCCCCCATGAAGCCTTCCTTGAATGCTTGTCTCGCCCTTCCTTGCCAACCACTAGGGCCCTCTGGCAGTCACCCCACTCTGGCCCTCTCTCCCCTGCTGTCCTAGAGAATTTGTCAGGAAGCCACCCTCCTCAGGACCCCCTCTCATCTTCTCAAGGGGATCCCTGATTTATAGCAACAGGGTCAGCAGCCCCTTGGGCTCAAGGAGGGCCAGCTCCTCCCAGCCACCCTGGCCTCCAGGGATACAGATGCTCACAAACCCCTCCCCTCAATGCAGCCCAGAGAGCCCAGGCTGTCGAGGGAGACTTGCCTAAGAAACAAGGGAGAGCACAGGTGGGCCTGGAGCCCACAGACTGCACGGTGCAAAGGCCTCGTGCTCCAAGGACAGCCCTCCTGCCCTTCTAACTGGGTCTGAGAACAGAAAGGAAGGTGGGAGGCAGTTGTCACCTAAGGCTGCTGGCACAAATTACCACAAACCCAGTGGCTTAAAATAACAGGAATTTGGCAGACCATGGTGGCTCATGCCTGTAATCCCAGCTGTTTGGGAGGCCGAGGCTGGAGGATCGCTTGAACTCAGGAGTTCAAGACCAGACTAGGCAACATAGTGAGACCCTGTCTCTACAAAATGCTATAAAAAAAATCAGCCGGGCATGGTGGCGCACGCCTGTGATCCCAGCTACTCAGGAGGCTGAGGTAGGGGGATCGCTTGAGCCTGGGGGGTTGAGGCTGCACTGAGTCATGATCGTGCCACTGTACTCCAGCCTGGGTGACATAGTGAGACTGTCTCAAATCAAACAACAACCCAGGAATGTATTCTCTGCCAGTTCTGGAGGTCAGAAGTCTGAAATCAAGGTGCCAGCAGGGTCACGCTCCCTCTGGCGGCATCAGGGAGAGTTCTTCTGCACCTCTTCTAGCTTCTGAGGGCTCCAGGCATCTCTTGGCTCGTGGCAGCATCACTCCGATCTCTGTCTCAGTCTTTACATGGCCTTCCCGCCCCATGCCTGTGTCCCACATCTCCTTCTGCCTTTCTCTTATAAGAACACCTGTCACTGAGTTTAGTGCCCACCCTATATCCAGGATGATCTAATTTTAAGATCTTTGATTACATCTGCAAAGACCCTTTCTCCAAATAAGGCCAGATTCACAGGTTTCAAGGGTTAGGACTTGGATATATCTTTTTGGGAGCCATTATTCAACCTACCGCAGGGTAGTTATGGGAGAGTCACAGGGCATACCAGTCACCTGACAGGGCCCTATATCCCTAAGCGGATTTCAGTGGCCCCAAGGACAGGGGTGGTTTCTATACTCCCTGAATCCCTGGAAATGTCTGGCATGGCGCTGGGTGAAATGGATATGAGTGCAGCCTGAAGCCCTCGTGGGGGACAGGGGAGTGTCTGAACAGAGCAGCTCCGGAGTCTCAGCCTGAGAGGAGACAGGCAAGCTGTGGGGACCTGAAGCCGAGAGAATGGGGGGGCGGGTCCTTCTCTGGCTCTGAGGGCTGATGTGACACCCAGGAGAGAAGAGACGAACAGATTTCCCAGATGAACTGGAGGAAAGAAGATGTGAGGATTCCTAGAGGGAACCTCCCTCCCCCCCTCAAGGGTGACACGCATGCTCGTGGGGTGATAAGACACAGGCAATGCATGTGGGAGGAAGGAGGAGAAGTTAAGTTTCCTACTCCCACAGCTCTCTGTGGTCCTGAGACCTGACCAGGTCCCTGTGCAAAGTGGGCTGGACCAGCCAAGGATCCCATGTCCAGCTGCCCTCACCAGGCGCCTCCATCCGTGTTGTTTGCTGACAGATTGATGAAGACAGAAGCTCTTAAATGAAGGGCCCTGGGCAGGGGAGGGCAGAGAGAATATAACCATGATTCCACTAATGGGGCTTTCTTCACCATTAAAAACAAAACACAAACGACCCCTCTTTCATTCTAAGTCTGTTTGATTTCAGAGAGGCTGTTACCAACCCCCAACTCACCGAGTCACTGAGGCTCGGTGATCCAAGCTGGTCCAAGGAGAAGCAGACTGGGACTCTTTTTTTGTTTGTTTTTGAGAGAGGATCTCATCTGCCACCCAGGCTGGAGTGCAGTGACTCTATCATGGCTCACTTCAGCCTTGAACTCCTGGGCTTAAGTGATCCTCCCACCTCAGCCTCCGAAGTAACAGGTGCACACAACACCCGACTACATTTTTATAGTGATGGGGTCTTGTTATGTTGCCTAGGCTGGTCCCGAACTCCTGGTCTTAAGTGATCTTCTTGCCTCAGCCTCCCAAAAGGCTGGGAGTATAGGCCTGAGCCACTGCACCTGGCCCAGGCTGGGACTTTTGATGGTTTAAAGCAAGCAGACACCAAGAGGGTATGCCCTGGGCCCTAAGAATACCCAACTCTAAAAACAAACAAACTCACAATCTACTTCTTTGATGCCTGAGATTGCAGAATCAGAATTTAGTTTCTTTAAGATTTTCGTCAAGATATATCAACTTTTTCCTGGAGAATGGTACAGTGAGCCTTATTAACCATTCACACCTGAGTATGAGCAGGCACCGGCTTCTCACTCAATAACAGGGTCTCGCTAGGGAAGAGAGCATAGAGCAGAGAGGCCTTGATGGAACTGGATGTAATGGGCAGGGGAGAAGAACGGCGGAACAGCCTCTACTGGCTCCCCTGTCTTCCTGAAAGCTGGCCCTGCTCTTGATGTTCAGCTGTTTCCTGACCATGGGGCCACCCAGCTTTCACCTGGGTTAGCCCTGCCTAGGCTAGGGTGGGAGTGGCTGAATGGCAGGCCCCTGCTTGTCTTTTTTTTTTTTTTTTGCGACAGAGTTTCGCTCTTGTTGCCCAGGCTGGAGTGCAATGGCATGATCTCGGCTCACCGCAACCTCCACCTCCCGGGTTCAAGCGATTCTCCTGCCTCAGCCTCCCTAGTAGCTGGGATTACAGGTATGTGCCACCACACCTGGCTAATTTTGTATTTTTAGTAGAGATGGGGTTTCTCCATGTTGGTCAGGCTGGTCTCGAACTCCCGACCTCAGGTGATCCGCCCGCCTCAGCCTCCCAAAGTGCTGGGATTACAGGCATGAGCCACCGCACCTGGCCCCTGCTTGTCTTTTTAAGTGCTGCCCCTGAAACTCACATGTCACCTCTGACCCTCTGCAGCCTGGGGACTGCAGGTCACCTCTTCCCCTGCTGGGCTGCCTCCAGCTTCTGGTGCAGCTGAGATGACATCCCCAGAGTCTACAGCCTTGTACCTGGCTCAGATCACACCCTGACACCCAATCCTTCCTTCTTCACTTGCAACATCTGGCTTTGTTGCCATTTACTTGGGCTGGGGGAAGGCAGGAGTGAGGCCTAGATGCTGAGGCTGGAAGCAGTGGGCACATGCAGGTTCCGGAAAGACACAATCCCCATAGCGAAGGTCAGCAGCCTGAGGCATACTGACACCATGCCCTGAGTTCTGGCTCCCATGAATCTCTCTTTAGAGCCAAGATGCTGCCTCTGGCTTGAAGTCTAGCATGGTAGACATTGGTAGGTTTTGTCTGCCAGCTTTTAATTATTACAGTGCCCGATTTTCTTTTGGGAAACAATCCCTCCTTCATTCTCAGTCCATGGGATTTCAGTGGGGTTGATCCCATCCCAAACTCTGGGGCTGATCATTAAGTACAGTCCAGCCATGGGCATGCAACCCACATTGGTCCAGTGGGAATCAGCCTGGGACTACTGCTGGAACTACCAGGAAGAGATGTGTTCTCTCTCTACAGCTGCTAACTCATAAATGCCAAGCCCCAAGCTGCTAGGAAGCATCTTTATGTATCTCTGTTACCACCTGGGGGAAGCCTATCAGAGAATTAAGTCAACAGAAAAGACAGCAAAGCTGAGGGCTTAAGAGACACAGATTTGGTCCCCTAGATCCAGCTATGCCTGAAACCATTACTCTTGGTTTTCAGTTATGTGAACCAATAAGTTTCCCCTTTTTTCTTAAGCCAGATTGAGATGGGTCTATTTCTTGTCACCAGGAGAGTCCTGACTGGTACATCTGGCTCTGCCAGTTACTGTTATGTGACAGGGGATGAGTCATAACCTATTCGAATGCTAGTTTCCTCAGACTACAAAATGGGAGGCAGTAATGTCTAATGCAAAGGACTATTACGAGGAGCCAGTGAATGAGTCTGTAAAAGCATTTAGCATGGAGCCCAGCCCATGGCAAATGGTGAACAAATGGGATCTCTTATGAGTTGACACTTCCAGGTCAAGGAGGTGGGATGGGGTGGGGTGGGCCCTGCCTGTCTCCTTGCTGGCCACGTGGAATCCAAGTACCAGAAGCATTTCCCAGGCACCCAGTCCATCCACCTGGCTTCCCACCAAGGCCAAACACGAGCTCCCCTCAGCCTGCGGCTGCCCTTCCTGATTCACCCAACCCATAAACACATCTGTGTCTCCCACACGGCTTCCGTTTCTCGGAGGCCCAACTCAGAGGGCAGAGGACGTGACACAATGGCAAGGAGGCCAATTGTTCATTCCACCCGCCCCCTAGGGGCATTCTAGGGTGACTCACACAGGTGTGTCTGCCCGCTCCAGCACTCCCCACTCCCTCTCCCACACGCCCAGGGAAACACACTTGCAAAAGCCCACTGGGGTTCACGACAGAGTGAAGCCTTCACCCTCCTGCAGCCACGGCTTGCTTGCAGAAAGCATCAGCGCACCTTGGAGGGAAGAACGATCTCCCAAATTCTGGTTCGGAGGTTCCCATACCCAGTAAGCAGAGCCAGGCTGAAGGGAACAGTATCTTTCTCTCCCTCACCCCAGGTGGGTCAACTGGGATTTTATGGGTGTCTGCTAGTGATAAAGCACCTAGTCCCAGGCCCATGGAGGGACTAATACATCTTTGCTGAACCAAATGGAATGGAAGTCTTTTTGAGCAGCATTCTAGAGCAGTGGGACCAGAACCATTTCTTTCTTTTTTATTTTTATTTATTTATTTATTGAGACAGGGTCTTGCTCTGTTGCCCAGCCTGGAGTGCAGGGGAGTGATCTCGGCTCACTGCAATCTCTGCCTCCCGGGTTCAAGTGATTCTCCCACTTCAGCCTCCGGAGTAGCTGGGATTACAGGCATGCGCCACCACACCAGGCTAATTTTTTGTATTTTTTTGTAGAAACTGGGTTTCACCATGTAGCCCAGGCTGGTTTTAAACTCCTGGGCTCAAGCGATCCTCCCAGAGTACTGGGATTACAGACGTGAGCCACTGCGCCTGGCCTCAGAATAATATTCTCAAACCATAACCCTTGCTTAACCCTTTCAGTGACTGCCCAGGGCACTGAGGATAAAATCCAAACTCCCTTCTGTGGCCGGGCAGGATTCAGCTCCTGCCTCTCTCTCCGCCCGCCCATCTCCTGTCACTCTGCCCACGCCACAGACACATCCTGCTCTTCCCCACCTCAGGCCTGTGTGTTCGCTGTCCCTGTTCCTGTTCCTGGAGCACTGTTCCTGCTGCCCTTTGCCCAGCCATTGCCTTGCATCCCTCATTGGGAGGCCTTTGGTGGCCATGTGCCCTCTCTCTCCGGCCTCCGTTGTTTCCCTCCCAGAATCTGCCACCATTGATAATGATCTTCTGAACCTGCCTCTTTACAGCGTTCCCTAAGGACAGAATGCAAGCTTCTTGCAGCCAGTGAAGCCCACGAACGTATCCTCAGGGCCCAGCACAAGGACGGGCACACAGGGACCCCGACCGCGACTTGCTGAAAGGTGAGTGAGTGTGAGTGTGTGTTCACACTGGCTTGCTCTAGGCTGTCTCTCATTTACACACCCCCAGACCCCTGGCAGACTAGCAAATACAGCTCACCCCACACATTAGGGACGGCAGCTTCAGCCAGAGCTGGGGAGAGGGGTGGATTCACCCTCCAGGACGCAGACACAGTGGGGCCAGAGTGTGGTTAGCTCAGAGGCCGGCATCAGGGCCAAGCTGTACCCCCTCCATGTGGGCGTGGGTGTGGTGGGCGTGGTGGGCAGTGGCTCTGTACCCTCCCTGTGGGAGCCGGGAATAAAGGGCCCCATTCAGCCTGTGCAGCCTCGGCTCCTCCCTCCAGGGGAGGCTGCCCTCAGGAAAGACGGTGGGACGCTGGGCAGAGCTTCCTGGCAGCCTCTCCCTGTGGCATGGTCCACAGTGTGGGGGGCTTGGCGAGGGGCACGAGGCCTCTGGAGCTCAGAGAAACACTGCAGAATGGCCCAGCCAGATGAGGAGGCTGTGGGGCAGGCAGATGGAAGTCCTGGGTCGCAGTGATGATGCTGAAAGACACCCACTCACTTCTGAGGCTCTGAGACAGAGGAAAAGCCGCAGGAAGCAGAGGCCTGTCGGTAAAGGGCCCAAAACCACAGGCCTGGCCAGGCCAGCCACAGGGGAGTTTGCCTGGCTCTCTTGGGATGGACACTGTCCACCAAAGCCTGCTTTCATTTTATTTATTTATTTATTTATTATTTTTGTAGAGATGAGGTCTCACTGTGTTGCCTAGGTTGGTCTTGAACTCCTGGGCTCAAGCAATCCACCCACTTCAGCCTCCCAAAGTGCTGAGATTACAGGTTTGAACCACCGCGCCTGTCCCAAAGCCTGCTTTCCTTGAGCTTTGGTTCTGTTGGCAAAACTGAGCCCAGACAGTCAACTCTCTTCATCAACCTCCCACCAGCATTTTCTGTGGTTCCACCCATCTCCTGCAAGGATGGTGACAGTAACATTAAGAGGACGTAACATTCATTGAGCACTTGGTATGTGCTAAGCCCTGTGCCGTGTACTTTATATTTATTATGACAGTTGATCCTCATAACAACCTCTGAGCTACATACTGGGTGCTGTTGTTATTCTCACTTTACAGATGAGTAAACTGAAGGTAAGAAAAGTTGAGTGCCCCGCCCAGGGTTGCAAAGCGAGGAAGTGGTGGAGCTGGGATTGGGTGTGCCACAGTCTCTTTCTTTGGGCAGACTGAACATGCCTAGGCTCCTAATGATTCTGCTATCTTCCTTCCTTTCCCTGAGCCCCGGGCTGTGCAACCTGTGGCCAGCTTTCCTGACGGGGTACATCTCAACCCTACCCCATCCCTGAAAGAAGGGGCAACACGCAACACCCATTCACTCCCTCCCAAATGCTGGCACTGTGCTGGGGGCTGGGCTGTGATGGTGACGGTCCCTGCCCTCGCAAAGGATACTGTGTATGGGCACTGCGCTGTGATGTGTTGGCTGTCATAGGCACACGCAGGAGGGAGACAGGGCTGAGGAAGTGGAGAGAGTGAGACAGGCAAAGGGAAGCGGGAAGAGTGTTCCAGGTAGAGGGAGAGTCTGAGCAGAGGCCCAGAGACTGAAGAGACAGGCACATCTGAGAAGCTGAAGGGAGTCCAGTGGGTACGTGCATCAGGACGCATGCTGGGAGGTCCCTGGGGTGGGGTTATGAAAGGTGCCAAAGAGACTGAATGGCCACACAGAGCACACTGAAGCCACTACAGTTGCATATTCAGAAATGCCTGAGTTCCTGGACCTCCAAGGCCAAGGACCATAATGTTCACGGTGAGAAGACACCAGAACCTTCAGACCCTGCCCGAAGCCCTTCTTCCTGAAGTCTTTCTTTCTTTCTTCTTTCTTTTTTTTTTTTGAGACAGAGTCTCGCTCTGTTACCTCCCAAGTAGCTGATATAACAGGCATGTGCCACCACACCTGGCTAATTTTTGTATTTTTAGTAGAGATGGGGTTTCACTATGTTAGCCTGGCTGGTTTCGAACTCCTGACCTCAGGTGATCCACCCGCCTTGGCCTCCCAAAGGTGGGAGCCACTGCACCCAGCCTTCCTCACATCTCAGGAGCTCGGGGAGCAGCCTGGGCCTGGTCACTGGCTGGGCACATACAACGTAAACTCACACCACAGCCCATGTGGAACACAGGGGTGAAGACCAGGTGACCCCAGAGGCCATCTTGTCCAGCCTCCTCACCTTCTGAAGTCAAAGCTAAGCTCTGAGAGGGTCACGCTTTGCCCACCTTCTCTTAGCAACTCAGTGACCAGGCTGAACTCAAAGGGCACCCGACCTGGCAGCCTGGTTCTGGCTTACAGACAGCCTAGCAAACGTAGCCTATAAGCTTCTGTGCTTCTGTGCTTCCAGGCTACATCTGCTAGGGTCTCCAACTCAGCTGTCTTTCCTGCCTCCAATTTCTACAAATCCTAACCCAACAACAAGAGCTGCCATCCACTAACAGTGTTTCATAGAACTGAGGACTCAAAGGAGGCTGTGGAAGTCAGCCTCCAAGATGGCCCCAGTGACTCTTGCCTCGTGGTCCCCTCCCATACTAACCAGGGCTGACCTGTGGAAGCAATTGGATATTGTGGGAATAATCGTATGACTTACAAGGCTAGATTATAAAAACATTGTAACTGCCTTCCTCATCTCTTTCCCAGATACTCATGCTGAGGGAAGCCAGCTTCCATGTTGTAAGGATGCTGAAGCAGCACTGTGGAGATCCATGTGGCAAGGAGCTGAGGCCTCTGCCAGCAGCCAGCGCCAGTCTGCCAGCGAGATGAGCAAGCCGTCTTGCAGGTGGGTCCTCTAACTGCAGTCAAGCCTTCAGCTGAATCTCGACTATAACCTCATGAGAGATTCTGACTCAGAACCATCCAGTTAAGCAGTTCTGAATTCCTGGCCCACAGAGACTATGCTGAGATAATACATTTTTATTGTTGTTGTTTGGAGACAGAGTCTTGCTATGTCGCCCAGGCTGGAGTGCAGTAGCACAATTTTGGCTCACTGTAGCCTCGACCTCCGAGCCTAAGTGATCCTCCCACCTCAGCCTCCCAAGTAGCTGGGACCACAGGTGCATGATGCCATGCCCAGCTAATTTTAAAAAATTTCTTGTAGAGATGGGGGTCTCTATGTTGCCCAGGCTGGTCTCGAACTCCCAGGCTCAAGTGATCCTGCCACCCTGGCCTACAAAAGTGCTGGGATTACAGGTATGAGCCACCGTGCCTGGCCTTTTATTGTCGTTTTAAGCTGCTAATTTTGGGGGATGATTTGTTACCCAGGTAACTACTACAAGGCCTAGCACTCCTTTTGGAAGGACAGGGTCCCTGTGTTACCTGAATCAGAGATATTTGGAACACTGGTAACGAATGAAGTTCCTAAAATTTGCCCAGACACCCTGAATTGAAGTGGAAGGGGATGGACAGGGCGAGAGTCTGCCTTTTTCATGAGCCCCCTGAGCGATTCTCATGTACCTCTGAGGCTGAGAATTACTGACAGAATCTAATACCTTCCAGACCTGGGGAGGCTCAGAGAGCTGATGGGATGGTCCCCATCCTACACACAAGCTGAGGCAGGCCTGAGCCTAGAACCCAGCACCTGACTCCGGGGTCAATGCTCTTTCTGCCTTGTCCATTCAGGTTGCTTTGTTGAGGGGCACGGGCTTTTTTTGTTTCTTTTATTTATATTTAAAATCTGTATATAGCAAAATGCGACACAGCCAATTGTTTGTCTGCTTAAGAGCTTGCTTTGCTTTGCTTTGCCTGTGAACAATTTTGTCAGCACTACCCACAATGAGGGCCTAATGCTAAGAAGGGCAGGGCAGTGCTAGGCCACGCAGAGAGGCTGGCACTGCCGCAGAACACCACAGCGGGAAACGGACTTTTTCTACCACTGAGCTGTCTCAGCTCCAGGCATTTCCCCCAGACCAATAGAATGCAGAGTATGCAAGGCAGAGAAGATGAATGAGGATAATAAGGGAGTGTACCTTTAACCCTTGTCAAACTGTCACCCTAGTAGGTAAGATTAATATTCCCACTTTCATTTGTATAGAACTTTGTGGCTTAGAAAGAATTCACGCATGATCTTATTGAATGACTTTTGTAGACTACAAGATAGATAGGTCATTCAGTCATTCATGCTACACATGTATTGAGCAGCTACTACATACCAGGTAACGCTGTAGGCACGGGGGATATATAGATTTGTTTCCTTGCTTAATAATTATTTATATATGTCTACTATGTGCCAGACACTATTTTAAGCATTTTACAAATATTAACTAACTTATTCTTCACAACAGCCCAACAATATAGATACCATTATTCTTCCCATTTAACAAGGAAATTAAAGCACAGAGAGGTTAAGTAACTTTTCCAAGGCCAAACAACTAGTAAGGAGCACTATGGGGATCTGAATCCAGGCAATCTGGCCCTAGGTTCCACCCTGTTAACCAAGATAAAATGAGATACGGTTCTTGCTCTTCAAAATCTCCAGCTTTAAAAATCCTCATGGGCACAGATGAAAAAACTAAAGCTCAGAGATATCTTCTGAATTTCCCCAAGTCACACACTGCTGGGATTAAACACCAGATCTAATTCCAGGCAGTGTTAAGGAAGGTTTAGCTAGAGATGGGTGCAAGAGAGGCAACAAAGAGGGCGTTTCTAGAGTCCAGAAAGAGAGAGGGTTTCTCCAAGCCCACTGGCAAGTTGGAAGCATCCCAAGAGACACCAAAGCAACCGAATAACCCGCACTCCCTGTCCAGGCCCTCGTGATCTGTGACTGTCTGCTGCCCAGCCGGTATTCATGCCTCCTGATATTTTGGGGCACTGTTATTTATAGATCATGTTTCTATTTATATTTTCATTGAATTCCTACTAACCCTAGCTGATTCCCCGCCTCCCAAACCTAGAGAGGGGAGGATAAGAACTCTTTTTCACCAAGTCAGTGAGGGGCAAAGGTGAAGGTCAAAGTCTTGGCTGTGTATGCAGTCTTTCAGCAGGAGCCCTTTGCAGGGAAACATTCAGGACAAGGGGGCTTTCTCTGCCTTCCAAAGGAAATGGAGGAGTGGAACAGGGGAGTGGGAAGGGCACAAGGCTTGCCTTATACAGAGGCAGCCACGTTCTGCCAGTACAGTGGGATTTGAGGCAGGCCTAGAGGACTCCTGTTCTCCTAAAATGTTTTCCCCTTTGCATGATATTCCATTATTAGGCATTTATTCCTTTGGTCTTAATAGCTATTAGATCACTAAATGCTGGGACTATGAGAAAACCTAGACAGCATCAAGTCCAATACTTGTATTTCACAGACGAGGGAACTCAGGCTCAGAGAAGGGCTGTGACTTATCCTTATGGGGGATTCTGAACTAATAAATACAAATCTATTACAATGCACAGAAGAACACCACCCTAATGTTGGAGAAACTGCTGTCATGCACAGCAAAAGAAACCGGACAGCAAAGCAGACCCCAGGCCCAGAGTTCCTCCCTCACCAAGTTTTAGGAATGAATAAGTAAAACCCTGCGACTTTTCCTAAGGTTCTATTTGGTGCCTCAAAGGAAAACTTCTCAGTTTTCGTGTCACATAGAAACATAACAGTAAAGTGGGACATCTTTCTTCCTTGTTTTCAGTACTCTGTTGAATCGTGGTTTAGGAAATAATATCTGTGATGATTATCATTACAGAGTTACTTCATAGGTTTGGGTTTCCAAAGCCAGCTTTCCAGAATTCAATTATTTCCTTCTGGACACTATGCCTGCAATTCCAGCATCTGCCACTAGGTGGCTGGTAGCAGTTGATAGATTAAGTGAAAGGTGACTGAGAAAATAATGTAATCTAGCTAAAACTTTTACCATAAGAATGTGATACTTTATTAAAAGGACAACATTGATCAACCTCTAATATGTATATATATATATTTAAATGAGATAATACTTGAAACAAGGTTTAAAGATAATGCAAACACCCTGGTGCAGGCAACATACCTGCCATTTTATACCAAATCTTAACTGTTAATCTCCAGACAGTACATCTTTGGTCAATCCCACTTTGTGGCAAGGACATAAAGAATAGTGGTCAAAGGCTGGGTGCAGTGACTCACGCCTGTAATCCCAGCATTCTGGGAGGCCAAGGTGGGCAGATCACTTGAGGTCAAGAGTTTGAGACCAGCCTGGCCAACATGGTGAAACCCTGCCTCTACCAAAAAAAAAAAAAAAAAAAAAAAAAAAAATTAGCCGGGCATAGTGGTGGGCGCCTGTAATCCCAGCTACTTGGGAGGCTGAGGCAGGAGAATTGCTTGAACCCAGGAGGCAGAGGTTGCAGTGAGTCGAGATTGTCCCACTGCACTCCAGCCTGGACAACAGAGCAAGACCCCATCTCAAAAAAAAAAAAAAAAAAAAAAAGAATAGTTATCAAGAGCTTGGGCTTGGAAGTGGAGGGAACTGGGTTTGAAGCCCAGCTCTGCCTCTTACTAGTTGAGTGGCCTTGGGTAAGTCATGCACCCCTTCTAGCCTGTGAGTCTTCATGTGTCAAGTAGACTTGTCATTAAATGAGACAACATAAGCACATGAATCCTTTGCACAGTATCTGGCAGAAGTATATGCTTAATAAGTAGTAGCTATAATCCTTAAGCAGACATTCTCTCTCATTTATAATAGTTTAATTTGTTGAAATTCCAGGCCTCACACAAAGTTCCTTAGAAAGCTGTTTGCAACTTTTTCCCTACAGCCAATTCAACGAATTGTTATCTCTGGACCACTGGGCTCACATCGTGAACAGCTGCTCCACCCTCTGTCTTTCACCAGCAAGTTTTTCTGGTAACAAGACCACATAGGTCTCACTTAAGCCATCTTCACCAACTACCAACTATTAAACTGGTTAATTCGTCTTTCAGATCAGAAACAAGAGGCCAGGAGTAAAAACTGTGCCAATCAGAGAAGAATTACCTGGCCACCAAATTACCAGTCACTCACTCATCTCAACTCTCCTCCCTGGCTCCTTTACTTTGAAGCTTAGGTCTGCAATGGTTATTTTATATAGAAGAGCAAAATATGCTCCTTTCAAATTTCACTTTTTTTTCTTTTTTGAAATTAAAACCAATTTTGTTTAGAGACAGGGTCGCACTCTGCCACCCAGGATGGAGTGCAGTGGCATGATCATAGCTCGCTGTAACCCCAAACTCCTGGGCTCAAGTGATCCTCACACCTCAGCCTCCCGAGTAGCTGGTACAGGAGTGTGCCACCATGCTTGGCTTCACTTTATTTTGTTGACTTAACTTTTTCCAGAGACATCTTACAAGAGCCTGTTTTCCATCCTAACAGTACGACGTAACTCCAGACATAGGCTTTAGACGTTCTCATGCCACCCTATCTTCAAAACCACAGAGAGTTCATGAGCCAGTCTTGCCCATCTCCAATCAGGGAACTTCTAAAATAAAAATCTTAGCAATCTCCTTGGCCCAAAACTTCACCCCATCTTGGAAGGGAGGGGAGAGAGAATGTTCTGATCTATATCTGATGAGGGCGTGTGGTTGGGACCTGAGCATCCTCCTGGTTGGGCTAGTGATGGGGAGAGAGGGCTGTTACTCACGACTCCCTCCCACAGAATACCAGAAACAGGCAGGCAGCTCAGGTGTATGTAAGGATGTGAGGCCAAGAAACCAGCCCTCACCAAGTTACCCCTGTAAATCCTTGTCTCCCCATGCACCTCTACTTTGAGTCAGAAATGGATTCATTGCAGGCTCAGTTGTTTGTATTATGTGAATGAACTGAACGTAACCAAGCACCAAGAGAGCCCTAAAGACACAGTAGACCTCCTGTAGAAGGGCTCTGATGGACCTTCAAACATTGCTTCTCCAACTTTATGGTGCACACAAATCACCTGTGCATGTTAAAATGCAGACGGTGACTTACAGATCTTGGGGGAGGCCAAGTGTCTGCATTTCCAACAAGCTCCCAGATGATGGCCACACTGCTGATCTGAGGACCACATTTTGAACAGCAATCCTTAAAACACACAAGGCTGTGGGACCGCACTCCTGAGAAGAGACCTCACTCTTGGAAGGGATTCTAGGAGGCTGCATTCAAACCATCCCAGAGACAGCTCACAATTTTGTTAGGGACCTGATACTAAAAATTACCAAATCACAATCGTGTGCTGAGGGCTTACTTTGTGCTTTTCAGATGACATTTCATTTGATGCTCTCAATAACCCTGAAGGGATTTCAGAGATGGGGATTATGATGGAGCTTCAGAATTAAACTGATTAAAACTGGCCCAGAGTCACACAACTATGAAGAGGCTGAGTTGGGATTTCTTTTAATTTTTATTTTTTGAAACAGGGTCTCACTATGTTGCCCAGACTGGTCTCGAACTCTTGAGCTTGAGCAATCCTCCTGCCTCTGCCCCCTGAGTAGCTGGGACTACAGATGTGAGACAGCATGCCGAGCCTGCTGAGTTGGGATTTGAACCCCAGGTTTGTCTGGCTGTAAGTCCTCCAGTGTGGAAGTACGATAGCTACCCATCTCAGCCACGGAAAATAGCAGAGTTTTGGTTCAGGCAAGTAGCACTAAGTAGAAAGCCCAGGTATGAACCAGATCTGCAGGAGCCCAAAGTCATTGCTCAGAACCACCCCCTACCCGCTGAGAAGTTCTTCCTGTCCCTGGAAGTTCTCTCTGAGATCCACCCAAATGTGTCCTCACTAAGGCGAAATCTGGCTTCTCCTGTTTGGGCCTGGGGAGAAACATAAACCTAGCCCCTTTCCTTCACACGAGCTTCGATCTTGACAGTTGAAGCCTGCAGGGGTGTCGCCAGGCCACCCTGTCCCTGACAGGTAGAGAAAGGCGAGGCTGCCAGCCAACCCCCACCCTCCACATTTGCCTCCTCCCTTCCCTTTTGAAGGTACATTCAGATGAACGGGCTCCATCTTCAGGCCATGCCAGTCCCCTGGGGCCAACTGTGGTCTGGAGGCTGGGCAGCCTGGCATCCTGGGGCCTCCTCAGTGGACATCAGTCCTGGGAACTGTGGAGGTGAAGGGGGAGGAGGTATTTTCAGCGCCCAGAACGATGGATCTGCTGGGTGCCAGGCAGCCCTGGATGAATGATACATCAGTTCACACAGGTGATGCCTAGAGCCAGCTCAGTCCCTGCCAGAGAAGAGCTCTGGCTTGGGGCTTTGTCCTTGGGCCTGGGTCCAGTTGGAGTGACCCAGGAGGGCAGTGTGCGGGATTAGGCCAGGGACACTGTGGGAGTTTATCTCTTCCAGTGCCCCTCACCTCCTAAGAAGTTGTTGGGGGCCGGAGCTCCTTCTCAATGCGCCTCAGTGTTCCCCTCCACCACCATCACCCGCTGCTGCCACTCCCGAGCCCTCAGTGAAACCTGGACCCAGAAACCAGAGTGCCCAGTGCCCAGAGGCTCCTGGGGAGGGAGGCTGCCCACCACAAAGCACCTTTCATATGCTCCAAAGGCTTCGGCCACCTCAGGGAGGAGGGAGGAAGTCCTTTCCCTTCACCCCCACGGATGCAGCCCACAGGCAGGAGTGGGGAGTGGTGGTGAGGTGAAACACTCCTTCTGCCATCTTGGCCAGGGCTGCCCAGACAGAGCTATGGGCAGTCATCCTCGACCCCACCCCACCACCTCCAATCCATCAGCATGGCCTCTTGGCTGTCCTTCTAAGACAGACCTCAGTCTACTTCCCTCCACCCAGGGCCCAGCCTAGGCCAAGTCACCTTTGCCCTCTCACCTGCCTCTCCAGGACCCCAGCTGGTCTCCTCTGCTCCGTGCAAGCTCCCGCCAGCCCCTTCTCCAGACTCCACACAGGCCTTTGAGGCCTAGCACCTTCTTCTGTCTCTAGCCTCAGCTGCCCACTTGCCCTCTCACCTCTATCAACCCTGGTCTCAGTAACCATCCAGTCTGCCATCTACGCTGGAGTATGAGTTGGCTGGAAGCACCAACCCTGGGGACACCAGGGTATAACTGTACTCTCTCAGCATGGAGGGAAAGGATCCAACCTTGTAAAAGGACATTTAGGCATCAGGTAAGGAAAGGATGTATTTCCAGGGGGAGGGAGTGGAGGGTAAAGGACAGGAGTGTCACCGAGCCCTGAAATCATGCCTGTCACTTTCTGGTGACTTTGCCAACAAGCAAGGTGATCCCTGATTGCTCAAACTTAACTTCTTCAATTTTGTGCCATGGTGATTAGCATGGGGTGCACTAGAATCCAGGACTCTGGAGACCCAGGCCCGGGTGCATTTTCTGCGTCTTAGATGACACAGACTGACTGAGACCATGAGAAGAGACAGGCTTTTCGGCCCAGATCAGAAAGTTCCTGGGGAAGATACCTAGGATACAATCCATCCAGGACGGAGGGTTGGGGGTAGGTGTTCAGGAGCTGATTCCCTTCTAGAATGATTGGGAAGGCACATACCAAGTTGTAACAAGGTGGCCTGGCTCTTTTCCTGGTCTTGGAATGTGGGGATGTCGCGGGGGAAGGGCTTGGGAGACTGATCTACATTTCAAAAGTAAAAAAGCCCCTTGCGTGGCTGACCCCTGCAAAGCTTGTTACTCCCTGCAAGACCTGGAGGGTCTGCAGCTCGGAGTCTGGAAGGTAGTGACAGTGACACTGCCATGTGATCAGAGGCCGGATCCCCACCTTTCATCCCAGATCAGCCATCTGGGTCATCTGCTCTTTAGAAACAAGCTCCTTGCTGCTTTGCAAGTTACCACAGGCCGGGAAAGAACTGCAGGAAGTGAGGCTGTGCCTGGGCTGCGGCCTGGGCTGCAGTGGGAAGAGCTGACTCAGCACAGAGTGGGGAGGGCAAAGGAAATCCCACATCTGTGTCCTGCGGCAAAGCCACCACGAGCACAGACAGGCTTGCGGCACCAGTCCTCTCCCGTTGCACGCCACACAGCGCTTTCCATGCATTAACTGCTTGCGATGTCACCAAACCATGATCAACCCATTTGACAGATGATGCTACAGAGCCTGGAGTCCGTGTGACTGGGCCAGATGGCACAGCTCACAAACACACAGGTGGAGCCGCTCTGGAGTGTCTTGGCTCCACAAGTCCTGTCTGCCCAGCTGTCTCTGGGTGACTCAGCACTCCTCACTGTTCCACACACTTCTTACTGTTCTTCAAACATATACCGGTGGTCCGACTAAGGTTACTGTTCTTGCTGTCCCCCCAAGCCTGGCACCCCTGGGCCCTGATGATCCAAACCTACTCAGTGGAGATGTCACCTCTGCAAAGAAGCCCTTTGTGACCATCTAATTTCAGATGCCTTGAGCTGTAGCACCTGCCACATGACCTGGTTATTTTTCCTTCTGGCACTCATCACTCTTGGAAATTGCTCATCTATTTGTCTTCTGACTCCCACACTGGAAGGTAAACTTCCTGAGAACCACAACCAGGCCTACTTTGTTCTCAGTCATATCACCAGTGACCACAGCTGGCACACAGTATGTGTTCAATAAATATCTGTGATAGAAAGGAATGAATGTAGCTATTCCACGCTGTGTTCAGAGTCAGCTGCTGACAGCAGGCCCTGAAAACTGCCCGTCCAGATTACAGAGTAGGAGACTGATTTTTGGGGATGGGAAGCAGTAATTACATCAAGAGAAGACAAAATACCTCCAGTGGAGGTTGGAGGAAAGCTGTGTTTAAGATGGCACACGGTGCCTCTCAGGCCTATAATCTTGTTGACCTTTTTAAACCCCAGAATTACCAACAGACCCTATTTTTCCTTCTCCATCACATAGTTTGGCTTTTCCTGACATCCCAGGTCACCTGTGGGACCCAGAAACTTCTCAACCTCTCTTCCTTGGGGGTTGCAGTCTGGTGAAATCTCTGAGCCACAACCTCCCTCATAGCATCCAGGGCCCTTCAGGAAGGGCTTTCTCAGCTGGTGCCTGGTGGAGACACACACAGACACCTATAGCCCAGGGAGCGGGCCACGGACCAGCTCTAGTTAAAGACATCCCTTCCCCCTGCTTCCTTCTATGCTGGAACAAATACCGGATCTTCTGCACAGGGCTCTGGGGGCTGGGAGAGGAAGGCCCCGGAGAACATGCTTGCAATTCACCCAGCACCCTCTGCACTGTGGCTCCAAACTGCCTCTTCATTACAGGGCCGTTACGTAAACTGGCGAGTCAGTACAAAAGAAGCAAGCATGCCTGCTGACTAAAAATATACCTCTAAGCTCATAAGGTCACAAGGCTGTCTGCAGGCTGGCAACGCCTACCTTGATTATGGTTATAGATTCACTTTTCTCCCTAAGCAATCTCACTTCTCCAGGACTCATCAACCTGGGGATATGGATAGCGATGCATGGGACTAACTCAGCTATTAGGATGAAGGGCTTTCTGGAAGCCCAGAGGCCCAGTGCCAGCCAGTACAGAGACACAGATGGCTTGCTAGTGGGAGGGGACCTCGCACAGCCTTTGCAGAGGGAGTGCAGCTCTTTTTGCTCCACTGCCTGGCTTCTGAAGTCCCTCAATCCCTGGCCACAGTTGTTTGCTTTTTACATCAGCAGCTACACACTCTACTTCATGTCGTAATGACCATTTCCTCTCAGGGAGTCTCCTCAGGCCAGCAAACTCGGGATACACAGGAAATCTACTCCAATCCCAGGATGGGCAACAGGAGATGGATTTTCCACAGTCATCTTCTAAAACAAGGCAGAAAATTCCAAGTAAACAGTAGGCTGCCCTGAGAGGCTGGTGACCCCGCCACGCTTGGCCCAATGTCCTAAGGAATTTGATTTCTGCCCACCCCTCCAAAAAGCAAGAGACCTCAGAAAGCGCTAAGGCACACTTCTGAGCCAATTCTCCCTGGGCCTCCTGCTGTTGTACATGTCTTGTAAACAAGGCACTAACTGCTTTTTGTTTTGGATGATCTTTTCAAAGGTGCTTGCATAGCAAACAGCCTTAGAAGACAGAGGTAGTGCCTTGCTCTGGGGCATACGGCAGGTTTGCATATAGTCTTGGACTAAGGATAGTGTCCATCTTGGGAGCAAAAGGGCAGGTTTGCTTACCATCCATTATAAAAAGATGCAGGCTCCCCTCCTATAAAGTAACTCACTGCATATGCAGGCATTCATCTGAGCCCGTCTTGTCACACCTACGGAACTTGGAGGAACAGGAGAAGTCCCAAAGTATAAAAATATATGTAAACCAGGTCAGGTGCAGTGGCTCACACCTGTAATCCCAACACTTTGGGAAGCCAAGGCAGGTGGATCACTTGAGTCCAGGAGTTTGAGACCAGCCTAAGCAACATGATAAAACCCCATCTCTACAAAAAAATACAAAAATTAGCCAGGCATGGTGGCACGCAACTGTAGTCTCAGCTACTTGGGAGGCTGAGGCAGGAGGACAGATTGAGCCTCTGAAGTGGAGGCTGCAGTGAGCTGTGACTGTACTACTGTACTCCAGCCTGGGCAACAGAGCGAGACCCTGTCTCAAAAAGATATATATATGTATTTAAAATATATACATGTATATAAAATATAAAATATACAATACAATATATGTATATAAAATAAATATGTATATGTAACGAGGGAAAGATGAATACTTTTTTTTTAATCAAAAGAGAGCTGGAGTAAAAATATGTTTTTTGTTTGTTCGTTTTAGAGATAGAGTCTTGCTCTGTTGCCCAGGCTGGTCTCAAACTCTTATCCTCAAGTGATCCTCCTGTTTCAGCCTACTGAGTTGCTGGGAATACAGGTATGAGCCACTGTGCCCAGCCAAGAATACTTAAAAGAATATTTTTTTTAAAAGTTCCTTGCTTTGCAACAGGATTTATTATATGCCTCTTTTGAATAGAATAATACTTTGGACACCTAAAAGATCATGTGATTTGTTCCAAAGAGCTGAATTTGCACAGGTTTCTGGAATATGCCTTTTTGTTGAGGATGGGAATGCCGAGAGGTTGGGCCTGGGAGTACAGTTTCTCAGGGACTATTATCAAACCACTGCCTCCTTCCTAAAGACCAGCTGACATGCTTGTTTAACAGCACTCTCCACCTCCATAAAATAAAAATCAATTACTCAGGTCTGTGGTCTAGTTAGTTGAGTTGTGCCAATATTAATTTCCTGGTTTTGATAACATACTGCGGTTACATAAGATGTTACCATTGGGGGGAAGTGATGTGATGGTGGAAAGTGATTTGACCTCTCCTTAAAATGGGAATAATGCCAGCTACCCTGCAGTACAGTGGTGGAATTGGAGGGGGGAATGTAGAGTGCCTAGTATTTTTGCAACCTCTTGTGAGTCTCTAATTATTTCAAAATAAAAAGTTTAAAAAAATGCTGTTAGGAAACCAAATAGCCAAACTTGTTAGATCATAATTAAAGGAAGATAGCACTCTGAAAGCCTTGGGACTATCTTATTTGTAATCATTAAAATAATAAGTTAAGTGGTTTAATTGCAAGAAAAATATCAATTACTCTGTGCTGGTGAGTAATTACCTCGGCCACTCAATGGAATGAGAGAACCCTTACAGGTCACCTGAGTCCCCGTGAGGTTCCAGCCACCTGCCACCCACACAGGGCACTCCTGAAACATGAGATAGCAATGACAGCCCGAGGGAGAGGCTGGACCTCCCAGTGGTCTGTCTCAGGCAGAACTTCTCAGATCCCTAACCTGGGAGGTGTGCAGGCAAGAAGGGAGGGACAAAGACAGAGTCTAGCTGAGGCTGTTGTGGCAATTCCTTCTTGCCCAAGGAAAGACATACGGCCCCATAGGAAGAATCGCGGCTCTGCTGCTGTATGGCTAAGTGATGGTGGACAGTGATTTGACTTCTCTTTAAAATGGGGATAAAGCCACCTGCAGTGAGACTGGAGGGAAGGTATGCAGAGTGGCTAGGATAAGGCTAGGCACACACTAGGAGCAATCAACACGTCTTTTTTTTTTTTTTTTTTTTTTTTTTGATACAGAGTCTCGCTCTGTCACCCAGGCTGGAGTGCAGTGGCACAATCTTGCTCACTGTGACCTCTGCCTCCCAGGTTCAAGTGATTCTCTCACCTCAGTCTCCCAAGTAGCTGGGACTACAGGCATGTGCCACTATGCCTGGCTAACTTTTTGGTTGTATTTTTAGCAGAGATGGGGGTTTCACCATATTGTCCAGGCTGGTCTGGAACTCCTGGCCTCAAGTGATCCACCCATCTCAGCCTCCCAAAGTGCTGGCATTGCGGGTGTGAGCCACTGCGCCCAACATGTCTTAACAAAGCACCCCCCATCCAGCCTCATGATAGAAACATGACAGAGGCGGATAAGGGCCTTGTCTCAAAGGAAGGCTGCAAAGGCCAGCAAAAGAGATGGGTGTGTCTCCCTCAGTCTCACATAATACGGGGTTTGGAGGCATAGGCCTGGGGGGGCTCCCTTTCCTTCCCTCTACCCCTTGCCCCCACCACCACTCTTCAGGGTGTCTGGGCTCTGGAGTAACTCTCTGCCCCTTCCTGACCATGAAACGTCTGGGTTTTCTTTCCCAGGATGCCTTGCTGGAGAACTGCCAGTCCCACGTGGGTCCATAGCTTCTCATTGCCCTTCCAAGGCTCTGCAGACTTCATAAAGGCTGGTGGTCCCAGACACAGTGGATTTTCACTTCCAGGGTCCAGAAAGCAGGTTCTAGCCCTGATGAAAACAATTCGGGGGCTCTCTTACGGGCAGTTCCCCTACAAAATTTTCTATAGGATTTGATGGATATGCCAATGTCAGCCCCTGGGTCAGCAGTATACTGGCTCCCCACTCTACCACCTTGTTGGCCCTACTCACAGACCCCCAATCCTTACCCCCAACCTCAGCACCACTGCACAACACTCCATCTGTCCCCCAAGAGCCAATGAGCCCTGTCTGGGTCAGCTTCTCCAGGGATGGAGCTTCTGCCTTTGACCACAGGAGCCCCAGGCACTCACCACTTTTCAAATCTACAGGCTGACCCTGAACTGACCATTACACCACCCAGACATATCACAAGACTGTGTCCTAGGTCCCAAGACTTACGGCCCATGTGTGAGATTTTCTGCCAGGATTTGACTGGCAGATGGGCAAGCATGTAACCAAGCCATGGTTTCCCTTTGTCTCTAATTTCTCTGTCAGCTCCACCAGCCAGTAAAATTTCTATGAGCCCTCAGCCATCAGCCTGCAGCCACATGGGCCAAAGCAAATCAGCTGGCCTAACACTCCAAGCACATCCCGCAGACTCCACACTTGGGCAACAGAAATGCTCAGCACATCCCAGCATCTCTGGAGCTAAAATTGAGACCCTTCTGGAAATAATAGGTGCTCTCTGCTTCCACCCCTTGGGATTTCCTTGCTCTGAAATTTCAGGTGAGGCAAAGGGCTGGCAAGGCTATTCTCAAGGCTGGCTGCTAACCCTCCCTGGGGTTGAAAGACTGTTAAGTTCTCTGGAGTTCTGCTGAGTCACTGCTGCTGGGGGTGAGCCTGGGGGAATCAGCAGGGTCCCTTCAGACACCCTCCCTAGAGGCAAGGAAGCAGAAGCAGAGCCTTGAGCTGGTGCTAGTGTGTATAGCAGATGCTGTCCTGAGCCCCTGTACCAGCTGCGGCTCCTCCCCTCAGTGCTGTGAGTGTGGGCTACTGCTAGGGGCTTCCAGCTGCCCCCTTCTTCAGATGCATGCCCCCGGCCATGAGAGCCATCATGCCCATGCTCCACACCCTTTGGAAGAAGAGGCAGCCCACAGACAATGGATGACTGATGTGGGGGGGCTATAAAAGCTGTCCCCTAAGATGGAACAGTTTTGTGGTGCCATTCACCCTCCAGAGCTCCCCGTGGGATCAGGCAGAGGCTAGACTTAGCTGAACACACATCTCTGCCTCACTTCCTCTTCTGCCCCATCCTGTTTCCTTCCCTGCCACAGGAAGTTCACGTGAGAGCATACCCTCAAAAGCCACTAGCAGGCGAATCCTCATCTCAGGCTCTGCATTTAACGAACTTGACCTAAGACAGGCAATGTTCATCACTGCCCTTCTCTGACACCCTCTCCTCCTGGAAGCCCTGTGCATCAGGGCGGTGGGGGTGGATGGGGAATCCTCACACCCACTCAACTTGCCCTGGCCAGGTTCTGATTGTGTTGCGTTATTTTTCCTCCATCTTTTTCCTTCATGTCTGAGCTAAGGAGTGAGCAGAGCATAACAGGGTTAAGGTAGTTTCTAGTGAGCAGGAGGAAGGCCAGGGACAGGGCTTGGGAACCCCGGGGTAGGATTCCAAATGGCCAGCAATGTGTGTTTTGAAGTCCTGGAGAGTGAGTGAGCTGAAGAGGAGTCTAAGAGGGAACCCTGCTGAAGCAAGGCAAGAAAAGAAGCCAAACCAGGAAAAAGAAGGGCACAGGGTGGGGGCGAGTCAACCTCACTCCTCCTGACAACATCACCCGCTATGCACAGGTCACATTTGCATGGGAGCTGGAAGGTGTCTCCATGCTTGACTTTTCCCAGTAGGTGACGGTGGTGTGGGGGCAGGTGACTTTCTTGATTAACAGCTGCCATTTATTATTTACTGTAAGACAGACTTTGTGCAAAGTGTTTTGCGTAAATTCTTTTAATCCTCACTGCAATCCTGTAAGTGGAAACTGAAGTTCAGAGAGGTCCTCAGTCCTGTGGCAGCTATTGTGTTCTCGGCACCTGGGCAGCTGATGTGGAAGGGAGCCCTGGCCCAGGAGTCAGGAATGACAGCTCTGGTGTGGGCTGTGCTTCCTGGCTGTGTAGCCTTGTGCAAGTCTATTAGCCTCCCTTGGCCTCAGTTTCCTAGTCAGTAAAATGGGGATGATCACCTAGTTGGGAGGATCAAATCAGATTATATATGTAAATTGTGGTGTAAAATGCTAGGCATGTATGGAACATTAGTAATAATAAGGACTAACATTTATTTGGCCCCTACTAGGAGCTGCCATAGTTGTAAGCACCTGAGATACACTCATTTATTTTATGCTTGAAACAGCCCCACGAAGTACATTCTATCATTATCCCCATTTTCCAGATGAGGAAACTGAAGCACAGAGAAGCTAATGCAACTTCTCTGTATTGGTAATCAGCAGAGCCAGGGTTTCCAGGGTGAACCCGGGCAGTTTGACTCCTGAGACAAGGGGCTGAGGTAGCGGCAGTACACAAGCCTTTGCCCTGCGTTCCACCCTCCAAGCCTACCCATCCTGTGGGGGCCAGCTCCAGGCCCCCCTCGTTCAGGAGGTCTCTGCTGACTTCCTCAGCTCACAATGAGGTCACTGTTCTCTGAGCTCCCTCTCCAGTCACCCTCAAATTGCACAGTGGTACAGTCACATCCTGCCTTAAATGGTCCTGGGATGATGGAGCAGGTCTTCTCTCCACTAGCCTGAGCGTTCCGTAGATGAGGAAAACAAATTCAGATCTCCCTTTAATTCACCAGGCCACCCAGCCCCATCAGCTCTGACAGGCTGAGCCCTGGTAAACAGCTGCTGATGGAATAGTGATGGGGTGCTCTTTCTCTGGAGTGCTAGCTGAGGAAGAAGTGGGAGAAGCCCATTCTTCTGGAGCAAACAGGCGACCTTCATGCCCCAAGGCCAGCCTAACACGCTGTGGCCTCAGGTTGCCTCTAGGACTCTTGTGCCCACAGCATCCCAGATGGGCTACCAAACCCTGGCACTGAGCTTCCAGACTGTACCGGAGCACCATCTAAGGTTGTCACCAACCTGGATGCTGGACATTCCATTCAAGACCCAGTGCAAAGCCAAGCAAGGAATGCAAGTCACCCCATGTGAACTCCTGGGCCAGGAATGAAGGAGCAATGCTATGACCCTGTGCGGGGAGGCCAGGGGCCGAGAGTCCCTACACCCTCACTGACTAGTTCCAGTCTTGCCCAAACTGTGGAATTTAGAAGTTCTTCCTTGTAGCTAAACTAATTATCTCTAGCTATAGCATAGGACTCTGAGGACAGGCGGTCATAGGGACTCACATCTTTCGCTGCTTTTGAGGATGGAGGAATGCAGGAGAAACGCCTTTCAGAGAGGAGCCGCTCTCTGAGGGAGGTGCCCCTACATCCGTTTTCAAGTCAGCAAGCAGGCACTGGCTGTGGGCTGGCAGTGTGCCAGGGGTTAGCAAGGTGCAGGCCCTGCTTCTTGCCAAGGTCTGACTGATCACTGTGGTCCTGACCTGTGCAGGTCCAGGGCCAGTCTGAGCCCGGGGGGAAGCCCACTGTGAAGGGAGCTCTTCTGGGGAACGGTAGGGGTTCTGGAGAGCCAAGAGACAGCATCGCTTATCTGGTGCAGGGCAGAGCCAGACATGGACCAGGAGGCCCGAGTTTATTCCTCAGCTCTGCCACTTTTACGGGCAGTTCTTTAACCTGTCTGAACCCCAATTTCTTCACCCATTGGGGGAGATTATAGTACACACCTCGGTATAGAGATGTGCATATGATAACAAATAAAAAAGCACTCCATGGCTATAAATCTCTATACACACTTAAGACATCATCAAAATAACAGGTTATGATACACCTGAGAAGTTTTCCTCTAAATTACATAATGTAATTGATTGCCTTAAACACACTCCAAAATGGTGTAAGCCTCCTCTTCCATATAAGGTGACGTGAGGACTGGAGGAGATCAGATCAGGGAGTGCGCTCAATTTAAGGTTATCCGTGATTAGAATGGGAGTCAGTACAAACATCTCAGCCTGCAGCTCTTCATCCATTCATAGAACTTGGTCTCTCTGTGCTTTTTGTGAAAAGGAAACCAAAGTCCAGGAGCCTGAGAAACTCCTCAGAAGCTACAGGCCAGGAGCCAGCAGAGACGGTCTTGTAATGGTGAGAGAAGCCACTTGGAGGACAGTGGACTTCACAGTCTGGAGCTTCCAAATCCCCTGGGGGAATTGTTCATATGCAGATTCCTGGGCATGCCCCGCCCAGAATCTGCTGCTTAGTACTCTTCTCGGCCTAAGGGAAGGACTGGTCCTTCCCGGGTATCCCCCATCCCTGGGTGGAGCCACCCAATGCTTACCTGGGAGGAAGGGGATGATCCTTTGCTTGGGGTCCTTCTGGCCACCTTCAATGGGAAACTTATCCAAAAGCTGCATCTGAGAAGCCAGACAGACAGAGGGACAGGATTCAGAAGACCAGAACATTCCTCATCATCCCTTCCCCACTCACTCCACTGCTCCAGGGCCCCAGTGTCCTCACACGGATGAGTGACGCCTGAGATCCCTCATTTCACAGATGATTAACAAACCACATGGGGCATGAGAGGGAGGAGGCCAAAGCTCTCTCTGCATCAAAGAGGGCATCTGATCAATCTCAGTGAGCGGGTAGGAGTGCAGGGGAAGGTGTCAGGAGATGACCCCGAGCAAGGCTGGGGTAGGGACCAGAGGCTTTCAGGCCAGGCTGCCTGTAGGGTTTCCAGAGGCTCCTTTGGGCCTAGTTTCTTTCCTACTTCGTCTGTGGGGTGAATCCTTCAGCCACTGGCCATCCCGAACCCTCTTGGGCCAGGATGGGGGAAGGCCCCACCTGATACTTTAGACAGACCACCCACCTTCCAGAACCGTGCTGTGGAAACAGAACCAGCTGTTATTTTAATTGCAAAACCAAATCCATCCCATTGCCCCTGCTGCCGGAAGACCATTCCTCCACTTCCTACCTTCCCACCCTGAGGTCGCTGCTGTTTTTCCAAGGACGGACCCACTGGAAGAGTTTCCAGGGTTCTGGAGGAACAACTGTTTTGTTTTTTTTTTTTTTTTTTTTTTTTGCTATTCTGGACTGAAATTCTATGTAAACTGGAAAAACACACAGGAGACAGGATGGATGAGGCCAGGGCCCCTTTGTGTGTGGCTGATTTCCTTTCTGAGGCATAGGCAGGAGGGGAGTCATGATCTAGTCCTGCTGCCCCAGCTGTGTGACCTCAGGCAAGGAATGGAGCCTCTCAAGGTTGGGCCTCAGGCCCCTCCTTGGTAGAATGAGAAGGATCAGTCACATGATCTTTGAAGTCCAATCAGTCTTTCAAATACATATTGAGCATCCACTTTACAGCACTGGGCACTAAGGAAAGGGCAGTAAAGAAAATAGACAAAGTTCTTGCGCTCAGGGAGTTTACACTCCGGTGGAGGGAGACAAACAGCAAACAAGTAAGAATGTCATGTGCCAGGGAAGATCAGATCAGTGCTGCGGAGGAAAATCAAGTAGGATATGGTACGGGAACAGTACAGGAGTTGTCATTTTATATAGGGCGGCAAAGAAGGCCTGACCTCGAGCTAGCAATTCTACAGAGACCTGCAGGGGGGCGAGGAAGCAAGCTACGCTGGAGAGGGAGAACGTTTCAGGCAGGGAAGCAGGACGTGCAAAAAGAGCCTGGCAAGGCCGATGTGGCTGGAGTGGAGTGAGCCAGGATGAGAGGGACAGGCAATGAGATCTGAGTGGCAGGATGGGCCAGAGCACAGAGGGCCTGGTGAGGCTGTGGTGAAGACTCAGGGCTTGTCGTGATGGAAGGGGAAGTCCTGGAGAGTTCTGTGCAGAGACAGACGATCTGCTTCACACTTAGAAAAGACGGCTCTAGCTACGGCGTAGGGAATGGACCACAGGGTGGAAGCAGGGAGACCAGTTAGGATCCTACTGAAGGTGACTTGGACCAAGGTGTTAGCACTGGAGGTGGTGAAAAGCGGTTTGTCTTAGTCTGTTTAATGTTGCTATAAAGGAAGACCCAAGGCTGGGTAATTTATCAAGAAAAGAATCTTATTTAGCTTGGCTCACAATCTACTAGGCATGTGGTGAAGCCTCAGGCTGCTTCCACTCACGGCATGGAAGGGGAGTGGGCATGTGCAGAGATCACAGGGCGAGACAGGAAGCAGAGGGCAAGGGGGAGGCGCCAGGCTCTTTTTAACAACTGGCTCTCACTCATTACTATGAGAACAGGACCAACTATTCATGAGGGATCAGCCCTCATGACCCAAACACCTCCCATTAGGCCCACCTCCGACACCAGGTATCAAATTTCAACATAAGACTTGGGGGGAACAAATATCCAAGCTATAGCATGGTTCTAGGCTAGACTCTGTGTGTGTGTGTGTGTGTGTGTGTGTGTGTGTGTGTGTGTGTGTGTGCGCGCGCGCGCGCATTTATTTCCATCCATCCATCCGTTTGTCCACCCATCCAGCTCTAACACACAATTTTAGGATTGTCTCTTGCATAATCATTACCCAATATACCCAGGTTATTTAGATCCCACATAATGAAGGGCAGGTCACCGGTGATTACATTCAAAACAAGACAAAGACTGCAGCATGATTAACTTTCACTTCCCTGAATACAGATGGATATTTAACAAAAGCTGGCTCATGATTTTTTCTTTTTCTTTCTTCTTCTTCTTCTTTTTTTTTTTTTTTTTGAGACAGAGTCTGTCTCTGTCACCTAGGCTGGAGTGCAGTGGCACGATCTCAGCTCACTGCAACCTCCGCCTCCCAGGATCAAGCTATTCTCATAGCTGAGATTACAGGTGTGTGCCACCACGCCTGGCTAACATTTGTATTTTTAGTAGAGATGGGGTTTCACCATGTTGGCCAGACTGGTCTCGAACTCCTGGCCTCAAGTGATCCGCCTGCCTCAGGCTCCCAAAGTGCTGGGATTACCGGTGTGAGCCACGGCGCCTGGCCACGTGAGTTCTCAATGTTTTAAGTCAAACTCTCAAACATTAATAATTGCCTGCTATGTGTAAAAACAGCAACTGGGCCATAACACTCTAAACAGGATTTTTTTTTCTTTCCTATACCTTAATGCTCAGCAAAGGATTTTAAAAATTAATACATTTTCAAATAAATTCTATACAGATTAGGACTCCTATTTTCTCCTTTTCCCATTTTCCTCACCCATATTCTGTTTTTGTAGATTTCATTTCTATATTACACTACGACATAAGGAATTCATGTTCGCTAAGGGAAAAAACTAGAAGTTATAGCAGTGGGTGGTCAAAAAGAAACTAAGAATCACTCATAATCTCTCTCCCTGACATTAATATTTTGGGATATCTATCTTTGCTAGGCATTCTTCCATCCATGTAAATAAAATGAACCCATCAATACTTTCACACTATATAATGAACATTTTTCCATGTCAATGAATACTTTCATATCAATGTTCTTTTTTCTTAAGAGACCAGGTCTCACTCTGTTGCCCAGGCTGGAGTACAGTGTGCAATCACAGCTTGCTGCAGCCTCAAACTCCTGGGCTCAAGTGATCCTCCCACTTCAGCCTCTGGTGTAATTAGGACCAGGTGTGTGCCACAATGCCCAGCTAGTTTAAAAACTTTTTTGTAGAGATGGGATCTCACTGTGAGGCTAGTCTCAAGATCCTGGCTTCAAGCGATCCTCCTACCTTGGCCTCCCAAAGCACTGACATTACAGGTGTGAGCCACTGTGCCCAGGACACGTCAGCATTCTCAATCAGGACACAGAATTTCAATGTCTGGATATTGCCAGCTACAAGTGCCACACAGAATGAACTCTTACTTGGTTTGCTCTGGAGTCTGAGCTCAGAGATTTGCTTTCGTTGAAAGCTGACCTGTGGGCAGAAAAGGTGTCCCTGGCAGCTGGTTAGCTGTGCTTCCATTTTCCGTGGCCAGTGGTCCATGGGGGTGGGGGATGACTGACAGGGGGACCAGCTCCGGGGCTCTGCTGGCTTATCCTGGTGGTGGGATATTGCTGCCATAGTGTATTTACCCACTCCCCTACTGTTGGATATTTAGGTTGTTTCTGACTTCTCACTACTATATATAGCACTGTCGTGAATCCCCTTGTTCACATGTCTACGCACACTTCCTTAATAACAATGCATTTCTTTTTACTTTTTATCTTGTTGTATTCTATGCATATTTATAAGTACCTTAAATCTTTTCCATAAGAAGAATGAGAATTCATAAATGGATAACTAACATGTCATTGGGGCCTCTGAGAAATGACTCCATAGGTTTCTGATGAAGAGGTACAGAGATGTCTGAGGAGAGAGGTGGGCCCAGCAACACGCGCCCAGGTATGGAACGCTTTGTCCTTATCTCAACCACCTGTCTCCTGAAACAAGGTGACCCGCTATTCCACCACAAGTGGTGAGACCTCACCCAAGGTGCTATATCTCTCTGGGGCTTAAGGGAGTTAGGCTACCAAAACTTGACATTTTTTCCCCAGCTCTGACATGCATATGTTCTCCGACTCCTCCATCTCTTTCAGACCTAAGAGTCTGAGATTCTCACAGTGCAGAGGGAATGTGATGCTGTGGGGAGTGGGCAGGGGCAGGCAGGACTCATGCATTCATTCCTTTCCCCCAAGAACCGTTTCTGTATGCCTTCTCCATGTCAGGCTCTGCCTTAGGTGCTAGAAATAAGTTAAACTGTAGCCTCATGGCCAGGCGCAGTAGCTCACGCCTATAATCCCAGCACTTTGGGAGGACAAGGCAGGAGGACTGCTTGAGGCTAGGAGTTCACAGACCAGCCTGCGAAACCCCATCTCTACTAAAAAAAAGTACAAAAATTAGGTGGGCATGGTGGTGCACATCTGTAGTCCCAGCTGAGGCAGGAGAATCGCTTGAACCTCGGAGGCGGAAGCTGCTGTGAGCCAAGATCGTGCCACTGCACTCCAGCCTGGGCAACAGAGCGAGACTCCGTCAAAACAACACACACACACACACACACACACACACACACACACACACACAGACACACACATACCCTGCAGCCTTCACATCAAGGAGCCAGGCTTCACAACCTTCAACATGCATCTGCAGCTCTTGGCAAGTTCTGATTCAGCAGGTCTGGGCAGGACCTCAGGTGCTGAGCCCAGCCACACCTGTCACCTAATCCCACCACCAGGATAAACCAGCAGAGCCCCGGAGCTGCTCTCCGTCAGTCATCCCCCACCCCCATGGACCACTGGCCGCGGAAAACGGAAGCACAGCTAACCAGCTGCCAGGGACACCTTTTCTGCCCACAGGTCAGCTTTCAACGAAAGCAAATCTCTGGGCTCAGACTCCAGAGCAAACCAAGTAAGAGTTCATTCTGTGTGGGGCTTGTACTTGCAAAGCTGCACAGTTCAGCATCTTGGCCCTCAATACGTCAGATCGGCGGGCGGTGAGAGACAGTTCAAATGTCACCCCTCCTAGAGGGCCAGGCAGGCTGCAAAGCGGGCTCTAACCTGGTCAGTACCCAATTTGCAGGGCTAGTTTCCACAGATAAAACAATCGGGGCTGAGCGGGGCTGTCTCCTGAACCTGCTGCCCCGCCCTCTGGGAGGAAGAAGGCTGGGCGCGGGGGCGGTGAGGCAGGAAGGCCCCGCCCAGCAGAGAGTTCTCCGGGACCACCTTTGCAGGCAGGAAGCAGATTCTCCTGTCACTCCAGCACGGGCCTGACTCAGGCTGGAGGAAAAGCAGGGCCCATCGCCAGAGTCCTGGCTGGAGTGAGAGGCATTTGGCTAATGGAGCCCCTCGCAACCACATCAGAACCTCGCAGTGTGTGGAGGCGGCCAGGCTGTTTATCTAAAGGGTGGATCGTGTGAGAGATAGGGGACAGCTGGGCTCCACGCGCTGGCTCCAGCCAGAGAAAGCTGATTCGGCAGCTCTCCCAGGGCAGGGCTCCGCAGCAATCCACGCAGGGGAGAGGGGAGGACGGGCGAGCCCAGCTGGGGCACATCTGTAACCCAAGAGGCCGGCTCCTCGCCCCTCCCAGAGGGTGGAGCTCCCAGAGACTCAAGCTTTCAGGCCCCAATCCTCAAACCTTCATCCTTGTGCCCTTTCTATCTAGCTCAAGAAAAAAGGGTGCATTACTACAAAAAGCTGGTGGCTTTCCTGACCCAGAAATTCCCCTTAAAAAGAGACAAGGACAGCCGGGCGCGGTGGCTCACGCCTGTAATCCCGGCACTTTGGAAGGCCAAGGCGGGGTGGATCACCTGAGGTCAGGGGTTCGAGACCAACCTGACCACATGGTGAAACCCTATCTCTACTGAAAATACAAAAATTAGCTGGGCGTGGTGGCGGGCGCCTATAATCGCAGCTACTCAGGAGGCTGAGGCAGGTGAATCGCTTGAGCCTGGCAGGCGGGGGTTGCAGTGAGCTGAGATCTCACCATTGCACTCCAGCCTGTGTGTCAAGAGTGAAACTCTGTCTCAAAAAAAAAAAAAAAAAGAGAAAAAAAGAGACAAGGCCACCCAGTCTCTGTGGGGACCATGCAAGATTGCGGGAAACCTCAGAATTCATTTGTTCATTCTACTTAGCTGAGGACTAAGCAGTCCCCTGTGTTACATGCAGGGGACACATCAGCGAGCATCACAGAAGAAGAGAGGGACAATAATGATAAGTGTGGTTTTTCTTCTCTTTTCTTTCTTTCTTTTTTTTTTTTTTGAGACGGAGTCTCGCTCTGTTGCCCAGGCTGCAGTGCAGTGGTGCAATCTCGGCTCACTGCAACCCCCTCCTCCCAGGTTCAAGCGATTCTTCTGCCTCAGCCTCTTGAGTAGCTGGGATTACAGGTGTGTGCCACCATGCCCGGCTAATATTTTGTATTTTTAGTAGAGACGGGGTTTCACCATGTTGGTCAGGCTGGTCTTGAATTCCTGAGCTCAAGTGATCTGCCTGCCTCAGCCTCCCAAAGTACTGGGATTACAGGTGTGAGCTACTGTGCCCAGCCTTCTTTTCTTTCTTTGAGACAGGGTCGAGCTTTTGTTTCCTAGGCTGGAGTGCAGTGGCACAATCCCAGCTCACTGCAGCCTTGACTTTCTGGGCTCAAGTGATCCTCCCACTTCAGCCTCCTGAGTAGCTGGGATTACAGGTGTGCACCACCCAGTTAATTGTCTTTTTTTCTTTTAGAGACAGGGTCTCACTATGTTGCCCTGGCTGATCTTGAACTCCTGGCCTCAAGTGGTCCTCCTGTCCTGGCCTCCCAAAGTGCTGGGATTACAGGCATGAACCATCATGCCTAGCCATTTTCTTTATATTTATTCTCTTTGGGAGTTCACAGGGCTTCTTGAATCTGTAAGTTGATAATTTTCACAATATTTGGAAAATTTGTGGCCATTTAAAAAAAAGTTTTGTTTCTACTCCATTATAATTTTCTTCTATTTCTGGGACTATTGTTACATGTAAGTCAGAAGACTGCATATTGTACTACATGTTTCTGGGACTGTGCGTGTGTTTCTTCATTCTGTTTTCTCTGTTATACGGATTGGATCATTTCTAATGATCTATATTCAAGTTAAGTGATCCTTCTGCCATTTCCATACTAGCGGTTAAGCTCATCCAGTGAAATTTTCATTTCAATTATGGCACTTTTAAGTTTCAAAATTTCTATTTGACTCTATTTTTTATAGTTTCCATTTCTCTACTATCTGCTTAATCATTAAATCCATATTTTCCTTTAGTTATTTAACTGTTTGAAAGTCGTTCAACATCTGGGCCATCTCTGTGTTAGTTTCTAGTACTTTTTTACACCTATGGGTCATATTTTCTTATTTCTTTGACCACTTAGTAATGTTTCATTTTATACTTGTCATTGTGGCTAATATGCTGTAGAGACTCTGGATTCTGTTATTTTTCTCTGAAAAGTGTTGATTTTTGTTCTAGTAGCCAATTCAAGTAATGGTTAATCACCTCAAACTTACGTAGGCAGAGTTTTATGCTTTCTTAGGGGGGATCTATGGAAAGTCCTAGGTATTTTCCAAGTACCTCTAACTTGATGTGACTCAACCTCCAAATTCTGTCTCCTCTGTGGATATTGTTAGGACTTATTCTTGGGTTTGATTAGGGTGAGTTTACAGTAGGCCTTACTTTAGGGTCTTACTTAGGTCCTTGCTGCTAAAGTGCCGCCCTTCCGGTGTCCCAGCTGGACGCCTGGAGTGTTATGCAGATTTGATCATTTCTAATGATCTATATTCAAGTTAAGTGACTCTTCTACCATTTCCATACTAGTGGCCCCCCAGATAGGCCTGAAGGAACAGCCAGGGAGAGAGCGAGAGGAGAGAGAGAGGACCTGTCCACCCTGGCAAGGAGTTGGGATGCTTTTAGCTGGGACATGGCTCATGCCACGCTGAGGAAGCACGGTGCTAGAACACACCCCAACTTTGACAGGGAGCCCATTCCAGGTTCTAAAGTTCCTTAACAAGTCAAAGAAGTCTTCTTTGACCATTTTCTGGAAAACATGCAAGCCTTCACTACTTCAAGTCCCTTCCCAACCAGGCCTTTACCACATCAGCAGGTTTCAGGAGTGTCAGTCATGGTCTGTGATCCGAGTGGGAGCTGGGACACCCACATGGGTACAAGGGACTTAACTAGCAGCATTAAGTGGGTGTCAACCTGCTGAGTGGTATGAAAAGCCAGGCGATGGGAGTTTAGGAAAGGACAAGATCAGTGTGGCTGGAGTGAGCAAAAGGATGTCTCAGAAGAGACATCAGAGCCAGGCCTTGAATAGAGAGCTGGGAAATGGGAGGAAGGCCTTCCAGGGGGAGGAATGGCAGGGACTTATGCTCGGCAGTGGGCCTGTCAGGATTGCTACAGGAAGCAGTGGGATGGGAGTGATTTGCCTTGCTCACGGATTCCATGAAATGCTGCCGTATGTCAGAGAAAGTGCTGGGATCCGGGGTGGAGGCTCCTGATCATTTATTCCAGCGACTTGAGGATGACCACACAGCTGGCACCAGGGCTGGATGAGGGCAGATGCCTGATGTGCCACTCTCAGGGGTAATTAGGGTGCCCTAAAGCATCACCAGCAGTGTGACGAGATGGAGAAGTCATTTTCAGAACCCAGCTCAAGGACGGCACTACATGTGGCTGGAGTCTCTGGGATGGGGACTGGCAGGTGGGAGGTCTCAGATGCCTGCTCGATAATAACACACACTCACTAAGCTGCTGTCTACAGCATCTGGGTTGGGGAAAGCAGAGCCATTTCCATCCCTGGGCTCTAGGGGAGCATCTGTTTCCTTGCCTTTTTTAGCTTCAAGAGGCCACCTATATTATCTGGCTCATGGCCCCTTTCTCTGTCTTCAAATCATAAGTGTATAGCCGGACACCGTGGCTCATGCCTGTAATTCCAGCACTCTGGGAGGCCAAGGCAGGAGGATTGCTTAAGCCCAGGAGTTTCAGACCAGCCTGGGCAACATGGTGAGACTCCACCTCTACAGAATATATAGATTTAAAAATTAGCTGGGTGTGGTGCTGTGCACCTGTGGTCTCAGCTACTTGGGACACTGGGGAGGGAGGATTAATTGAGCCCAGGAGGTTGAGGCTGCAGTGAGCCATGATCATGCCACTGCACTCCAGCCTGGGTGACAGAGCTAGACACCACTGTCTCAAAAAAAAAAAAAAAAAAGTGTGTGCATGCGTGTGTGTGTCTGTGTGTGTGTGTGTGTGTGTGTGTGTGTGTGTGTATTCTAACTATTTAGTTTGCTAGGGCCACTGTAACAAAGTACCACAAACTAGGTGTCTTAGCAGAGTTTGATTGTCTCACAGTCCTGGAGGCTAGAAGTCCAATATCAAGGTATGGGCAGGTTGGTTCCCTCTGAGGGCTGTGAGAGAGGGTCTGTCCCATGCCTGTCCCCTAGCTTCAGGGATGTAAGTCATCTATGGCATTCCTTGGTTTGTAAAAAGGAGAACCTTGATCTCTGCCTTCATCTCCACATGATGCTCTCCCTGCGTGTGTGTCTGTCTAAATTTCCCCCTTTCACAGGGACACCAGTCATGTTAGATTAGGAGCCACCCTACTCCCGGATGATCTCAACTAATTACATCTTGATGACCCTGTTCCCAAATAAGGTCACATTCTGAGGTACCAGAGGCTAGGACTTCAATATATGAATTTTGGGAGGAATACATAAAAACTTCAACCCATACCATTAACACATTAAAACAAAACATAACCATTAAAAGATAAATATCTGTCCGTATACTATGAAGAGTCTCTTCCTGAATCACAGTGGTGCTTGCACAACATTTTAGAAAATGTGAAGAAAAATAAATCGTGAATAGCTAGGCAGCTCTGCATTCAAATCAGTTTCCTCATCTGTGAAATGGGAACAGGGACAAAACCTGACTGGTCAGGTGGGTGAGAGGATTAAATGAGATAATGTAGGTAAAGTGCTTGGCACAGAGCCTGGCACTGAGTAAGTGCTCCATACACACCGGCTATTCTTATCACCCCTGTCACCATTACTCTTGTTATGACACCAGGCTGCGTCCCTCATGCCAGGGAAAGTGCTTAGGAAACTACAACCCTGAGGTCAGGGAGGCGGCAGGGAGACTGAGAGGGGTGGATGGGTCTGGGAGGCGTCTTGGCCTGGGCCAGCTTGGCTCTGGGCATCTAGAGGCCCCAGGGGAGCTGCCCAGCTGGCGTGCGTGGGCCAGGGTTGGGGAGGAGGCCTCTGGCTTTCCCAGCAGCTCATTCCGTGGGTGGGGGCTGGCCAGGACGTGACATTTAACATGCTAGGCCTGGGCGGATAGCCCGACACCTGCAGTGAGATATACACAGGGTGAATTAAGCAAAGATGTGCTGGAGGATGCAATCCCAGGGGAAATCCTCAAGCCACAGAAAGCCTCTCTCTGATGCCCAAAAGGTGCCCAAGTACCGATGCCTGTCCCCAAACCTACCCCAGTGGCCTCATTCCACAGACCCCCACCTGCTGACCCATGGCCTTTGTGCAGGAGAGAAAGAGCACTAGGTTGGAGTCAACAGAGGAGGATTCCAGTTCTAGCCTGCAAGAAGTTGCTGGGCAACTGGGGCAAATGGCTTGGCCTCTCTGGGTAACCACAGCCTTATCTGTGAAATGCTGGACCTGCCTGTCTCCACACGTGTTGTGAGGATCCAAGGAGAAGATGCAAGCAAGTGCTGCCAAATGCCAGGAGTCATCATTCCCACATAACTTCTCTGAGCCTCAGTCTACTCATCTGTAAAATAGGACCATGCCTGTTTTTCCCCTCCATGGTGGCTGAAGTTAAAAAGGGAAAATGGGCTGGGCGCAGTGACTCACGCCTGTAATCCCAGCACTTTGGAAAGCCGAGGCAGGAGGATCACGAGGTCAGGAGATCGAGACCATCCTGGCTAACATGGTGAAACCCCGTCTCTACTAAAAATTAAAAAAAAAAATTAGCTGGGCACGGTGGCGGATGCCTGTAGTCCCAGCTACTCGGGAGGCTGAGGCAGGAAATGGCGTGAATCCGGGAGGCGGAGTTTGCAGTGAACCGAGATCGTGCCACTGCACTCCAGCCTGGGCGATAGAGCGAGACTCCGTCTCCAGAAAAAAAAGGCGGGGGGAAATGAATAGGTAGAGCGCTTTAACACAGGCCAGGCACAGAGGAAACCCCCAGAAGGAGGCACCTCCCTTGGCACTGTTTTACCATTATTAGTGTTCTAGTCAGTAGTGGAATGCTTGAGGGCTGAAGTCAGAACTCCAGCTTATTCTTTCCTAGCTACATGACCTTGGCCAAGTCACTTAATCTCTTTGTGACCCCATTTTCTCATCTGTAAAATGGGAGTAGAAACAGCGCCCCATGGCACTGTGCGGATGAAATGAGAATACAGGTGAGCAGGTGTGCTGGCCTTACCGTGAGTGCTAGATGAATGGGGTCGCCAGTTTGAAGGTAAAGAGACTCCGGTGGTGTTTCCCTGATCTCTGATGCCCTCCTCCAGCCCTTTCTGCTTTCAGGGAGCTGCTCAGGGCCACCTGCCAAGCCCATCTAACCCTAACTTCCAACAGCTGTAAGGCCTTTTGGGTTTTTCACCTATAATTTCACACCCTTTCTCATCCTAAGGCTGTTGAGCTTTGTCCCAACACAGATAGCTCAGGTGACTTCAGCTCCCCTTGGCCAAGAGGGAAGAGCATGAGGCCAGGGCAGCAGAGCACCTGGGGAGCTAGTGACAAAAGGAGTCAGATAAGAGATTCTGCAAGTGGCCAGCTCTGAGCCTGGCTCCTGGCAGAAGGAATAGTGTCTCCCCAGGAGTCACAGAACCTGAGGCATGGCTTCTTACTATGTTTATGTTTTTGTTTTTGAGATGGAGTCTTGCTCCGTCGCCCAGGCTGGAGTGTACTGACACGATCCCGGCTCACTGCAATCTCTGCCTCCCAGGTTCAAGCGATTCTCCTGCCTCAGCCTCCCGAGTGGCTGGGATTACAGGCACCTGCCACCACGCCCAGCTAATTTTGGTATTTTAGTAGAGACGGGGTTTCCTCATGTTGGCCGGGCTGGTCTCGAAATCCTGACCTCAAGCGATCCACCCGCCTGGCATGAGGCGCCGTGCGGGGCCGGCTTCTTACTATGGATGGGAGCTACACCCCAGCATCCTCCTGATACCCCCGTGTGCCAGCCCCGGCTGCTTGTGAACTTCCCTCCCTTTGGTCCCTAGGAAGTGTGGGAGCTGGGGGAGCCTGGTGCTGGAGCAGGGAGGGTATACATGGGGCAGTGTGAGGGGCAGGGCTGCAGGGGTCATCTGAAACAGAGGAAGAACTCGGACTTCCTCCTCCAGGCAATAGGGAGCCCCTGAGGCTGCTGAGCAGCGAAGGAACACTGTGAAAGTGGAATTCTAGGAAGACACATCTGGCCAGTACAGAGGACGGAGAGTGGTGCAAGAAACATCTGTGTGTGAGACAGCCAGCCAGAGGAATCCTGGCACCAGCCCAGGGCGCCGGTGGTGACACTCCGCAGAGAAGGAAGTCTGCCCAGATTTGAGGTGTTTTCTGGCAGGTTCCTGGCTGTGGTCACTCTGTTTCCTCCTGGGGGTCTCTAGCCATCCCCTAGCCTTGCCAGAGACCACTCACAGGTTTTTGAAATTCTCCCCAAAGCTGCCTGACACTTTTCTCTCTCACACAAACTGCAAGGACTATCCAAAATAGGAGGAGGCCCTGAAGAAGGGGGAAGGGGAAGGAAGGCAAACGGCTTTAACCTTTTCCCGGCTGAACCACACCCCTAGCCCCAATTGTTCTTGATTCTTCTCATCCTCCAAATGGCCTAGAACTGTGGTACCCCAAGTGCCCTGGCCACTACGGGATCAAATTCAGACTGAAATCTGGGACAAAGAGAGCACTTTTTGGCAAAGATGAAGCCAAAACAGACCCTCAGCGGGCCTGGGCCCAGGCTGCTGCTCAAGGCAAGGAGATTCCAGAGCAGGCCCCCAGTGTGCAACCCTGATGGGCTTCCTGGAAAGGGAAGCCAAGCGGAACACTTCTAAATGACAGTCTAACATCCTTGCCTTTCTCCTTCCCTTCCCCAAGCATCTCCATTCCCCACTTTTTTCTCTATTCCAAATGGGTCAAGGTGCCCATAGGTCTCAGAACCTTCTTCCTCCAAAGTCTTGTCAAAAGGAAAAGCGAAAGAGTAGGCTACTGCAGAAGGCTGGGGTCAAGCGGGCAGAGTTCAGCTCCTCCCTGTAGCCTTGCCTGGTTAATATGGAGCCCTGGGGCTGTGAACCAGCACCAGCCTCTTTGGCCTTCCCAGGAAATAAGAGTGGCTGGGCCATCCTAGAACTCAGGAGAGGGCAATGAAAGCATCCTTGAAGACACTGGAAGCCACCATCCAGGCCCTGTGTTGCTGAGTGGAACCCTCAAAGGTCAGGCAGGCGCAGCAAACTCCAGCCAGAAGCACTGCCTGCACCAGGTGACTTGGAGAGTCACCTCCCCACTGCCACCCCTTCCTCCTCTGTTAGAAATTTCCTGGCATGAGAAACCAAGATACATGTGAAACCTCTCTGCAGGTCCAGGCAAGGAGAGTGCTAAGTTTGAACCAGTCTCTAATGTTGCTGCAACTTGCTCCCCACTCTGCAGATTTCATCTTCGGCTTCACACCCTTTGTTGGCTCTCTGCTGCCTGTGGGACACAAGCCTATTCATGACCTCTGCTCAACTGACCTCTCTAGTCACACGCCCTGCCACCCTTGCTTGTCCGTCCCTGCACACTGCCTGGCCTGCCTGAGGTCTCCACAGGTGTAACCTGCTGTTCCACAGCTCCCTCCTCCCCATCACTCCTGCAGATCGGTCACACTTCTAGAACTATGCTTACCATACTGGACTTAATGATTTGCTTGTGAAACTGTTTCCTTCCAAAAGCCTGTGAGCTTCTTGAAAGTCATGTCTGTGCCTTGATATTTCCACTGTCCATCATGGTATCCAACACATACCTGGACCTATGACTAGAATACATTTCCCAGCCTCCCTTGCTGGGAGGTACAATCATGGAACTAAATCCTGACCAGTGGCACATGAGCAGGGTAATGTACCCTTCCCTTTGGCATAACCCACAGAATCTCCCTGCAGTCCTTCATATTCTCTCTTCCTTTGCCTGCTGGCTAGATGCAAAACTCCACGCAGGATGGGGTCACCAGCTGGGGGAGTCTGAGTTCCTGAATGACTGCCTGGAGCAGAGCCCTCTAGTGACTTGTTTAGGTCTGGGACCTGTGCAGAAAATAAATATGTTGAGTCACTGAGTTTGTTATACAGCAGTTAGCCTGCCCTGACTCATACAGAGGAGCTCAATCAAGGTCTATTGAAACAAACTAAAAGAGGGAAGGCAATAGAAAATGTAGATTCCTCCTGCGGTTCTATCCTTAGATCCAATCAAGTCAGGCATTACATTCCCTGCATGACTCAACTATTGCTGGAACTAAACCATCACTCCTCTCCCACAGCTGTATCTATCAAACCCACATGCACAGTGGTTAGAATGCCATGCTTTCCCCCGGAAGGACTGAGAAGGGTGGAGGACTTGCCAGATGGCCTCTGAAAGTCACTCTAGGTGAATGGGCCACACCTCAAGATCCTGGTTTCACAAGCTTGTAGAAAGCACACAGAGACACAAAGCTGAATTGCAGGGAGGAGCCTCCTCCTTGCCACAGGGACATCAGCATGCCTGACACATGACCCTCAAGCTCAGAGGAACCAACGATGGGAACCCACCGCCTCTCTGAAGCAGCCCACGCCATTCCTGGGCAGCCTCTGGGAAGTGCTGCAACAGGGCTCCTCACAAAGCCCAAGTTCACCAGATCAGATCCCCACCTGGTCACGAAGGGCTATGACCTAACAAGGGAAAGATCACACTGGGACCGAAAGAAGAATAAGAGAGGAATGGAGAAGAGGGACTTCAAACATATCCTCCCAATGTTCCACGCCGGTGCTACTCAAGGCAGACTGTGGCACTGACATCATCTCAGAGCTTGATGGAAAAGCACAATCTCAAACCCCAGGCGGACCTGCTGAATCAGAATCTTTTAGCAAGATTGCTAAGTAGTTCATGTGCACATGAAAATTTGAGAAGTCCTCATTGTTCTCTGCCATAAAGATTTCATCTAATCCTTAACAAGCAGATCCCAATAGTAAATCTAGCCCATAGGCAAAGATGGGCACACAAGAGGAGGAATGGGAGCTAAATAAAACTTGCCTTTAAAGCGGAGGAGGAGGACAGCAGGCCTCTCTCTCCCATTCCTTCATAACCAGCGGCAGCTCACTATGCATTCATTTATTCATTCAACAATGATTTCCCAAGCACACACTATATGGCAGGTACTGTTCTAGGCATCGGGAAAACAGAAGCTATGGAGCAGGCAAGATCCTGCTCTCTGAAAGCTCACATTCTGGGGAGAAGGGGAGGGAGGTGGGGAATGACATAGTAAACAACAGTTAAGAAGACAATGGGCTGGGCATGGTGGCTCATCCCTGTAATCCCAGACTTTGGGAGGCTGAGGTGGGAGGATGGCTTGAGCCCAGGAGTTCAGCCTGAGCAACACTGGGAGACTCCATCTCTCCAAAAAAAAAAAAAAAAAAAAAAGATAATAACAGGTTGTAATAAGTGTTTTGAAGACAGTAGAATGTGACAAAGTGACCAAGAGTACATGAAATGAATGCATGCCTTGGGGGGGGGGGCTCTCTGATTCTATGAGAGGTGCCATGTGAGCTGAGGCTGAGTGCCCAGGAGTCAGCTCCTTGGGGACCTGAGGGAAGGGACTGCAGGCAGAGGGAACAGCAAGGACAAAGGCCTGGTGGCAGCACTGCGCTTGGTGCCCAAGGAGCAGGTGAAGCGAGCGAGCTGGGGTGCTGAGAACAAGTGACAGGAGGGTGACAGAGATGGGTCTGGAAGGGCAGGCAGGGCCATCACCCAGGGCCTGGGGGCAGGCAAGGAGTTTGGAGTTCATTCCAAAAAGAAAGGGAGTCTTCAGAAAGGTTCAAGGCCATGGTCTGCCAGGATAGGGTTTATGTTTTAGGAGGGCTCTGATTCGTGGGAAGACTGGATTATGGAGGAGGTGACCGTGAGAATGTGGAGACCCCTGAGGAGGCTGTCTCAGTTGCCCAGGTGACAGGTTGATGCGGGGCTGGACCACGGTGGGGGCAGAGTCGATGCAGAGGAAGAGGGCAGATCCGGGCTGTCTCTGGGGGGCAGAGTCTGAGAAGATGAGCTGAGGACGAGCTGACTTGCTATTGGGCTGGATATGGGACATGACTGGCCAGGTGTGGGGTGGTCCCAACCGGGTTTGAATCCCTTTTGGCATCTTAGATGCACATAGCAGCTGACCCAGGCACAGGTGTGCCCCGTACAGGTCTGAAGGTGTCAAAGCTGGCATCTGCTGCTTGGATGGCTTCCTCCCTGGTCACTGAGGTCAGGCATTTATTTTGCCCATAGACGTCTCCTATAACTTCTTTTTGGAATCTCCTTAAGCCAAGGACTTCCCAGTGTTCCTTCACAGTGGGAAAAGGGGAGAACAAGGTGGAGCCCAGATGGAAAAAGAGAGGAATCCCTAGAGCTAAAAATAAACCTCGGGCAGTGTTGCCAGGGAAGCCTTGTAAAGCAGCCCCCGCAGTGAGGCGAGCCGCCCGGGGCAGCCTGTGCTTCCCAGGCTCTGCTGCCAGCCCTTCTAATGAGGCTCTCCTTGGGGGAAAAACTGCCTCCTGCCAGGGACCTGGGAATGCAACAGGAAAAGTCCCCCCGCAAAGCTTGCTGTCTTCCAAGCCCACCCTGGTGCCCAGCTGCAGGCTACTTCTCCAGGTGGCAGCCCAGCTGCTGACCCAGGTGATGGGCTCCTTTCAAACAGGGGAGCTGCCCACCTGGAATGAGATGCAGGAGGAGGAGGAAGTGCAGGGAGAGAAGATGCTGGCTGCTCGGGGGTTGCTGGGGCACCTGTGTGCAGGCCTGCCCTTTTCCAGGTCCCGCCCTCCCTGGACTTCAGACCCCAAGAGGTCACAGAAGCAGGGGTCGCCCAAGCCTCTGTGCATGCCCAAGGCGGTCCTGTCCCACACCTTGCCCACGTGGATGCCCGTGCCTGGAGCGCCTTCCCAGCCTACCTGAACCCCAGCCCTTCTCCACCTCCAGTTCCACTCCTACACGCAGACCCAAGGCAGGAGGAAGGGAATGTAGCATTGACCAGACACCTCTTCTATCTGCACCATTTTATTTATTTAAAAGAGACATATCTGAAGCAAATGTGGCAAAATATTCACGTGTTAAATCTGGGCAGTCGGTCCTCTCATGCCTGTGATATCATTTTCTATAGGATTGAAAACATTCCTAATTACAAATAAACACTGGAGAGAAGCTGCAGCACAGAGAAGCACTGGCAGCGGCTGGCTGGAGGGCAGGACAGTCCCAGTAAAAACTCGGGGGGTGCAGTGAGGAGGCAGGAGGATGGGTCTGCTGGGGTGGAGGAGGAAGAAGAGGAAAAGAAAGGGGAGGAGGAGGAGAAGTAAGAAGGAGGAAGGAAGGGGAGAAGGGGGAAAAGGAGAAGGGAGTGGGGAGGATGTGGGGAGGGGTCCAGATGGCAGCTGGGTTTGGAACACACTGAGGTGGAGGCACATGTGTGGCTTACACGCAGAGACACCTGGGAGCGGCAGCCTACTAGGCGTGTCTGCTTAGACGGGTAACCAGTCTGCAGGTCAGCTCGGGTTGCATCTGTCTCCAGCCCCTCAGCCCCACTCTGAACACCAACACTTGCCCTTAGCAGGTGCTCAACAAATGTGATCAGGTGCTCACCCCCAACCCTTCCTTCCAGTTGATGGCAAAGGCTTGGACCAGAGAAAACGGCTGTTCACTGATAGAAGATATTCAAGGGCCAGCAAAGCCCTGCCCCAAGCCTGTTCCTGACACCTACCTGACCTGGATCGCTGACAGCTTGGGGGCCAGCCTGTCCCTGCAAGAGCCACTCCCTTTCCTGGGCACCTGCCCACTGCTCAGCTATTTCTAGCAGGAACAGCAATGGGGCAGGTGTGGCCTTAGAGGAACAGCTAGCATGGGGGTGGGCAGGGATTAGGCAATGGAACAGACAGATGAGACCCGGGGACCCTCTGTCCAGTCAGATAAGGGGAAGAGCTGGCCCAAGACTCCTGCCCTCCGTGCCCCTAACCCCACTCACAGGGACTCTGAACCCCACTCTCCGGGGGTAGCCTGAGTGAGGGCTGAGGCCACTGCCAGCCCCTTGTACTCATAGGGCCCCCGGGCACAGCATGGCCCAGGGAAGGGAGGAAGCAGTCACTGCTCTTCTGGGAGGGGGACAGAGCAATGGCTGGCCATCACGGCTGCCCACAGGAGGCAGGACAGCCTCCCCATCAGGTGCCAAGACTGCCGCCTGATTCCAAAAGGCGCGTCTGTACGTGAGCCACTCTCGGGAAAGCTGCCTCCCCATCCCCACAGTCTCCTGAGGAGGGGAAGCAGGTTTCCTCCCCTGCAAGGGCTTCTGCCTTCACTAATCCCAGCAGGAGACTCCCATGCAGACCAGAGCAGGCTTCCACCTGCCCTTCTCCCAGACTTCTGCTTGGGATGCGGCCGCATCCTGGGATGAGACATGCAGACGAGACTGGCAAAGACAGAATCAGGGCGAGAGAAAAAGCCTCCGGGGAGGCTGACATAAGAGCGTAGACGGAGGCTCAGGGAAAGGTCACAGGAACAAACACAGCCACAGCCAGAGATGGGCTCAGAGACCTCAGACAGACAGAGAGAAATAGAGAAACTGAGGAAAGAGAGACAGAGAGAGAACACCACAGGGAGAATCCAAGACTCCTGAGCAGAGCAAGGAAACGAACATACAGAAACTGACCATTTCTCTCTATGCCCAGCCCCCACCTGCCCCTTCTGCTCTGTAGCTGAAGCCTTCTTGGCAAGGAAGGGAAAGGACTCCTCTCCTCTTCGAGGTGTGGGGCTTCCCAGGCTGGCTCTGCAGCACATCAAAGTGGCAGCAGAGAGGAACGGCTTAGCGCATGGATTCCAGCACCAGACTGCCCAGTCTGAATCCTGGCTCCTCCACCTACCTGTGGTGAGACCTTGACATCCTATGTGACCTGAGTACCCTCATCTCTTTTTTTTAAAAAAGGGGGAATGTTGGGGGGCTGTGGCTTGCACCTTTAATCCCAGCTACTAAGGAGGCTAATGGAGGAGGACCACTTAAGGCCAAGAGTTTGAGACCAGTCCAGGCAACATAGCGAGACCCCCCATCTCTACAAAAAATTTAAAAATTAGTCCAGCACAGTGGTGCACACTTGTACTCCCAGCTACTCAGGAAGCTGAGCTGAGAGGATTGCTTGAACCCAGGGGTGAGGCTGCAATGAGCTATGATTGTACCACTGCACTCCAGCCTTGTGACACAGTGAGACCTCTTAAAAAAATAAATATAAAATAAAAATAAATTTTGAAAAATGGGGGAGAGTGGTGGTGCCTACATCCCAGGGTGGGCTGTAAGCAGTTCAGGGGTGATCATGGAAAGGACATGGGGCAGGGCCTGACACAAAGCACGTGCCAACACTGGTTCCTACGGAGAGTCCCCCCAGCCTGAGGGGTGACCCCTGCTCCCCAACCTCCCCTGCCTCAGGAGGAGCAAGTCAGGTTTGTCCCTAAGCTCCTTCCTTCCTTCTTGCCCTTCCTGAGCTGAGGAGAAAGTGCAGAGGTGAGAGAAGCCCTTGGCCGCTGGGACTGAGGTCACCTGCAGGCATCACCAGCAGCTGTGACAGGGAGCTCCTCAGGCCCTAGGGTCTCCTTATCCCAGCACTCCACAGTTCTGTCCAGCTTTGCATCCGATTCACTTATCAAGCCTATCTGAACTCCAGACACAGGGAGCCTGCCCTAGACAGTCAGATTCAGGAGGCTGCTGGGGAACAGGAATCTGGATGCATTTTTAATCTGGCTCGCAGGTGAACCCAGATCACAGGTGATTCTGTCACCCATCCAGGGCACAGGCCCATGGCTCCAGCCCGCACCCTGGTTCTTGACTACACAGCCAAGAAACCCAGGTATTCCAAACTGTCCCAACTGCCAGACTCAGGCAGCAGCAGACTTTTCTCAATATGCACCAAATATATATATAAAGCAATGGATAGAGTCTCCCATTTTGGAGTCCTCCTACACAGTTTTCTTAAAACATTGGCACTTTGCCAGACTGCCTGGCCCCAGTCTCTTCTGTCTTGGTCCCCACCCTGTTGCACTGCTGGATGGAGTGGGGGCAGGCACACACAGAGGGGTTTCCCTCCACCCTCCCACTGGGGATTCCTCCTCAAAGGTTCCAAGATGAGCAGTGAAGCCCTGGGAAACCCAGAAAAAAACCAAGCCTGTCTCCCTGGGGAGCAAGGCAGGCTGGCCTCCGCCAGGGCTGCCCTCGGGAGGTGCTGCCGGGACTGTCTCAGCAGGAAGAATGGCCCTGGCTTGTCACCCACCCAAAGACCCTCTGCCAGCATCTTAGCTCCAGCCCAAACACCAGCCTCATTCTTCCTGTTTGGCAAAAAACAAACAAACAAAAAAAATCTTTTTGAACAAGGTATACCTAAATGGACCACATTCCTGGGCTCTTCCCGAGCCCCTCAGCCAGCACTGAGCACAAGACTGCCAGGGTGGATGAACCGGCCACTTTGTTTACTGAGCACCAGATCAAGGCTCCATAATTAGCAGATAGAGCCAAACCCTGGTGGCTTTGGGGTCTGTCTCCTCACCAGCCCCAAAGCATTGATTTACTGCAGCTTGGAGGTACCCAAGACCCTTCTGTGGCTGGGAAAAATGTTCCCCTAATCCAGGCTGGGCATGCATTCTGTTCACAGGGAGGATCGGAGCCCCTTCCCCTCTCCAGGGATGCCAGAGGCAGCACCAACAATCTCATAATAATAATGCTTCACCGCTGCTCCAGCCATGATGGCAAGGCTTTCCTGAGGCTCATCTTCACATCCCACAACAGCTCTATGGGACAGGCTCTGCGAGTACAGCCATTTTGCAGATGGGAAGGTGGAGACTCCTGGAGGGTAACTCAGGTTCACACAGCTGGTAAAGGGGCAGGCCAAGGCGCAAACCCAAATAAGTCTGGCTGATAACACAGCCTGAACCTTCCATCTCTGGGAGATGCTGCCCTACTTGGAAAGTTGGGAATTTGGCACCAGGACTCCCACAAGTCCTTTGGAGAGCCTGATGTCATCCATCTGTGGAGGTCTCTGGGAGATCTAAAATCTTTTTTCCTTGGCTTCAGCTAAATTGAGGATATAAAGGAAAAAGCTCCAATATCCCAACTACTCCCACAGTGTTCCAATCTAAACTAGTGTCCCTGAGGCCGGGTGCGGTGGCTCACGCCTGTAATCCCAGCACTTTGGGAGGCCGAGACGGGCGGATCACTTGAGGTCAGGAGCTCGAGACCAGCCTGGCCAACATGGAGAAACCCCGTCTCTACTAAAAATACAAAAATTAGCTGGGCATGGTGGCAGGCACCTGTAATCCCAGCTACTCTAATCCCAGCTACTCGGGAGGCTGAGGCAGGAGAATCGCTTGAACCCGGGAGGCGGAGCTTGCAGTGAGCTGAGATCACACCACTGCACTCCAGCCTGGGCATCAGAGCAAGACTCTGCCTCAAAAAATAAAATAAAATAAACTAGTGTCCCTGAGACACAGGGATGGCAGCAACTGAAATCATCAGGAAGCTGAGGTCCAGCCTGGGGCGGGGGCTGCTGATGAGGGAATCAATGCAGCTCACATCTCCCGGTCACCACACTGGTGGCAGATTGCCTCCCAGAGGGACGAATAACTCTATCTTCCCTCAGAAAAGCCCACAGCTCAGGCTCCCATAGCTTACCAGACTGCCCTACATGCCTCATTCCAAAAGAGTCAAAAACAAAACCAGCTGCTGCCATCGTCAGTGGGGGAGGATGGGGGGGGTAGAAGGACCAGGATGTCAAGACCTTCAGGCCCCAGATCGAAGCTGCCCCCACAAGCCAAAGGGAATGCCCACAGCATGCAGGCATGATGCAGGTGGTCTACATCCTGGGCTGCCCACTTAGTGCGGCAACACCCGTTCTGTGCATTCCACCCTCATGCTCTGCCAGCTGAGGGCTCTTTCACCCAGGATGACTCTGGATTTTCCCCTTAGGGTCCCCAGCACCATGCATGGAGTCAGGCACGTAGCTAGTGCTCCTCCAGAGGTGCCAGGAGGCACTTGAAATTCCCTCCAGCAGGAAGAGAGTGACCTGGTCACACCTGAAGCTTCACAGGGTGTGTATACGTACACACACACACACACACACACACACAACACTCACCTGGCCACCACCAAAGATCCCCCTTCCCTTCATTCTCCAGTTTGGAGGGGGGCACTGTCACCCAACACACTTTCCAGACAACTTTCCTGTTGGTTATCCAAAGAGGGGTAAGATGAAGGCCCAGTAGGGGCAGAGCTGAATTTTCTAAGTTGGACCTTTGGGCCTAGGAGCAGAGGAGGAAGGAGGTGGCAGAGGCTGCAACTGCATTCCAACGCCTCCCTGACGTGACACCCAAACACACCCTGACATGACACTGCACACCAGGAAAACAAGGTGTGCAGCTCTGAACAGTCATGAAGGTGGTGTGAGCTGACTCTGACACTGCCCCTGGCAAAGCTGGGGTTTATTATTCAACAATGAGAGAGGCAGGTGACGGTGTGCAGGAGATGTGGGCTGAGCTCCAGGAAGCAGCTGAGCCTGGGAGGGAGCCACCAGCGACCTTTCTGGGATCTAGAGAGAAGTCTTCAGCTCTTTGCAACGGCAGCTTCTCTCTAGGCAGAGTGAATGGTTCCCCACCCCTCCCTCCAGGCACACTCTCAGTGAGGCAACAGAAGCTTCCTGCCCTCATCAGCCAAAAACAGAAAGAGGACTTTCTTTTTTTTTTTTTGAGATGGAGTCTCGCTGTGTCGCCCAGGCTGGAGAGCAGTGGTGCGATCTCGGCTCACTGCAAGCTCCGCCTCCCGGGTTCAAGCCATTCTCCTGCCTCAGCCTCCCGGGTAGCTGGGAATACAGGCGCCCGCCATCACCCCTGGCTAATTTTTTTGTATTTTTAGTAGAGACGGGGTTTCACGTGTTAGCCAGGATGGTCTCGATCTCCTGACCTCGTGATCCACCCGCCTCGGCCTCCCAAAATGCTGGGATTACAGGTGTGAGCCACCGCGCCCGGCCCAGAAAGAGGACTTCTGAGTGGAAGGCTAGGAACTCAGATTGGAGTGAGCTAGAAGCGAGAGTACCAGAGTTCTAGTCCTGCTGTCACTTGCTGTGATCTTGGACAAATCACTCCCTGCTTGGGACCTCATTTCCTTGTCTGTCAAATAAGGGAAATGGGCAAGATCAGAGGGCGGCCAGTTAGTTTCATCTCAAGGTGCCATTGCCAACTGATAGGTAGTGACTTCCTAAAGATACTCGGTTTTGTTTTTTAGAAAGACTCTGAGACCATGTCTGGGCTCGTAATCAATTAACAATGCCTGCCATGGGTACAGGACAGGAGAATGCCATGATCAATTAGTGATGTCTGCTGTAGGCATGAGTGGGAGATAGCAACATGAGTGCCAGATACTTGTCATCCTGCTAGATATCTCTAAGGGCTTCCTGGTTGGAAAACTTATAATTCCACCACTGATTTCCCAGCGGACATCGTTAACATCAGTTGACAAACATGTACCTCCCATATTGTGCTATTTGCACACAGCTGATTTCTCTCCCTGAAAGGGACATTCTCAGCCCTGCTGGACAGTCACTGGGGGAGCAGTGATGCCCCCAAGGCTCCTAGCACTCACACTCACAAGACGTCACCCAGAAATTTAGAGCCAATGAACAGTGCCAAGGACTGACACCCAGAGGACATTCCAGCTTCTTACAATTTTCCCCAGTTTACAAAAGAGCTTCCCCCGCTGTATGAAAATCCCACATTGACCCCATGGAGAGGCTGGGGGTGCAGCAAAGGGCGGAGATGGCTTTTGATTTTCTACTGCACAAATGAGGGTCTGATCTGACAGGGCCTTGAGTCCATTAGGAATAGGATTTGGCCAAACACCCTGTGAACACCGTGAATACCCTGGGCCTGGATCAAATGCACACAACCATCCAAAATGAGGCTCACAGAGCGAGTCCTCAACTGTATAGGAAAGGTGTGATTTCCCACACAGACCCACAGCACGGTGCATATCTGACAACTCCCAGCGGCTTCAGTGTCACACAAGTTCCCCAGCTCTCTTGATGTCCACAGGCTCTGGCTGGGTGGAGAGTTCTCCTGAGGGCAGGCCCCGAGGCGGTGATTCTCAGGGCCTGAGCTCAGCCCTCTGGGTCTTATTTCCCTTTATGCATAGATGTGCAGAGACCTCTCCTAGATGCTCTATCCCCGCTGCCACCACCTTCCTTCCGTACCTCTCTCCATCTGCTTGGAACCAGGTCCCGAGTTGCTCTGGACCTGAGAGGCCCCCACAAGCACAGGGGTCTTCCTAAACCCACAAGGTTGGGAAACTGCACGAGAAGTTGCAAACTCCATCTGCTTAAAGGGGAAAAAAGATCAACCCAAACTTTTCCCAACACCCTCCAGCCGGACCCAGGTAACCCCAGGATTCAAACTCAATGGTAACTGGCTTTCCCATCCTGAGCCTGCCCAGAGGTGCCAGTTCACCCTGGTCTTCCTCTCCCAATATTCCACAACTCCCTCACCTGCTAACAGGATCTGCCAAAGGGGAACTCAGGAGAGGCAGGAGGAAGCTGGAGTTCATACTCAGGCCACAGGCACAAGTTGAAAGGGGCGCTGGAGCCCAGCCAGCTCCCAGGTGGAGCGGAGCCAGCCAGGGAATCCCCAAGAGCCGATGGAAGCCCCACAAGGCTCCCCTGGAACCCCTATGTGTTCCTTCAGGAATCAAAGATGCCTCTTTCCAGGAGCAAGGAAAAGCTGTCAACTAATAATTACTTTTTAAAAAACAATGTTTTCCTAACAGCATTGTTGGAAGGGAAATAGGTTTGTAGTTAAACTTTGAAGGTGAAAATCATTTATCTAGAAAACCTTTAACACTGCCTTCTGCCTCTCTTCCCTGGAGGCAGGCCGAGCTATTTGGTGAAAGTGATGTCTACATTAACGGGGCACAGGAAGAAACTTCTGTCTCTAGATGGAGTGGGGCTCTCTGGCTTTTTGGAGTTTTAAGCTTCTGAGGGCCTAATTGGTGACATTTCAGCTTACCTGTCTGGCGTCTCTGTGCCAGTCCTATCCTAAGGGCTTTCTTTATATGGACTGTGTCATTTTATTTTTCCTGTTACCCAGTGAGGCAGTTATTACTATACACCCATTATACAGATGAGAAATCAAGCACAGAGAGGTTAAATCACTCATCAAAGCTTAGACAGTAAGCGCTGGGGCTGGTCTTGAAACCCAAGTGCCCTGGCCCTGGAGCACATGCCCTTAGCCACTGTGCCCCAGCAACACACAACTCTGAGTACAGTTTCGTCATGACACAAGAACCCCCACCCAACTGCTTCCTGCCTCAATATGTAGTTTGCAGATTTTGAGTAATATCTGAATACAAGATTCCAGTTGGACAAGATAATTTGGACAGGTCCCTGGGGTTGGTTGTAATGGGATCTAACCAGTTTACATTCCACAGGAATGATCTAGAATGATGGTCCAGGAAATATGAGGTAATGTGATTTTTATAATGAGTTTCATGTCCTCCTTGTTAGACATGTTCTTATGTTTACTTTTTTCACCTGTGCTTTCTGTCCCATTATACCATAATGACCAGGAAAGACATATTTTATTTTTGACTTCCCACCAACCCTAGCTCCCCCAATAGGTGACTCTTTAACTATTCAATATTAATGTTGCAAATAATATATGAATGCATTCTCCTTTTCTAAAAGAGTAAAACATTAAGATAAGGTTCCCCCTTTATCAAGCCCTTCCTCCTACTGATATCCCTAACCCCCATCTAGAGATGAGTCGGATACCAATCTGGAGTACAGCCTTCTAGATTAAAAAACATTTACATTCATATGCTGGATATGTACCTGCAAAATATAAATCTTGTTCTTGGGTTTTTTTTTATATAATTATTATCATACTATAAGTACTGTTTTGAAACTTGCATTGTTTGTTCAGAATGTTTCTTGGAGATCCACCCATGGATCAGTCTCATTTGCTTTGACTGCTGTACTAAGTGCTGTGAGAATATCACAGTTGACTTAGCAACTCTGTATGGATGGTCTTTTAGGCTGTTTCCCATTTTTGCCATTGCAAACAACATGAGGCTGTCTGTGCCTGCCTGGGACCAGTGAATGACCTCAGTCAAGGCTGATGTTCTCCTCTGTCTAAGGCATGTGAGCATTCACAATGACCCATGCTCAGCACATTCTGGAGCTGGCACTGCCACACCAGGTGTGCTGGAGCTCTCTGCAATCCTTGGTACAAGATCATTCTTAGAACTTAGCAGGTTACCTCCCCAGGCTGTGGCCTCATCGCTTTAGTCTAGGGTCAGTAATCTCGAACAAATTCCCTCAATGATTAAAAGGCAGAGTGCCTGCGGAAGAGACATTTCCTCCTCTTTTCTGCTTTCAGGTTGGTTCTTGGCACACACTGGGATCACCCCAGGTTGATCTCAGCTGAGGCCTGCTTTGGATATTAAACCAAATGAAAGCTTATATAAATTTAATGAATAGAAAAATTAACACAGTTTGTTACCTGCAAAGTGAGGCACTTGGAATAAGAACTCCTCTAACTCTAAAAATGCAATGATCCCATAAAGCTCCGTAAGTGACATCAGTACACACCCACACCCATATACACATTCATTCCAAGGCTGGTTGTTAGTGATTCAGGAATTATAATTTTTCCACCCATCATGAGGTGGGCTGTTGGGGAGCTGGAAAGTGAGTGTGACCCCAGGGTGGGGTGCATGGGTGGAGAGTCTGGAGAGATGAATAAGGAATAGAGAGAAAAGCTTGTCAAAATAGGTTAAGTCCTTCAGAGCCAATGAGCAAACCTGAACAACCCTCTTAACTCTATCTTCCAAGCGGTGCAGGGGAAAATAAAGGGCCTCTCCCAGTTCTGATCAAATATTGACCCTGTGCACTCGCTGGCCAGAGTTCAGACTAAAGCAATAGCAGCATGGTGGAGTCGGTGTTTGCAGAGCAATTACTGTAGCCCAGCGCTTTGTAGGTCAGGTTGTGAAACAACCGTCCATGGAGCCAGGGCTTCAGAGAGTCTTCCGGCCCCTCCTCAGTGGGACCAGGAAGGAGCTGTGCAAGGAAATAGACAAAGGCTGGAAACGTGGTCCAGCCACCCGTGAGAAAGCAACTGAAAAGGGCATCTGCCGCCCCTCCTCCCACCTCAACTGCACCTCCAAGCAACCCAGGCCCTTAATCACCAAATGGGCCTCGACGTTAGGCCCTGTCCTGGTCAGCTTTCCCTGGGACAGGTCCTTTTCCTGGTCAGATAGGGCTGAGTGGTGAGTTATTTTTAGAAGAAACCAATTTCCACTTGGAGACTAAGAGCCTCACCTCTTCCCTGTTCTTAACTTCACATCTGAAAGGCTCTTAGAAGCCCTCTCGGGAACCTGACCTGGTTTCCAGAAGAAGTGTTTGGAATAGCCGCTGAGCTGAAAAGCCCTAAGGATGGGCAAACTGTGCAGGAGAATAATCTCCCTCTTCTTGCCAGGGCCCTAGAAGATTTCAGGGGGCAACTCAGGAAGGGGCTGGGAGGTGACAGATCACTGTAGGGTGGCCAGAAAGCCAGCTCAAGCCTGTTGTGTGTTCAAAGTTGTCTAAGCTACCAGTCTAATAGAATTTTCTGTGATAATAGAAATGTTCCATATCTGCCCAATACACAACCACTAGCCACGGCCGCCACTGAGTACTTGTGATCTAGCAAGTGCAACCAAGGAACTGAACATTTACTTTTATTTCATTTAATTTTTAAAATTTAATTTCAAAAATTTTTAATTAACTTTAATTTAAATAGCCACATGTGGCTAGTGGCCACCGCGTTGGACAGTACAGCTTTAAAGCCTCCGTACCTGGGGGTTCTAAGTGGGCAGCCCCTGCGTGTGAGTCTGGGTCTGAAGGCTCGTGGCAGGAGATATGGGGAGAGAAGAAGGTCTGGAGAAGAGCAGAGGGTGTTATCCTGGTGCTCATGGATGGATTTCAGGCAGGGTATGGATAACCAAAAAGGTTACTAGAATTACAGGTGCACATTCATGCACTTGTCTGGGGAGAGAGTCTTTGGCTTTCATTAGAAGCATAAAAGAGTCTCTCATCTCAAAAGTAAAATAAGATAAAATAACTCACTGATGTGTCAGATAAAACTTACTTCTTCAGGAAGCCTGCCCTGATCCCAGAGTATAAGGTTTCCCTATAATATGTCTATGGCACCTTCCTTTGTTACATCTGGAATGGTGTAAAACAATATTGTTTGTCTTTGTTTTTTAACTAAAATCTGTCTTCCCTCACTAAGCTGTGAGACCCATAAAGGCAGGAACCAGATCTGCTTTGGATCATCAATGTGTCCCAGAGCTGGCACACCGCCTGGATGTACAAGGCAGACACTTAATATTGGAAGGATGGGAAGAAGGAAAGAAGGAAGGGAGGGAGAGAGGGAGAGAGGGAGGGAGGAAAAGGAAGGAAGGAAGGAAGGAAGGAAGGCAGGAAGGAAGGAAGGAAGGAAGGAAACCAGAGACATATTTTACCCTGATAAGAATTCTCAAAAAACAACCAAATCCCCCCAAACTAGAGTGTGGGTGTTTGGCTATGTCACCCTAGGCTGCTGTCACTAATTAAGACCATATGGGGGCCGGGTGTGGTGGCTGATGCCTGTAATCCCAACACTTTGGAAGACCGAGGCGGAAGGATACTTGAGCCCAGGAGTTTGAGACCAGCCTGGGCAACACAGTGGGACCCTGTCTCTACAAAAAATAAAAAAAAAAATTAGCTAGTCATAGTGGCATGCATCTGTGATCCCAGCTACTTGGGAGGCTCAGGCTGGAAGATCTCTTGAACCTGGGAGGCTGAGGCTTCAGTGAGCCATGATCACACCACTGCACTCCAGCCTGGGCGACACAGCGAGACCCTGTCTCTAAAAACTAAATAAATAAAAGTAAAAAAAAAAAAAAAGAGAGAGAGAGAGACCATATGGGCATCTTCTTTGTTCCCTCTCCCAAGAATGCTCTTTCCTTCCTCTTCATCTCATAGCATGTTGCTTGTACCTCAATCTAGTATTTAGTTCATCTACAGTGGACTTAACTGTTTCCAAGTTTGCCTTCCTCACGAGATGTAGACTCCTGGCAGGAAGAGACCTTGTCCTTCTCAAAAGTGTGTTCCTCAGCCTGCGCCACTTCTGCTCTGTACAAAAGCTGCTGCCTGGGGGGCCTCAGCACAGGCCCATCCACTCTTACCCGGAGCCAGCCTGGACTCTCATCTTTCTACTTCCACCCTCGCCTCTCACACTCAGCCAGGCTGGGGCTCCCAGATTTAACAAGTGAAAATACAGGATGCATAATTAAATTTGAATTTCAGATAAACGACAAATAACGTTTTTTAGTGTAAGTATATGCCATGAAATGTTTGGAACATCTTTTTTTTTTTTTTTTTTTTGAGATAGGGTGTTACTCTGTTGCCCAGGCTGGAGTGCAGTGGCGCAATCACAGCTCACTGCAGCCTGGACCTCCCCGGCCTCAAGCAATTATCCCGCCTCAGCCTCCTGAGTAGCTGGAACTACAGGCACATGCCACCACACTCGGCTAATTTTTTTTATTTTTTGTAGAGACGGGATCTTGCCGCATTGCCCAGGCTGGTCTTGAACTACTGAACTCCAGCAATCCTCCCATCTTGGCCTCTCAAGGTGCTGGGATTACAGGCATGAACCACCACGCCCAGTGCCCACACTTATTCTTAAAAAAGCATTTGCTGTTTATCTGAAATGTAAATTTAATTGGACATCTCATATTTATCTGGCAACCCTAATCCAAGACCTCACAGGTAGCAGGTAAGCTGTGAGAGAAGAAGGTGGGTGGTGGGATGGGAAGGGGACGCTGAGATAAATGGCTCTGCTCTGCACGGTCCTAAGGCTTCAGAAAGCGTGGAATGAGCAGTTACCAGGTGATCGGTGGCGGGGGGAGGTTCTCTCCATCTCTCCCAACCCTCTGACTTTCCCCATTTCCGGTGAACAGCTCCTCAATGCACCATCAGAGTTCTAAGTACCCTGTCCTTAATGCCATGAGTCACCCCAAAGGGACAAGGAACCTTCTCCAAGGACAAGCCTCAGGCTCTTGGCTCCCTCCTGCTTGCTGTTCTCAGGGCTGGTGTGTGCCTGAGACTGTTCATTTCCAAGGATCTACATGCAGGGCTTCACATGCAGGGCAGTTAGGTCCAGGCAGGAGCTTTGAAGATAATAACCAGAGAAATGTTCTGCTTCAGATCTTAGAATCTGGGAGGGGGTGGGGAGTGTGGGGGTGAGGGGGTGGGGAAGGGCTGTGCTGATGTGGAAGCTACTGTGGAGAGAAATGGAAAAACCAAAGAGTGTGGGGTTTCTGTTCAGATGACAGAGCACCCTTCAAGTGCTTCCTGGCCTCATGGCTGCAGAGTGTGAAGGGCAGGGTGCAAGTGTCCATCTCCCTGTGTGCTCCCAGAGGGAGAAACAGAGGGTCCATGTGCTGTTCCGAATGAAACTGGATCTGTATGGCCCTCAACTCATGACCAGAGAGGGTCAGCGACCGCTTGGGATCGCTTTGCACGTGGTTCCCGGGCTGTGTGACACAGGTGGGAACCCGAGGCCGCCTCGTGGGTGCCTGGCCTTCGGGAACAAAGGAAAACATCTGAAGAGGGAGACATAAGGGAGGGGAAGTACGGGGAGACCCACGCTGGGGTGCAGGGAACCAACTTGTACAGGGGGGAACCAAGGGTCTATCAAAGGGGTCAAAGGGGTGTCCAGGCCTCCTGTTGTTATCTGAATAGACCCCCAAGTGCTGCCCAAGTAGTACCGGGTGTGAATGTATGCTTCACGACCTAAACTGGTTTAGCTCAGCAGTTCTTTTTGTTTTTTTGAGACAGGGTCTCACTCTGTCACCCAGGCTGGAGTGCAGTGGTGCAATCATAGCTCACTGCAGCCACGACCTGCTAGGCTCAAGTGATCGTCCCACCTCAGCCTCCTGAATAGCTGGAACTACAGGCACACCATCGCACCTCGCTAGTTCTTCACTGGGGGTCCACAGGGGGTCTGTGAACACTTGCCACTGCAAGTAAAATTGTATGTATCCACTCTTTTCCTGGGGAGAGGGCTTCCATCAGATTCACAGAGGGGTCTGTGGCCCCCAGGAGGCTTAGAACCACGAGTTGGTGAAACCCGGGGAGCAGCTCCTTGGAGGTGGGCCTGGTGAGCCTGGGACTCTCAGAGTCAGCCAAAAAGGAAAGGAGCAAAACATTTCTGAGAGCTGCCCCTGGGCCACACCCCAGCTCCCAGCGGGCTCCCACCCTGCCCCAGAGGACAGCTTCAGAGAGGAGCCTGAGGCCTACCTGGCTCTGAATACGCCGGCAGGGACTGGGCACAGGGAGCTCACCACAGAGTGACGCCAAGTGAGGGAAGCCACAAAGCAACATCAGTGAGTGGGTCTCCAGCCCCTAGACGCCCCCCAGCCATGCAGCCCAACATCCCTGCAACCTGCTAACACCAGGCAACTCACTAGGCAACTAAGTGTTGGGAGAAACGTGGATTCACTCATTCATTCCTCCTAACAACCCTACCGGGCAGGCAATTTGAACCTTCACACTACAGATGAGAAAAGCAAGCCTAGAGAAGTGAAGGAGCCTGTCCGGAGTTACGTGGTGACAGCCAGTAACCGGTCCCAGGGAATGTGCCCCCAGTGCCTAAACTCTAAGCTGCTCTCTTACACAATCTCTCAGGGACATGAGTTCTGAGGTGCACCAATGACCAGAGATGGAGTTAGCAACTCCCTTTGTTCTTCCTCTATAGGATCCGCCATACCAAAATCAGCGACCTGATAAATAAGCAAGGCTTTTCAAAATGAACGCCACTAAAACTCATCATGGCAGGTAAAATGGGTTCGTAAAGATGCTATGCTTGGCTCATAAGTTAATTTCCAAAGAACGATTCCAACCCCTTCCCAAACTGCATCTACAGGTCAGCAATGACCCACGTGGACAAGCCTGGCCAAGCTCATGGCCATTGCCAAGCTAGGGCCAGCACACTGCACTAGCTGCTCCCTGCTTGCGTATCCCCTTTCCACACACAGGGAATGAGCCCTCCAGGCAAGGGAGGTGGTGGTGGGGGAGCAGCATTCCTTTCTCCTGAGATTCTGCAATGCAGGAGTGGGTGGGGGACCATAAGGGAAGAGGGGGAAGAAAAGTTCTGATTTGGAAGTTTCCACTGGCTTTCAGGCCCCCTCCAGCTCATCAATGAGTCCTTTCAGGGTTCCCTCTCCCCAACTGAGTTATCACTTCCTGTCCAGCACACTGCACCCATTGATGGGGTATCAGCAAACCCCACCAGATTACACTGGAATTAAGGAGACTGGACATGAATTGAGGAGGGAAGAGGAAGAAGGCTGGAGAGTAGGGAGTGGCTTTCAATCCCATATTCAATGGGATATTCAATCCCACATTGTTGGATTAAGAAAGGATTTGTAATACAGGAAGCTAGGTCACCCTTGGCTTGTCTCATAGGTAGGGCAATGAGGACAATGAGATAGAATTAGGTATTGGGGGCAAGCACACGGTACCCAAGATGACCTCTCCAAGATGACTGACAACCAAAGGCCTGCCAAGAAAGGAGTGGACCCTGGCTGTGAGGGTAGAAGTGAGTGTCTCTTTGTGTTTTTATTGGCCTAAACCAGGCTCACAACCCCGAGAGGAATCTAGAACATCTTGGCTCTACCTGAAAGGGCTGCTGCTCAACTCACACTGATTCTCCCTTCTCTAGTACTTGCCTGTGATCCGCAGAGGTGGGCTCCCTAGTGGCCATGTCTGTGCTAAAAGACCCTCAACTCCCAGCCATACTGATTGGTCCAGAGAGGGCATCTGACCCAAGCCAGACCAATCAAAATCGTCCCTGGGATTTTTCAACTTGGAACTGGGAGTCAATTTCCCCTCTGTTGGGAGCCAAAAGATATAAAATTCTAGAGCTGCTGACAGCCATATTCCTCAGGGTGTGAGGTAACAGAAGCTGAGGGCAGTGCCAGAGGGAAGCAGAGACAAGACAGAGGGAGAGCAGATCCTGGTTTCAGGCATTCCTGAAGCCTCTGCCTCACTGCCCTTCTCACCATGTGGTCGGCTGCACAAGCTTCCCTGGTCCCTCCTTCCAATCACATCTCCTTTGTGTCTAAGCCAGTGCAATTGTAAAACTATCACTTGCAACCCAAAGAGGCCTGACTAACTTAGCTGGCATCAAGGGGGGTGTCTGCAGGGGTAGCTGTGGGACCCATACTACCATTCCCTTGTGAACATGCCTTTGTGTCTTAGAGACACACACCTACCACGTACATGTACAAACTGGGTGGCAAGTGCCTCATTCGGTCAGACAGACACCGTGGTATGTATGCCTAGTTTGTGCCTGTAGTTGAAAAAATTGCTTATTTTCTGTTTCGGTCTTCCCTGAGTGTTTGCTTTTCTTTGCCTGCAATGATGCAGTGGCTTCTGTCTCACCCTGGATGTTTATAGACACACGTCTGGTCAGGCACACAGCACCTCCCACCATCCTCCCGCCTCTTCACCACAGTTTCCTACCCTGCAGGCAAGGGAGGGTGACAAAGCGTTACTGTTAAGACCATCAGAGGAGGCCAACAAAGTCCTGAGTGTCTGCCTGCAGTATGCAAGATTGAGACGAGCCCAGCTCCACCTTCCAGCTTCCCTCCTCTGTCCCTCTGCTCCCACCTGGACTCTGACCCTGACAGCTCTCTTGGGGGCTCCCTGGATAAGCGAGGGTATGAGAGAGGCCAGCCCACCAGAGAGACTTGGGCCACTGTCCGAGCTCTGACAAACTCACCTGCAGGTCAAAGAACTTGCTGTACCTCCGGTAGATAGTCTGGGAGGTGGAGTCAGACCAGGTCACATTGATTATGTATACCTGTGGGAAAAAGGTAAGAGCAGGTGAGCAAGGCTGGATTTCAAGCTGTCTGTGCCAGGCATCATGTAACATGACTGCAGGTGTTCCATATGGCAGGACCACTCTTTTACTCATCTCATCTGTCCCTAGGGGCTAGCACAGTATCAGCTACCATGTAGATGCTACAATATATGTCTAAATACACACACACACACACACACACACATACCCCTAGAGGGATATTTCATCAAATGCCAACAATGATTATCTTAGGAAAGTAGGATCAGAATGAGTGGTTTTAATTTCCTTCTTTTTATTTGTATATATTTCATACAATAAACATAAAATTGAGGTCACTACATTTTTGTTTGTTTGTTTTTGAGACAGAGTCTCATTCTGTTGTCCAGGCTAGAGTGCAGTGGTGTGATCTCGGTTTACCGCAACCTCTGCCTCCCTGGTTCAAGCAATTCTCCTGGCTCAGCCTCCCGAGTAGCTGGGAATACAGGTGCCTGCCACCATGCCTGGCTAATTTTGGTATTTTTAGTAGAGACGGGGTTTCGCCATGTTGGCCAGGCTGGTCTCGAACTCCTGACCTCAGATGATCCACCTGCCTTGGCCTTCCAAAGTGCTGGGATTACAGGCATGAGCCACCACGCCTGGCCTTTTTAGATAGCTAATTTCCACTGGTTCACAAACTTTAGAGTGAATGAGACTCTATAAGAGGCCCTCCGAAATTGCAGGTGGACCCCGCTCTCTGAAATTCTGCAGACCTGGGTTTTGAGGGCTCGGATGTTTACACTTTTAACAAACCCCAGCTTGTTTTGCTACTGTGGATCCTCAGAACTCACTCTGAAATGCCTTTCAGGAGACCAGAAGTGCTCAGAGATGTGTGATTCATCTCAGCATCCCTGTCTTTGCTCAGTGCCTGGCACAGAGCAGGTGCTCAGAAAACACTTTGCTATGTTGAACAAACACACTGGTCTTCTGGATGAGAAACGGATTTGAAGAAGAGGCGTTAGCACGTGGGAGACTGGAAAAACTTTTCTCTTTGGGAGCCTCACAATGAAGGCATTTCAGGGCCAGGCTGTCACCCCGGTTCCCAAGTCTCCATCAGGCTCTGCCAGAGCTCATGCCACTCTGGAAGGCTGAATTGACTTAGGAATCCTTGGAGAAGGAGAGAAAGCCCCCAGTCCACACAATCTGGCCTGCTCTTCCCACTATTTCTGTCCTTCCTGGGAAAGGCCTGAGTTAGAGGAATGGGTGCCCTCCCACAGCCTCAGGGCTTTTCTGTTGAACTTCTCCCTGGGAAGGACACCTGCAGGGGTGTCTCCAGGAGGACAGTTAAGGGAGGGCACTGATAAGACACAGGTAAGACCTCTGCCCCCTTTCCTCCCTCAGGAGAGAGGCAATGGCTGTAGGTCCTCAATGGTGGTTCCCAGGCCAGGGTGCCCTTTAGGATCACCTGGGGCCGGGGGCAGGCTTCATAAAAATTCAGATTCCGGGGTCTCTGCCTAGTCACTGTGTCCTGTAGGTCTGTAGGGGTGGGGCTGGGGGGACTCTACCCTAAGAATAAAATAGCCAGTGAGGCCAGGGATCTGGGCCAAGATGAGGAGGAACGTTAGCAAAGAGAAGTGGCATTTAGACACCTTGCCATCAGACTGGCCCACCTCCCAGGTGCCTGGAACAGGGTTTGCCACAGGCGTGGTGAGGCTTTGTGCTTGGCTGCTCCGGTGATACACAGGAAAATGAGCTGAATCCAGTCTCTTCTCCCTTCCTATCTCTATGACACAGAGGCAGACTCATGCCATGGCGAGTTTTTTCTGAAACGCAACCAAGGAGAGGGCCATAAAGCCAAAGCAAACAGGTCTGAGTGCTGCCACCCAGAGATGGGGCATTTATGACATGTGGCCCTGATACAGAACATAAGGTAAAAGGCCACCCCTATCTTCATCAGCTCAAAATAGACTATTGGCTATTATTATAATAAATGGGGGTATGCTTTGCTTTACATCATATGTAAATAGGTATCACATGATACATTGTAAAACCATTTTGATAACTTAATGTTACCTAATGTTTAAGCAACTAAATGTAACTAGTTACCAGTACAGCATAAAGCATGTATATGCATTAGCTCATTTAATCTTCAGCCCAATAAGGTAGCTACCACTGTTATTCCCATATTGTACAAGAAGAAGGTGAGGCTCAGAGAAGCTAAGTAACTTGCCTGAAGTTACACAGCTAATAAATTACAGAGCAAAAGATTTGAACCCAGGTCTAGCTGAGTTCTAATACCTATGCTCTTAACTGAACTGGACTATCTCCCTGTACATAAATTTATCTAAACTGAACTACTTTGATCAGGACTGAATGACATTGTCTACCAAAAAGTATCTGAAACAAGTCTCAATCAGTTTAGAAAGTGTATTTTGCCAAGGTGAAGGACACACCTGCGACACAGCTTCGGGAGGTCCTGATGACATGTGCCCAAGGTGGATGGGGTACAGCCTGCGTTATACATTTTAGGGAAATACAATACATCAATCAATACATATAAGATTTACATTGGTTCCATCTGGAAGGGTGAGACAACTCTAAGTCGGGGACGAGGGGCTTCCAGGTCATAGGTGGATTTAAACATACTCTGATTGGCAATTGGTTGAAAGAGTTACTACCATTAGAAAGGAGTGTCTGGATTAAGATAAGGGTTTGTGGAGATCAAGGTTTTATCATGCAAATGAAGCCTCCAGGCAGCAGGCTTCAGAGAGAACAGATTGTAAATGTTTCTTATCAGATCTTAGGTCTGCATTGATATTGATGCTGCAGGAGTATAATGAATCATGTCTGATCCCCACTTCCTGTCATGGCCTGAACCAGTCTTTCAGGTTCAATGTTAGGGTGCCCGGGCTGAGGAGGGAGTACATTCAGATGGTTGCAGGGGGCCTTCAAATTTTATTTTTGGTTGACATCATCTTTTTTTTTTTTTTTTTTTTTTTTTGAGACGGAGTCTGTCTCTGTCGACCAGGTTGGAGTGCAGTGGCGTGATCTCGGCTCATTGTGACCTCCGCCTCCCGGGTTCACGCCATTCTCCTGCCTCAGCCTCCCAAGTAGCTGGGACTGCAGGCACCCGCCACCACGCCCGGCTAATTTTTTGTATGTTTTAGTAGAGACAGGGTTTCACCATGTTAGCCAGGATGGTCTCGATCTTCTCACCTCGTGATCTGCTTGCCTCAGCCTCCCAAAGTCCTGGGATTATAGGCATGAACCACCTCATCTGACCGGTTGACACCATCTTTTTAAATAAAGGTGTGGGTGGTCTGAGAAGCCTGCGGTGCTCTTGCTGAGGGAGTGCACCTTAGAGGAACATGCAGGAACAAAGGCGCCTTCTAAGAGCCTGAGACCAAGAAGACACAGAACTGGGGGCCCAGACAGAAGCAAATGGTTAGGAATGCTACAAAACCGACTGACGGTGAGGACCCCCTCAAACTCAATGCTGTGGGATTTTCCTGGGGGTTATTACCTACCCTGGTCCCCCTGCTGACTCCTAGCTCCATCTCCCCTCCCACCTGCATCTCTGCTTCCCACAGGCCCTGGGGCAGGAGCAGAGGCTGAGCCCACACCAGGTGCTGTTTCTCTGACCTCCACCCCAGGAGCTAAATGTGAGGAGGGCCCAAGAGGCCAATCCGCCCCTGGAGAGAGGGCTGCATTCGCCTGCAGGACATTAGACATCAGCCTTTCTCCGGAACCAACCAAGCGGAGCCCAGGGGAAGGGCTTAACTGAGGCTTAACACACATCCTCCATCCCACTAGCAATTAGGCTTCCCTTCACCTCCCAGAGAGAATCAATCACAGGCTCACAGCCCCTGGCAGCTGGGAGGATACAGGGAGACCTCTCCTTTAGCAGAGGAGAAACCCAGGGGCCAGGGTGGTGATTTGCCGAGGAAAGGGCATGGCCAGGTAGGAAGCAGCAGACTCTGGAGTTAGCCACATGTGGGTGCAGCACCCTCCTTATTGGCTGCAAGACCCCAGCCCAGCCGCTCAGGCCTTCAGACTCCTTCTCTATACAAAGGACACAACCTTCAGGGCTGCCAGTACTGATGAAAACATGGTTATCACTGGAGTGTGCTCACATCCATTGGTGGCAGAGCTGGGACAGGAACCCAGATGTCCCACTTCCCAGCCTAGCCTAGGACTACTCTGCACATGACCAGAGCATCCCCCCTCGGAAAAGTTCTTTGCCCTCTACTCTTCAGAAATGTTGAAAACTGGCAGGGCATGGTGGCTCATGCCTGTAATCCCAGCACTTTGGGAGGCCAAGGCAAGAGGACCACTTGAGCCCGGGAGTTTGAGACTGGCCTGGACAACACAGTGAGGCTCTGTCTCTATTTTAAAAATAAAAGGGCAGGGCGCAGTGGCTCATGCCTGTAATCCCAGCACTTTGGGAAGCCAAGGCAGGAGGATCGCTTGAGCCCAGGAGTTTGAGACTGGCCTGGACAACATAGTGAGGCTCTGTCTCTATTTTAAAAACAAAAATTGAAAATTCACACGAAGTCATCTCTGTTTAACCCTTGGCCTAAAACCATACTAAAGATACACCCCGCTGGAGAGCCAGCCAGAGGGAAGAGCTGACAGAGAGCTGTCCTTGTGGCCCTTGCCGGCCACAGCCACCCGGCTAGGATACAGCCACACTTCCCCCTAAAAAGCAGTTCTTTCCTTGTTTGGCAAAGGATTGTTCCTGCTAACATCTTGCACCCTACTTTCTATGCCCTGAGCAGCCATGAATGTGACTCAGTGTGAAGGATGGGGAAGCGAGCCCCCATTCCCAGGTTCTCCCAAACTTCGGGGATTTGCCAGAGGCCCCCCAGCCTACCCCCCTGGACAGAGTCTAAATCTTGGGTTGAGGAAATAGCAAGAGACCTCCCTGGAGATAAGCCCAGAGATACGAGGACAATCTCCAGACCCCTCTCTCTCGTCTGCTTTCTTCCAAACCTTGGACATCCTAGATTATCACTCCAGGCGGGTGATGGACACACAAAATTCCACCCCAGCCCATGCCTAGCTCCCAACCTCAACACCAGAGCTTCTTAAGTCTCCCTGAGCTGGCCTTGCCAGCACTGGAAACTTCAGAGAGAAACCACAGAGAAAGAACAGGTGACAGGGAAGGGGGACAGGGCAGAGGTCATCCAAGAAAGCCAGCTCTGTTTACAAGCCTGCATCGGGGGCCCAGATAGACTCTCCTCCAGCCTCAGGAGCAGTCAAGATAACATTACCCGGCAGCTGGGTCTCAAGAAAAGTTTGGCAATTAAATATCCTGCTTCCAAACGCTTTACTTGGGGTTATGTTTCACGGGTGGAGTTTCTCTTCCTTCTGGATTTTAAAAACCCATGGATTCTATTTCCCCTGTCTCCAGCCATTTCAGGCAGATGGTAGGCGTCTATGAAGGCTCGCTAGAGGCTAGCAACTGCTTCCAGCTTCCCCTGGGTCAGTCCAGACTGAGGGGACCCAGGGGCTCAGGCCCTCCCACCATGCTCACTCTTGATGGAGGAGTGGAATCATCACCACAGACACTGCGTGGGAACTCTCGCTACACACCCAGCGCAACGCTCTGGCCCAACCAGTCCCACCCATCCAGAGGTCATCTTGGGCTGCCTTCTGTCTGCTCAGCTCACAAGGCCCACCAATGTCTGAGGTTTCCAAAATCGCCTTCCCAGTGGGTGCTTCTGTCCTCTATTAGCCTTGCTCCTTTCAACAAGAAAATGGCCTTGATGCAAACCAGACTTACAGCGCAGCTCCAGAGCACTGAGAATGAAGCCTAGCCCATTTCTGTGGAGGGATGTCCATGATTTGATCTGGTCTGGGACCAATTAGAAACTGCAAATACACAGCCCAACCATTCCTAGAAGGCCTAGGACCCGCCTTGTGTTTAATTAGAAAGTGCTGGTAAGTACCTGTTGCCCCCTTGGCTACAAAATGTACAATGAGAGGCAAGGAGTTAGGAGCTATGGAGGAAATTGCATATCTCCATGGTACTGTGGTCCCATTTACTGAGGAAGGCCTTACTTTCCCTGGACTCCTACCAGCTGCCCCTGGCCCCAGGCCCCAGGCCAAACAGAAACTCAATGGCAATCTTCCTTCACTTGCTCACATGACCATGGGGCTGGGATCAGCTGGCTGCACTAGGGCCATTGTATACAGTTGGGCAAGTTGTTCACTGCCCAGTGGTTGCCTGGTCAAGTGGACATGTAGGTGTGAAATCTAACCTATACTTTACATCCCAAACTGTGCACCCTGGCTCAGGACTGCAGCCACGCTGAGAAAAGTGTGCCTTATTCTAATGTACATGCTCCTTGTTCCCCTGGGTGGGCTGTCAATGCTCTCTAGGGTCCTTGAGGTCATACGATCTCTTCAAGACCCTCAGCTCTTTAACTTACCCAAATCTTCGGAGTCTGGGGATGCAGGGATAGCTAACATTTGGGACTGACTGCTAAAGCATATGGTCCCAGAAATCAAAATGAACACGATTGAGCAGCCAGAAAAAGGGAGTTCACGTGTGGGGACACGATCACCGCTCTGGCTTCCTGGTGGAGTTCATCATTGTCAGGCTCTTACCCAAGAAGATGCTGCCAGCCCGTCTAAGGTACTAATAGGCTCTAACCTTCTGTTCAAAGTGCCCCCATGTACAAGGTTCTATCATGGGGGGGTTGGTAAGAAGGAGGCACATATACTCCAAATTAGTACAGGCTGGTCCCCTAGATGCAGCCCACCCAGCAGAGCAGAGGACTCCAGGGCTGCAGCTCCCCATGAGAGTGCCTACATCAAACGCCGGCCCAGAGCCCCATCTCCTCCCTGCTGTGGCCCACTGCACACCACCGGGAAGCAGTAAAGGCCCTGGTGTTAAAGACCCCTCTTTTTTTTTCTTTTTTTTTTTGAGACAGGGTCTGGCTCTGTCACCCGGGGTGGAGTGCAGTGGCGTGATCTCAGCTCACTGCAACCTCCGCCTCCTGGGTTCAAGAGATTCTCCTGCTTCAGCCTCCTGACTAGCTGGCATTGCAGGTGCCTGCCATCACACCTGGCTAATTTTTGTATTTTTAGTAGAGACAGGGTTTCACCATGTTGGCAGGCTGGTTTGTAACTCCTGGCCTCAAGTGATCCGCCCACCTCAGCCTCCCAAAGTGCTGGCATTACAGATGCGAGCTACCATGCCTGGCCTAAAGACCCCTCTTGACATGGCTGCACCCAGATAAAAATTTCCCCAGACTTCCGACATCTGATCTGGACCCCCACTAGCCTGGCGAGTCTGTGACCATCCCTTGTGGTGCTCATAGTATGCTTTCCATGATTAGTCAATTATTATATCTGCCTTCGTTTGCTAATTGTTGGCTCAGAACACCCAGCTTGACACAGGCTGTGTTGGTCTCTATTCAACACAGGTGAGTCTGTCTTCCTCCCAGGTCTCCCTATCCATGCAAACTATCTTCCTCTTCTCCCCCGAGGCTCACTAGGCCTGCCAGTCTGCTGGACACACTGAGATAATGACTGGCTGATCTAATGCCAATCAAATTCACTGGCTCTGAAATGCCAAAGAGGTGGCTAGTAGCAACACTTGGAGACTGTCCCCATTCCCAGAAGCAAATCCCTGGTGGCCTAGGAGCAGAATACAAACACATCTTTGCCAACCTAAAACCCTGCCAGCAAAATCAAGTTCAACAGCCTGTGGCCACTTGGCTAAGGTTTCTGAGCTCAGCCTGAGAACGATGAGGACCCTCAGGGTAGGGCCCTATTAAAATTCCAACCCCTCCTCTAGAGTGGGTGTTCATTCTTAGGGTGGGGAGAGAGGTGACGCTGCAGATTTGGGGAACAACCACCACTTAGAAGCCTGGATGTAGTGGAGGGTGACCTCCATGGTAGTACACACTCACGGGTTGACTATAAGGCTAATGACCAGGCAGCAGGACTTTTCTAGTCCTGAGACCATCTGACAACAGGACTTTGTATTCAGAATCAGTCATAGTAAATGCAGCAGAAGCGAACCCCAGAAGGGCTCTGGGAGTTGGAGGGGGTATAATGTGCTAGGAGAAGGTTCCTCCCAGAACCACACATCCACCAGTCGCCTCCAAAACACAGACGCTTCTACTGCAGACCTGGGCCAGATGGACCTTCTCTGGGGAAAAGGGTTTTTAAAAGAGACTCAGAGGAGGGGACAATGGCAAATGCCTCTACAGTAGGGAGCATCCTTCAAGAGTGTGTAGCAGGTACCCATCACACTCAGTGCCTGCCTTTGTTTGCAGGAATCATGGGTCTCCTTTCCTCCTTCCCTCTCCCTCCCTCCCTCCCTCCCTCCCTCCCTCCCTTCCTTCTTTTGAGAGAGAGTCTCGCTCTGTCATCCAGGCTGGAGTGCAGTGGCGCCATCTCAGATCACTACAACCTCCACCTCCCAGGTTCAAGTGATTCTCCAGCCTCAGCCTCCTGAGTAGCTGGGATTACAGGCGTGTGTCACCACACTAGGCTTTTTTTTTTTTAGTATTTTAGTAGAGATGAGTTTTACCATGGGTGGCCAGGCTGGTCTTGAACTCCTGATCTCAGGTGATCCACCCGCCTCAGCCTCCCAAAGTGCTGGGATTACAGGCATGAGCCACCTCATCCGGCCCCACTATTTATTTAAATGGGAGGGTAATGAGTAGGTGAGAGGGTCTGGAGGAAGCCTCCCTACTGCTGGAGCCTCTACTTATTACCCTGCAGAATGAAGATCACAGTAGTTACCTTTTGGAGGCTCTTGTGAGGATTCAGGGAGCTGACTCTGTGTCTCCTTGTTAGAATGGAAGCCTCCTGAAGGTGGTTGGTGGCATGCTAGTGCCCAGCACCACACTTGACACCTAAGAGATGCTCACTTACTGTTCCCTTCATCAGTGAAAGAACAAAGCAACCAACAAATATCCAGTGAGTGCTGACCTCGCGCCTGGTTTAGAGACAAGCTAAAGAGAAGATGAGGCAAAGCATCCAACCTCCAGGCCCTCACAGCCCAGCAGGGGCAGTGGGACGCACACTGACAAATCACGGAGGGACAGTGCAAGATGAGTAATGGAGTGCCGAGAAGTGAGCCTCAGAAGGGACCAGAGGCCGTCTTGGCTTCACACAGGAGGAAGATGACTTCAAATTCAAATCTATCCACTTGATGGATTTGAATTTCAATCCATACATGTCCCTGCTACGTGGGCTTAGGCAAGTGTCTTAGACCCTCTGAGTGAGGGTTTCCTTTGCTGCGAAGTGTGGTTTCTAACGGGAGTGTCTCGTTAAATGTGGTGATACCCATGGGGCACCGAGCACAGGGCCTAGCAATGTGCAAAGTGGCCCAATGAATGTGGGCTATTTAGACACTCAGGAAGTGAACTGACTTCTTCCCATTTGCCGTGAGACTTGGATCATGAGGCTATGACTAGAAATAGGAGGGGAGCAGGAAGTAGGGCACAGGGACACAGACATACACACAACACACACAACACACACACACAGACACACACATACAGGGACACAGACATACACAGGGACACATACACACAGAAACATGGACACACACACACGGAGACACACACATGGACACAGGCGCGCGCGCGCACACACACACACACACACACACACACACACGGCAGTGGTGGAACCACTACTAATACCAAGGCCAGCCTGGGAGAGCAGAGGAGCAAAAAATAGCTCTGCTGCCCAGGGCTGGGAAAACAATGACGGTCCCCAGGAGCGTCCGCTGAAAGGATGAACGTGCTGCGGTTGGCCCCTCTGGGGCTGGACACTTTTTCTTTTCTTCATGTTTCCTGGAGGGGAAATGAGTGTATAAACTAGGAACTCCCAGGATTCACAATCCTACATGGACCTTTCAAAAGTTAGGCAGTCACAGCTCTGTCCTTACAGCCCCCAGAACGAGAAGAAAAACAGTCCAAAGAGTCAGCTCCGCCAAACCTTCTTACACGCACAATGGGATTGATTGATCAGGAGTAAAAGAAACACTAATGGCCATGCCAATGTATTGAGTACTGACTATGTTCCAGGCATTGCTAAGCACTTTGTTTGAATTATCTCACTTACTCTTTACAATAGTCCTATGAGAAAAGTGTTGTTATCGTCTCCAGTTCATAAGTGAAGAGACTAGGGCCCAGAGAGGTAACTGGTCTACCCGAGGTCATCATATTTGTAACAAGTAATGAAGCTCAGATTCAAATGCAGCCATTCACTCTATATCCTGAACTCTTTGTCTTCTTTAATAACGACAGCAGACTGCCTGGAGCAAGACAGAGTCCCTGCCACAAGATTTGCCTTGGTGGCTCAATTAGCTCTGTCAGTTGGTGACAGAGACAATGATCTATCTGTCAATACTGAGGCCGCCCATGAGGCAGGTGGCTAGGGATCCTTGCGGGGATCAGCACTCTATTTTGCATAGTTTAAAATCAATCGGATCAATTTCATGAAAAGTTATTATTCTCTCTGAGCCTCCATACCCCATAAAATAAACACATAAAATAGTGTTAAGAATACCTGCCTCACAGTGAAGATTAATGAGAACGCAAGAACAACCACAGTGCCTTGGACACTGTAGGCGCTTAATAAATGTGACTTCCCTTCCCCTGCAAAGTGCCTAGCACAGTCTTTTGCACTTATGAATTTTAGTCTCTTCCCCTAGAAGATTCTGGGGCACCAATAAGTGCTGGGCCTGGCAAGAGCCCACTTTGCAATCACAGAGTTCTGGGCATGTCACCACTGGGACATTCTCCAGAGTACCTGAGAGCATGCGGTTGGACCTTTGTACCTTCCTCCTTCCAATCCTGCCACCACCCTCTGGTCCCAAGTCAGCTTGGCAGAGCAAACAAGTCTGATCACCTCGAGCCAGCAGGCACTCCAATGGAGAGGCCCAGCAGTGGGCAGTGGACATCTTGGGTAATGCCCAGGAGCCCAGAGAGGGCGATGGTGTGCCTAGGCTGAGGTGATAAGGCTAACCTTGCAATGGAAATCAGGGGGAAAAGCTCAATGCTCCCAGACATTCAGGAGCCAGAGTCCTAGAAATTAAACAAATATATCCTCTCCTGAGCCATCAAAAAAATTACACTCCTGGGCTTCCAAGGGGCTTGGAAACAACCCAGTGGGTCTAGGAAAGGGTCAGAAAATGGGATTCTCATTCCACACACTCCCAAATCAATGACTGACCCAGGCCTACTGACCCCGACACACACATCCTGAAAATGTGCCCCACTCCATCGTCACACCCTGGAGAGAATGGCAAAGGTTAACACACACAGCTTGGTTTCCTTTTCCTGGGAAACACAGCAGTCAGAGGCCAGCAGCCGCCTCCACACACAGCCTGCAGGGGAAATGACCCCTGGGCTTCCTCCCCACCATCTGACACACTCACACCTTCCTCTCTGCTGTGCTCAGCAAAGCTCAACTTTTGACACAAGGCAAATAGCTGTCATTAGAAATTTCGTTGCTTGAGAGAGACAAGAACAATCATTTTGGAGAGCTTTTCGGCAATTTCTGTCGCCAAACTTGCATTCCCTTTGACTCAGCAATTTGACCGCTAAGAATTTATCCACACAATTGTGTGTATGCATGTATGTGTGTGTATATATGTGTGTGTGTATGTATATAAAGATAAGGAATATTGAATGTCTATTGATAAAAAAAGGTCAAATAAATTATGGTTCATATACCTACTAAAGATAAGGTGGACTTTTCTATATCATTATGGGAAAAGGTTTATAGTATCTTGAGAAAAGAAAAAAAAGATTATAATGCTATGTATACCATATGATTAAATCTATCTGGGGGATGGATTGTATGGGGGGAAGTTTGCATATGTGTGTGTCTATGCACATTAAAAAGAAAAAAATACAACAAATTGATAATCATGGTTATTTGCATGGAATGAGAGAGAGGAGAAATGGGAACAGTTTTGCTTTCTACTTTATAGATTTCTTTTTTTCTTTTTCTTTTTAGAGACAGAGTCTCGCTCTCTTGCCCAGGCTGGAGTGCAGTGGCACAATCATAGCTCAATGCAGCCCTGACCTCCTGGGCTCAAGAAGTCCTCCCCGCTCAGCCTCCCCAGTAGCTGGGACTATCGGCATGTGCCACCATGCTTGGATAATTTTTTAATTTTTTTGTAGAGATGGGGTCTTGCTATGTTGCCCAGGCTGGTCTCAAACTCTAGGCCTCAAGCAATCCTCCTGCCTCAGCCTCCCAAAGTACTGGGATTACAGGTGTGGGCCACCGTGCCTGGCCAACATTTCTATATTATTTCATTTCTTTTGAACATGTATAGCTTTCATAATCTCCATCTTAGAAAATAATTGAGTCCTCTTAGCCAGTCCTCTGGCTCATGCCAGCTCCTGGATGTTGTGCTGACATCCAGCATTTGCTCATTCTTGTGGGGCTGTAGGGAATTTCAGGTTCAATGCTGAGCTCTTGAAGCCAAGGTCTACAACCCTGGCTGTACATTACAATCACCTGGGGTGCCTTAAAAACACTACAGGATTTAAATCAGAATCTTGGAAGGTGGGGTAGGCACTGATAATTTTAAGAGCTCCCCAGGTGGGTCTACGGGTTGTTCCAGGGTTGAGAACCACTAAGCTGAACCAACATCAAAAAGACCACTGGACTAGCTAAAAAAAAAAAAAAAACAACAAAAAAAAAACCACACCCTTTTAATAGAAAGCAATATTACAGAGTAATTTGTACTACTAAGAGTCAGCTCTGCCTTTAAGATATCTAGTTAGGGAGTTTGTACTGGGTGCTTTTTCTCAAAGTTCTGCTTCCAGTTTTGGAATTCATCAGCTCAAAGTGGGGAAAGCAAACAAGGAGACTCGAGTTCCTTCGTTCTGAGCTGTGGCTGTGCTGGGGCTTTCTTTGGCAGCCTGTGCCCACCCCATGTCTGCAGGCCTTCATCAGCGACTAAGGGGTCAGAGTCCAGCCCTTCTCGGCTCCAGGAGGAACAGCTGAGAGAATTAGAAGCACTCAGCCCAGAGGAGGTATTTAAGAGACATACGATAGCTGGTTTCAAATATTTAAAGGACTGTCAAAATGTGAAGTTCAACTCCAGTTGTCCCTAAAGGAAGGCAGTGGATAACGAGTGCCAGCGATGGGGAAGCAGGTCTCTGTCCAACATCAGGAAGAATTTTCTAATCATCAGAGTTGTCCAAGGATGGAAGGGGCTGTCTTGTGAAGTAATGGGATGGCTGGGGCAAGGGACGAGTGACCACCTGTGACTGTGATGCTGGTAGATCCCCTCCCACTCAGCCCTCCAACTCCATGAGGCCAGAGACACTTACAAAGTCTTAAGCAAAATCCACTGGGAATGTTTCTTTTAACCAAAAGAAGCTTTCAAATAATAGTCTGAGCTCTGGCTAAGTGTCAGGCACTGCGCTAGGTGCTAGAAACGAAGGCAGTAAGCTAGACAGGGTCTGTTGTCATGGAGCTTATATGGGAGGCAACAGACAACATGTCAGACCATTTCTGACGGCCCCAATAAAATGGGGTGGTGACTGAAACTGCAGGGAGGCAGCTGCTTTAGATTGACAGGGGAGGCCTCCCTGGAGTGAGGATGTTTGAGCTGAGACCCAAATGCAGAAGGCAAAGTGTGGCAGGCCAACTGGGGAGGTGGGGGGCTCTTCAGTTTGACTCAGTACAAAATGAGAAGGACCTCAGATCACACACAAAAATTAACTTGAAATAGATGAGAGACCTAAATGCGAGAGAGAAAACTATTAAAGTCTTAGAAGAAAACATAGCACAAATCTCCATGACCTTGAATTAGTCAAGGGTTTCTGAGACATGACACCAAAACCACAGCTCAAAGACAAATAAACAAACTGGACTTCATCAAAATAAAAAACTTTTGTGTTTCAAAAGACATCAGCAAGAAAGTAAAAGGAGAATCCCCAGAATGGGGGAAAATATTTTCAAGTCATTTGCAAATATTCTAGACAAAGGACTTATATCTGGAACATATAAAGAACTCTTAGAAATTGTGGTATATATATGTATAATATATACAGTGTATATATTATACACTATATGTATTTATATACAATATACACACACACATATACAGTGTATAATATATATACTATATATATTATATATATAATATACACACACACACAGTGGAATATTATTCAACTTTAACAAAAGATATCCTGCCATTTGACAACATGAATGAACCTGGAGGACATTATGCTAAGTGAACTAAGCCAGATACAGAAAGAAAAATACTGGGCCAGGTGCGGTGGCTCATGCCTCTAATCCCAGCACTCGGGGAGGCCGAGGCAGGCGGATCACGGAGTCAGGAGTTCGAGACCAGCCTGACCAACATGGTGAAACCCCGTCTCTACTAAAAATACAAGAAGTAGCTGGGTGTGGTGGCACACGCCTGTAATCCCAGCTACTCAGGAGGCTGAGGCAGGACAATCGCTTGAACCTGGGAGACAGAGGTTGTGGTGAGCTGAGATCATGCCATTGCACTCCAGCCTGGGCAACACAGCGAGACTCCATCTCAAAAAAAAAAAAAGAAAAAGAAAAAGAAAAATACTGTATAATCTCATATATGGATTCTAGAGCCAAATATATAGAAGCAGAGAAGAGAAGGGTGGTGACAGGGGTGAGGAGGTAGGGAAAATGGCAGATGTTGGTCAAAGGATACAAATTTCCAGTATGTAGAGTGAATATGTCTGGACATCTAAGGTACAGCCTGAGGACTACCATCACTAATACCGTATTGCATGCAAGAGGTATGCCCAGAGAGTAGATTTTAGTGCTCACACCACACACACACAAAATAAAGAACTACGTAAGGTGATGGATGTGGTCACTTGCTTGACTGTAGTCATCATTTCATTATGTATTGTGTATTAAAACATCATGTCGTAGACTTGAAATACATGCAACTTTTATTGAAAAAGAACTCTTACAACTCAATAATAAAAATATGTAATCCAATTTTAAAATGGGCAAAGGATCTGAATAGATTTTTCTCCAAAGAGGAGGTACAAATGGCCAATAAGCACATGAAAAGATGCTCAAAGTCATTAGCAATTAGGGAAATGTAAATCAAATCACAGTGAAATATCATTTCACATGCACTGGGATGGCTATAATCAAACTCGCAGATAATAAGTGATGGTGAGGATGTAGAGAAATTCACACCTGCATACACCGTGGGTAGGAATGTAAAATAGTGCAGCCACCTTGGAAAACAGTCTATCAGCTCCTCAGATGGTTAAACGTAGCGTCACCGGATGACTCAGCAATTCTATTCTGAGGCATCTACCTAAGAGAAATGAAAACTTACATCCACACAAAAACTTGTATGCAAATGTTCGTAGCAGCATTATATTATAAAATATATACATTATGTAATGTTATGTAATAACTAAAACATGAAAATAACTCAAATGTCCACTACATGAGGAATGAACAAATAAAATGTGACTTATCTATACAATAGAATATTATTCTTTTTTTTGAGACAGAGTCTTGCTCTGTCGTCCAGGCTGGAGTACAGTGGTGCCATTACTGCAACCTCCACCTCCCTGGTTCAAGCAATTCCTCTGCCTCAGCCTCCTGACTAGCTGGGATTACAGGTGTGTGCCAACACACCCGGCTAATTTTTTTTTTTTTTTTTTTTTTCTGTATTTTTAGTAGAGATGGGGTTTCACCATGTTGGCCAGACTGATCTTGAACTCTTGACCTCAGACAATCTGCCCACCTCCCAAAGTGTTCGGATTACAGGTGTGAGCCACCATGCCCGGTCTATTCTTTTTTTTTTTTAACTTTTATTTTAGGTTCAGGGGTATATGTGAAGGTTTGTTATACAGGTAAACTTACGTCGTGGGGCTTTGTTGTATAGATTATTTCATCACCCAGGTATAAAGCCCAGTACCCGACAGTTGTCTTTTCTGCTCCTCTCCCTCCTCCACCCTCCACCCTCAAGTAGGCCCCAGTGTCTGTTGTTTCTATCTTTGTGTTCATAAGTTCTTGTGCTCTGTCACCCAGGCTGGAGTGCAGTGGTGCCATCTCGGCGCACTGCAACCTCTGCCTCCCAGGTTCAAGCAATTCTCCTGCCTCAGCCTCCCAAGTAGCTGGGATCACAGATGTGCACCACCACACCTGGCTAATTTTTGTATTTTTAGTAGAGACATGGTTTTGCCATGTTAGCCAGGCTGGTCTTGAACTCCTGGCCTCATGTGATCTGCCTGCCTTGGCCTCCCAAAGTGCTGGGATTACAGGCGTGAGCCACCATGCCTTACCTGTGTTCATAGGTTCTTATTTAGCTTCCACTTACAAGTGAGAACACATGGTATTTGGTTTTCTGTTCCTGTGTTATGGAATATTATTCAGTTATAAAAAAGAATGAAGTTCTGATACATGCTACAACATGGATGAATCTCGAAAACATTATGCTGAGTGAAAGAAGCCAGACACAAGCAACCACACATTATATGATTCCATTTATATGAAATGTCCAGAAAAGGCAAACATATATAGGGAGAAAGTAGATTTGTGGTTGCCGAGAGCTGTGGGGTGGGTGGGTGGCTGTCAGGGATAAGGAGACTGCTAATGGGGCCTCTTTCTGGGATGATGAAAATGTTTAAAAATGACTGTGGTTGAGAGTTGCACTATCTGTGAATGAACTAAAAACCATTTAATTGTACACTTCAAATGGTTGCATTGTATGATATGAATTCCATTTCAGCAAAGCTATTGTTTAAAAAGTTAGAAGGGAGACAATGTACCTCTTGGTTAAGGGGTTCTTGTCAGAAAGAACTCTATTTCTCCATCTTCTCAGCCTGTCTAATTCCTGCAAGAGCCAATCAAGACCCACCACCTCCTAGAAATCTCCCTGGGCTGCCTCAGCCCTGGTGCTCCCTCTGCCCCCTCCTCCGGTGCACAGCATGCTTGTGTGGGTAGACGCCATGCTATGTCCATTAATCTTGGGGAAATGTATGCTGGACCTCTGCAATCATCTCTGCAGTGATCACATTGCCCATCACCAACTCTGGCACACAGCAGCAGCTGTGCCTGGCTGGTTAAGGAGAAAGGCTGACTTTAAGAGAACACACCTGGTTCCCCAGGCTCAGCAACAAAGAAACCGGCTCTTTAACACTGAGAATTGGAAAGAACTGATTCCTAAAATATCCTGCTCTCTTTGCCTGGAGAGATCACTGGCCCCGGTAGACCCTGATGTGCAGGAAAAATTTCCCAATCATGCGGCAAAACGGGGAATGCCATCAGCTCCTGTTTGGCCTCCAGGATAGAGAAACTGCACTTAAAATCCACTAACCCTGTTCTGACACTGGAAGATCCTATGGCTAGGTGAAATCGGCTCACCTTCTCTGGAAACACATTTCTCCCCTAGTTCCCAGTCCTGACTGTGGGTTTGGGCCAGCCTTCTCCCATGTGATCTCACCCACCCTCCACCCCTTCTCCAGACCTCACTGGGTCCCCCTCTACTCACAGTTCTCCCCTTCTCTGAAACCTTTACAAGGCACCTGCAACCATAGTGCCCACTGCAGCACTGGAGACTCAGATGGCCAATTTCATGCCTGACCGTTCCCCCAACCCATTCCCAGAATCATTCTTGACTGGATTACAAAGTCCTTGAAAGCAAATATTTGATCCGGGCTTCCTTTGTTTTCTCTACAACGTCTAATGACTTGGTAGATCCTCAGTAAAGCCATGTTACTTGTCTGATAAAATTCAGTCCAGTCCCGTCAAGAAGGATTGGGCGCTTATTACGTGCTGGGCTCTGTGCTAGACACTGGCAACACAAAGTCAAATAAAACACAGCTCCAGTCCCAGGGAGCTCTGGTGTGGTGAGAAAGAGCAGTACTAAGGGACAATGTGCTGTAAGGCTAGGTCAAGAGCTGTGCCTGTTCCCAGGGAACCCCAGGAGAGGCACCACTCTGGAAGGCTTCCTAGCAGAGGTGATGCCAGAGTGACAGATAAGGAAGGTAGGCTGGGTGAAGAGGTGAGGGTTGTGGTGGTGGAAGGGTACCCTAGGCAAAAGAAACAGCATAAGCAAAGGCTGAGGGCTAGGGGAGGGGGCATGACACAGCCTGAGTTCCCTGGGAGAGCCAGGGCCAGCTGGGGTGACTGGAGCCTGGAGCCCAAGGCAGTGAGAGGCAGGAGGTAAACTGAGTCCCAGCTCTGAGGCTCGAGGGAATGATGGGGGCAGAAGAGGGAGGAGGGCAAGGGGGCGAAGAAGCACAAGGTCAAAGCCAGCTGAAGTGTTTCTTCGGTGGAGAACTTGGCATAGTTTGGGATTGGAGAGAGAGGCGAGAACAGGTGTCGGGGAGATCTAAGGGCTGAAGGAGGAATAGATGAGCATGTGAGGGAGCCCAGAAGGAGCAAAGGGCCCTGGAGCAGGGGGCAGGCAGGACGATGAAGCAGGCTTGGCAATGAGAGAGAGTGTGGGCAGTGAAATGCGTGGGGTCCCTAGAGGAGGGGGGGAGATGGGAGCCCAGGAGGGGCTGCTTAGAGATCAAGAAATCTCACCCCAAAGGCTCTGGGCCCCCAGATGGTCCACACTCAGGATGCAGTGGAGTGACTAGAATAGATCTCAGAGTGGGAGTGGGTTCCCCAGGGAGACCCTAGTTCCTGGAGGGGCACAGGGTGCTTCACCTGCTCATTTTTGGACAGTTCAGAGTGACTAAGACCCTGAGGCATTCAATGCAGGGAGCGTTAGCGACTTTTGAAAAATGAGAGAAACTAAGTGCCAGAAGTCAATGACTTTGTTTCACGCTCAATTCGCTCCCAGGCACCGGATCTGAGAGCAAACCTTTTAAATCTCCCCTCCTGCTCCCAAACTTGGCTCAAAATGTGGAGCAACTGGAATGAGGAAAGGGGATTCTTTTGAGCCCCCAAGCTGCTTCTCCCTGCCCCTTCCTTCCGTGTGGCCAGAGGGGACCCTCCTCTCTGCCACAGCCAACTCCAGGACGTCATTTGCTCCCAGGTCCCCTCAGGAGGGGAAGAAGGGACCTGCCAAGCTGGCTGGAGAAGAGTCCTGCGCAGCGGCCAGGGCAGCCTGCCAGGGGCTGCATCTGGTCGGGCTTCCCGCCCCAATTCCCCGGTTCCTCATCAGGCTGAGGTTGAGGTGAGAGGAGAAACACACAGCCAGCCCTCCTCCCCCAGTGCCCCCTCAAAGTCACGTCATCCAAGCATTCCCTGGGGAGGGCGGCCCCCTCCCTCTGACCTCAGCCTGTTTTGCTTGGCCAGAGCCCACCCCCAGTGAGCCTGTCCCCTCCCCACACCCTTGCTCACACCCAGGCCCATGCAGGGAAAGGCGTGAGCTATAGATTCCAGCCCTCCCAGGCTGCACACCAAAGCCCCCAGATAAGGGGCGGGGGGGTTGGGCGCCCCTCCCAGCCATGTCTTCTGAGATGCCAACTGGGCTCCAGAGGGTGGCTAGGGGCTGGCGCACATGGCCAGAACTTCCCTTGTCTTCTACCCTCTAAGTGGCATCTCCCCCAGCTTTAACCAAGGGGTCAGGGCCGGGGAGAAACACAGGGAAGCCCAATGTGTACAGCCAAAACCAATTCAGGGATTCAATCCTAGCTTTGCCTCTTAACTGGTGTAAGATCTTGGACAAATCAACGAGTTTCTCTGACCCTGCATTTCCTCGCCTAGACAATGAGGGTAATAAGAGGGTATGCCTCTGATGGTTTCAGTGAGGATTAAATGGGATAATGCATCCAAAGCACTTAGCACGTGCCTGGCCCACAGAAAACATTTAATGTATGGTCGTTCATTCTTTTTTTTTTTTTTTTTTTTGAGACAGTCTTGCTCTGTCACCCAGGCTGGAGTGCAGTGGTGCGGTCTCGGCTTACTGCAACCTCCACCTCCTGGGTTCAAGCGATTCTCCTGCCTCAGCCTCCCAAGTAGCTAATTTTACATACCCAGCTAATTTTCGTATTTTTAGTAGAGACAGGGTTTCACCATGTCAGCCAGGCTAGTCTCGAACTCCAGACCTCAAGTGATCCGTCTGCCTCAGCCTTCCAAAGTGCTGCGATTACAGGCGTGAGCCACCACACCTGGCGTTCATTCTTTTTATTTCCTAGATTTCCTGGGAATTCTAACACCAGTGGCAGTGCCAAGGGAGGCTTAATCCCCACCTTGACAATCTCCATCAGCCAGCTCCAGACACAAGTGGGAGATCTGTTGTTCTTGTTATTATTATTTGAGGCAGGGTCTTACTCTGTCACCCAGGCTGGAGTGCAATAGCATGATCTCTGCTCACTGCAGCCTCGACCTCCTGGGCTCAAGCCATCCTCCTGCCTCAGCTCCCCTGCCCCCCACCACCAGTAGCTGGGACTACAGGGGCGCATCACCATGCTGGGTTAATTTTTTGTATTTTTTGTAGAGATGGGGTTTCATCCTGTTGCCCAGGCTGGTCTCAAATTCCTGGAGTCAAGTGATCCTCTTGCCTCGGCCTCCCAAAGAGCTAGGATTACAGGCATAAGCCACTCCACCTGGCCCTGTTGTTATTATTTTATTCTTACTTCATCCTTCTTCTTTTTCTTTTTTTTTTTTGAGACAAAGTCTTGCTCTGTCACCCAGGCTGGAGTGCAGTGGCACGATCTTGGCTCACTGCAACCTCTGCCTCCTGGGTTCAAGTAATTCTCCAGCCTCAGCCTCCTGAGTAGCTGGGATTACAGGCATGCACCACCATCCCCAGCTAATTTTTGTATTTTTGGTAAAGACAGGGTTTCACCAGGTCTCAAACTCCTAACCTTAGGTGATCTGCCTGCCTCGGCCTCCCGAAGTGCCGAGATTACAGGCATGAGCCACTGCGCCTGGCCTTATTTCATCCTTCTCATTTGACTTATTTGTGTAATTATTTCTCTTGAGTAATAGGCCATTGACCTTTTCTGGATGTTATACATACTGTGCACAAAAGCAACTTTATTAAACTTGCTATTTTTTGTTATTTGGAATACACACTCTAAGCAAAGACAGGGTGCTTCCTATGCAGATGTAACCCCTAGCTGTCCAAGTTCCCTGCAGAAATTCTGGAGCTCTCACACAGCTGCACACATACACAGGTTCTTCCCTGGCATCCTGCCATGGCCCCCCATTCCCTAAATCTAACACCAAACTTCTCATTCAGCCTCACACAAGCTCTGCCCTGATGCAGCACTCAGCCATGAGGGCATGGTGGGGGGGGAGCAGCACTTTCATGCCTGTTAACGAGGACCCCAGGAAGCCTGGAGCAAGCTCAGGGCAGCCTCTTCCCAGGGAGGGTGAAGAAGCTTACTTCTAACTAACTCACAGCCTCAAAGGAAACTGATCTGAATACCACCACCAAGCCCCCTTAGAGAATACCCCCTCTCTCCAAGGAACAATCCTCTAAACCCAAAGTAATAAGCTGAACCACCCAAAAAAATTTTTAAATGGACCAAGAATATAAATAAGCATTTACCAAAGAAGAAATACATATGGCTAACCCATACATGCTAAGACACTCCATCATCTCATGTGTAACTGAAAAAAGCCAAATCAGAACGACAAGATGTTATTTCTTTTCTATCTGGCTGACAGAAACAATCACGTTTGGTCAGATAGGTGCTGAAGTTATGAGGAAATAGATAGGTCTCAGACTTCGTGGGAGGGAGCTGAATTCTTTCAGGAGGGCCATTTGCCAACATATATCAAAATGAGAAATGCAAACTGACCCACCAATTCCCCTGCTAGGAATTTATCTTGGGGAATAAATTCACAAAAGTGTGTCAAGTTATATGTTCAAAGATGTTTTTGGCAGGATCCATCAAGTTGTCCTGGGAATCCTCAGAATAAATACTTTGCAACTGTCTCAAAATCTAGGTAGCCTAGGTTTGCTGACAGGGAGAGAGGATGTGCCACGGATGCCATGAGAAAAGCAGCGTGCAGAAAAATCCGTCTCTTTTGCAGAAGTCACCTTGAAGGCAATGCTGGCTTTGTGTAAGAAGGTGGCATTCCTGATTCAGGCCAGAGTTGACCCTTAACACCCACCTTGATTGAGACTGGCTTTAACCACTGCCCTTACAGGGTTGGGAGCATTATTCTGGCTGGCCTCATCACTGGGCTCCACCATTTCATGGCAACTGAGGCACAGAGGGAGGCCACCCTAGCAAGTTCCATGTGCTAGGCTCTGCACTGGAGACAGCCATACATCATTAAGCCCATGTAACCCATATACAAATCCTTGGGATGGGTACAAGCCCATCTAACAGAAGAAGATGCTGAGGGTCCAAAAGGATCAGTGACTTGCCCAAGGTCACACAGCTGGGATGTATTAACAGTAGAGCTTGGATTCCAGTCCCGGTGGGACTGATTCCAAACCCTGTGTTTTGTCCCTGCCTCATGGCGTGGCCTCACACTACAACTCACAGACTTTGGAAAGCTGAGGGAGCTTGGTGAGCCTAGGGAGTGGGAGGCAGGGAGGTGCCTGCAGACATGGCTGAGATGAGGGAAAGAAGGGCAGCGGGCAGGGGACAGGCTTCAGCTGGGACAGCCATGCCAGGCCAGTCAGCGTGTCAAGGCCGCACTCACTCCTGCAGAACAATGAAAAGAGACATCTCAGCACCCACACCCTAATGCCTCACTCGAGAGTGTCCCCTGAGATGTGTCCCTCATATTGTCCCTTGCCAGCTGACGGCCACTCCCCAACCCCTGGGAGGAAATGTATTGGCTTGCGGGGCTATTTTGAAGCTCTGAGGAATGTGCCTGACCTGGCACTCCCCTGGGAAACCCCTCATCCACTGACTGGCTCAGACCAAGCACCCTCCTTCTGCAGAAACCTCCAGGTGGCCCCAAGGGGAGGGTGGGCAGGCATGGAGTTTGTTTCTTTCGGTGGCTTGGAGCTTTGATTTCCTCGTCTTTAAAATGGGAAGGCATGAGGAAGGGCAGAGTTGGGAAATAACTGCAAGCTCTCCCTTAGCTTCTAATATTCTCTGTTCTCTGGGCTTTTCTGTGGCCAGGGGAGGTTTATTTGGAGGAATGCTGAAGCAGTCCCGAACTCAGCCCTTGCCCAGGCAAGTCCAGCTTCCAGCACAGAGGCTGGGTCAACCCGGAGGGGAAGCCACACAGCATCCACCGAGCCTCTGAGAACATTTTCCTTATCCTGATCTGAATCTACTTCCTGCTAATGCCCGCCCATACCCACTAGTTCTGCCTCTGGGGCCACAGAGAACATATCAAAATCCTCTCCTGAAAGAGGACATTTCACATAGCCCCTCTCCCGGCATCCCCTCGGCTTGAGGATAACCAGCCCTACTTCCTGTGGCTTCTGGTGACCAGTCCTGTGTCTCCACCATCCAGGCTGCCCTCCTACCCTGCTCTCATAAAATGTACACCAGGACCTGAATCCAACCTTCACCTGTGTAGACCAGGTGTAGACAGGCAGAGAGGGCAGAATGGAAGCAACTCTTGCCATGTCATCTCTCTATTTTTTGAGATACAGTCTCACTCCATCACCCTGGCTGGAGTGCAGTGGCACGATTTCTGCTCACTGCAACCTCCACCTCCCGGATTCAAGCAATTCTCGTGCCTCAGCCCCCTGAGTAGCTGGAGTTACAGAAGTGCACCACCAAGCTTGGCTAATTTTTGTATTTTTGTAGAGATAGGGTTTCGCCAAGTTATCCTGGCTGGTCTTGAACTCCTGGGCTCAAGTAATCCACCGGCTTAGGCCTCCCAAAGTGCTGAGCCATTGTGCCCAGCCTCTCTCTAAACTTTCTAAATCCTAAACCTCTACAAATGCATTCCAAGAAATGTGAATTCTGTGAATGCATCCCTAGGATTTGGAGAGGCATTTATACTGCTGGCTTCTGCTGGCTCCCAAACAACCCCAACCCTGACACCTCACACACCTGCTTCCATGAAAACCAAACCTCCTGCTGCCTACACTTGGGCCGCTGATTTCATCAGCGCCCATTACATTTTCTTTTCCTAGGACAGTATCATTTGTTGAGAATTTACTCAAGGTATAATGGCTGTTAACAGGCGTTGCAGGGAGGAGGGAAAGGGGAGTTATTATTTAATTGATACAGTTTCAATTTTGCAAGAGGTGGGTGTTTTATTCTTTTTGATGCTAATAAAAATGGAATTGTTTTCTTAATTTCCTCTTTGAATTGTTCATTCGAAACTCATTACATTTACATCTGTTCAGTTCTAAGCACTCTCTCTCCTTCCTCCCTGGTCACCTGTAAATGTGAACAGGATGCCATCAAAATATCATCCAAGTCACTGACCAACATTCCAGGTCAGAGACAGAGCATAGAGTCCTGTGGCATGCCCCTAGAGACTCTCCTTCCGGACAGCACTGACACACTTGGCTTAGTTCTGTATGAAGCTGAGAACAGGGTGCTCCTGGGTAAAACACAGCATCCGTAACAAATTTTTTTTTTTTTTTTTTTGAGACGGAGTCTCGCTCTGTCACCCAGGCTGGGGTGCAGTGGCGCAATCTCAGCTCACCGCAAGCTCCACCTCCCGGGTTCTCGCCATTCTCCTGCCTCAGCCTCCTGAGTAGCTGGGACTACAGGCTCCCGCCACCACGCCCGGCTAATTTTTTGTATTTTTAGTAGAGATAGGGTTTCACCATGTTAGCCAGGATGGTCTCAATCTCCTGACCTCGTGATCGGCCCACCTCGGCCTCCCAAAGTGCTGGGATTACAGGCGTGAGCCACCGTGCACGGCCAATTATTTTATTTTTCAAACCTAAGAGGAGCTCCCAATATGAAAGTATTGTCAGCAAGTTTTCTCATAAAATGAGAAATCTTGTAAATTAAACAAATCACAAATTGGCCTGCTTTGCACATCCAGAGTTTCATGACCTCTAGCTAATAAAGATGCCCATGTTTGCTCAGGTCACCATGTGTTGGGCTCCTGGCTGGGCATTTCAGGCACATCCATGCTATCATCATCCCTATTCTCCAAGTGAGGATACTTGGGCTCAGAGAGGTTCGGTGACTTGCCTAAGGTCACACAGATATAAACCCAGATGCATGTCCAGGTCTGTTGGACTCCAAAACTGTTCTTTCCACTGTGTGGTGCTGCCTCTCAGGTTTCCTTAAGGAGGCTGCACCTGTTTACATATTCTCTCCAGACTAAGCCCAGAACTCCATCCCAGGCCTCCAGCAGACTCCCCAGCTCCTGCAGGTGATCAAACAGCTTCAGATCTACTGAGAAACATGCAGATCCTAGGAGACAGAGGATCCCAGGATTCTGATGGAACTGGCTGTCCATGCTAGAATTTTCCCCCTAGTGAGTGTAATTCCTTCCAGGTCCCGGAGCACATTTTAGAGCCGGGCACTTTGTAATTCTGGTTAATGTCAGTCATCTCAGCTACTCTGTAACATCCCTTCTCTCCAGGCATGAAATTGTTTTGGTTCACCCGTGAATCTTCAGCACCTGATATGGTGTGTGGCACACAGTAGGCACTTAATAAATGCTGGTTGGAAGAGCAAAAGATCAGATGAGATAACGGACATGGCCATGCTTTTCATAAGGTTGGCAAAGGGTAGCATGGTCACCATTAGGTAATTAGGAAACCCTGCCTGGAGGATGCTTCGGCCCGGCTAATGGAGGGATAACTCGTAGAATGAGCAAGAGGTAGGGAGAGACCCACAGGGCATGGAAGTGATCAAGGGATGAATCCAGTTCCTTCCACAGGAGGATGTCCCCAGGCGAATCTGTCATCCTGACAGGTCCACAACCATTGCAGATGACCACATTGAATAAATCAGCCAGGGAGCTCAGGGTGGATGAGGGGTGGGAGGGAGATGTCACCTCTTCGGAGCCATGGAAACTAGGCCCTCAGCAAGTTCATGTACACCAAGGCGATGTATTTGGGATGGTGATAAAAACTGGGCCACTTCTGGGCGGGGCTGGTGGAATTCCTGCTGCTCCTCAGGCCCACTCCTCTTCCTTTCCCTCAGCCTGGAATGCCCACTCCCTCCTTTCTCCCTTCTCACCTCTCACCCATCCTTCAAGGCCTTCACTCCCGGTAACACTACGGAAATGGAGTGTCTATCATGGTATCATGCAAAGAGAATGTGGTTTGGAGTTAGAAAGACATGTGGGTTCAGGCCCAGCTCCACCACCCATGAGCTGTGTGGTGTTGGGCAAGCTACATGACTCTCTGAGCCTCAGTCCTGTATTTGTAAAGTGAACCTCACAGGAGTGCTTTGAGAATTAAAGAGGTCATGGACACATAGGTACATAGCACACCGCCTGGCACACCACATTCTCAGTGCACCGTGACTTCCTTCCAGCCCCTTCCTAGACATCCCATGCGGTTTGTGGTACCCAGTTCTGCTGGGCCTGGTGGATTATTTGTCCATGCAAGGAGCTCTGCTCTCTACAACTAGACTATGAGCTTTTGAAGGAGGGGCTATGCCATCTCTGCATAGTCCTCAGATAGAGCAGTACTGAAGTCATGGGGCCTAGATTTGAATTCCGGCTCTGCCACACAGTCTACGTGACCATGGGCAGACGTCCCAACACCTGCCAGAGCCACTGGTTCCTCAGCTGTAAAACGGGGATGACAAGAGTGGATGAGAACAGTCGTGCCCCGCAGAGGACTGCTGTGAGGCTCTAGGAAGGTGCACAGAGCCTGGCCTGGTTCCCTGTGCAGAATTACAGCTCGGTAAATGCTGGAGACCATGATCATCATCCCTGCAGGGCCTGGCACGGCAGGCAGGGGCACTGGCACATCTTTTGGGAGAGAGGAAAGTCTACGTAATAAGATGCTACAGTTCTCTGTTTTTGTATTTTGGGTAATGGGGATGATGGGTAGGTAGCCAGACTCTAGGCAGGAAGCGAATGCTTACGCTAGGGAGAGAAAGTTAGTAAGCGAGTGTGAGTGCCAGGTCCCAAATCAGCTGAAGGAACAAGAGTCCATTCTCCACACCTGGGAGTTCTTCCTGATGATTCATGAACAACATTCTCATGTTGCAAGTCCAGTGAGCGATTTTACCACCACTCCTCAAATGAGCTTCCCCAAGCTCATTAAAGTAAGCAGCTCAGCAGCTCAGAATTTGGTCAGCTTGGAAGCATCACCCTCCCTGGGGGTGGCCCTGAGATAACCCAACCTAACTTTTTAATTAAAACAAGTTGACTCCTGGGTCTCCTTCCATGAAAGTCAGGCTGCTTGGCCCTACAGACTTTTCAGGCTTCACAAGCTCTACCTGGTGGTGGAAAGTGGGTGGGAGAAGCCAAACTTCTTATCACTCAATATTCCACTTCCAGAGTCAGGGAGCCCTCCTGGCTGAGATGCTGCCGAGATCCCAAGGGCAGGGCCTCTGCTAGAGCCATCAGCCCTATGGCCAAGTGTCTATCTTCATTTCAGACCAGGATGAGGAATCTCTTCCTGTGAATCTGCCTTTTGGGTCTTTGGAGAACAAAGACTGTTTGTGTTCTGTACTTCGTCCTCTCTCCTCCTAACCTCTCCCCCAGCCCTAGTCACAGTTGGACGATTGCTTGGGTGAGCCACGATACATACGTTGGTGCATTCATTTATTTCCCAGTTGAAAGGTGGTGTTGCGATTTCTGCAGCTGCATCTGGAATACACACACACTTGCTTTTTTTAATGGGGCAGTCACCCGTTGCAGCTCAAGCTGTCTTGATGGTTCTTCCACCCTTTTGAAGTCTCCACCACATCTTTTGCCTACTGAGTGGGAAGTTCCATGCTGCTGGGTTCTTATTTTCTTAACACAGTGGAAATATTTGGCCTTTTCCATAATATTTGGCTCTCCTGGTACAATACATAGACAGCACTTTTTAATGTTGTGATTTCAAGGGACTGTTTATTTAATAGTGATCTGTAGGATACCACACACTGCTGTGGGAGGCCAGCCCTGCAGACAGGGTGGGGTGCAAACAAAGGAGCCATCTAGAATTCTGTGCTCCTAACCCACTTCTGGGAGGCACGCAGGCATCCGATCTTCTCTTAAAGACTGTAATTTATTATGCCTCTTTTAAGTTAAAGAGGCTCTCTGAGTTACTCCCTTAAGACCCCCTACCCCAGAAAGCAATAAAGGCGACTAAAATGAACATTTGTGAGGGTAAGAAGGTAATGCCACTTTTAAAAGGAAGGATTTTGTTTGTTTTTTTAAATAGGTCTGGTTCTAGCCTTTGAAGATGATGGATTAACATGTAATCCTGTGTCAACCACCCAGCAAGTATTTACTGAGCACCTGCTAAGTGCAAAGCTCCATGAAGCAAGGCAGTGCAAGGACGGAGGGAGGCAGGAAAGGGCAGAAAGACCGTGATGCCGCCTGTGCAGAGTTTATAATGTAATCAATCAGACAATCACATAACATGCGCATAACATAGGACCTAAAGCTATGCTTAAGCCTTGCTGGAACAAGGCAAGGTAAAAGCAAGGACAAAAAAGGTAAGACTTCAGTAATGGTCCACTCCAGCAATACAGTTAGGACTAATTATCCATTGAATGGCTCAGGCCAAAAGTCGGGTTGCATTAGGTAGGATTCTTTTACATATAATTATCCCCAGCAAATAAGACCAACTTATTTCCACTTGCAAGCAAAGCTACAGGTCCCAATTTAAACAGAGCTAAATCCCAAAACTGGCTTCTGTGAATGGGTGACATCTGGGGAAGGTCTGCAGCTCCACCCCCACCCCAGGTAGACTCAGGTGAAGCAATACCTCTCAGGGGCCATTTCTGGAGCAATCCACAAGAATGGCCAGTGAGGCTTCCAGGCCCTGAGCAAAGAGGGGAAAACAAGATAAGAGAGGTTTATTTCGGATTAAGTAAAAAAACAAAGGAGGCTTAGTTTTGAAAAACTGGCTGAGTTCTTAAGATAATGGAGGAAGGTTTCGGGTTTCTGGTCCTATCAGTGAGAACTGGGTAGGAAATTATAAAAAGAACTTTCATTCCAGACAAGGGAGACAGGCCAGGAAGGAATGATAGGAAGAGATTAAAACTCACTATGTCTTCCAATGTAGGCTGAATCGGTCCTTAGGGAGAAGTGCCAATAGGCTGGAAGGTCTTCCGGGTATTACCAAGTGTTGATGAGGATGTAGGAGAGCTGGGAACCCTCATGCACACAGACTGCATTTAAGTAAATACTGTCATATGGCTTTTCAGTAGCAATCCCACTCCTGGAGAAATCTTTGTGGAGGTTTTAGGGCTGCAATATATAAGGATGTCTGCTGCTGCAATGTTTGCAGTAGAGGGTGTTGGAGGCAAGCAACTTCAGCGTCCATCAAGAGGGAGAATGAGTAAGTGTGGTGGACATGAGTATGGAATACCATGCAGCAGTCAGAAGCAATAAAGTAGAGGCATACAACCACTTAAATGGATCTTATAAATATAGTATTGAGTAAAAAGGGAGATTACCAAACAAAATCAATAGCATAACACCATGTATATAGATTACCAACCACACACACCAACAGCATAACCTATTTTCTGAGGACACACAGGCTTAGGTTAAACAAATTAGAGAGGATGGCTAAGAGGAAAAGGGATAGGATTGAGGATTAGGGCTAAAAGAAAAAATAAAAATAAGTCAGGATGAGGGTTTGCAATGGTGAGAATACGCAATAAATTGAAAAATAGGATGAATTTCCCCAGTTGGTCAGAAGAACCAACACATGATCTACATTTTTAGGTGGGAACAGTCATAATACAAGACAGGTGCGAAGCATCCTTCCAGTCTGTGTTTGCATGCTTTTACTACAAACATATGTAACCATACATTACACACTATTGTTTTGTGAATAATTTTTAATTTACATAAATGGATCGATATTTCCATAAATAATATTTACATAAATGGTATCAGAGATAATATTCTACTTCTTGTTTTTTCATTCAATACTGTTTTGGAGATCTTTTCATGTTGACACTTACAGATCTTATTCATATTAACTGTACAGAATTCCATCAGTGAATATCCTATACCTTATTTATCCAACCATTGGCATTTGTACTGTTCCAAGTGGTAGCCATTAGGGCTGTTCACTGAATATACCAATTCTTTTCCTTCCCAGGCACATGGTAGAATTGTGCTTCCTCAACAACCTGAAGGTATGTGTGGCCAGGTGACCTCTTTGGCCAAGGGATGTGTTATTTTTGGACAGAAGCATTTTTTTTAAATTGAGGCATAACTCATATACTATTAAGGTCACCATTTTAACGTGTACAATTTGGCTGGGCAGGGTGGCTCAATAATCCCAGCATTTTGGAAGGCCAGTGTGGGAGGATTGCTTGAGCCCAGGAATTCAAGACCAGCCTGGGCAACATCATAAGACTCAGTCTCTACAAAAATAAATTTAATTAATTAACTAATTAAAGTGTGCAATTCAGTGTTTTTTTAGTATATTCACAGAATTATGCAACTAATACATCACCACTATCTAATTCCAGAACATTTTCAACACCCCAAAAAGAAACCTCATGGCAGTTAGTAGTTATTCTCCATTCCTCAATACTTCCAGCTCCCGGAAACAACTAACCAACTTTCTGTTTCTATGCATTTAACTGTTCTGGGCATTTCATATGAATATAATCATACAACCTGTGGCCTTTTGTGTCTGACTTCTTTCACTTAGCATAATGTTTTCAAAGTTCATCCAGGTTGCAGGATGAATCAGCACTTCATTCCATTTTTATGGCAGAATTATATTTCATGGACAGAAGCATTTAATTGCCACTGCCGGACACTGCTACACTCTCTCCCCATGCCCCAGGGACCATGGAAGCACTCTAGGCCTTTGCAAGTCTCAGTTTTCAAGTGCCTACAACGAGCAGCAGCCCCTAATGACTCCAATGGACAGGCAGTATGAGCAAGAAATAGAATTTGGGGGCTGTTTGTTCCTGTAACTTAACCTATCCCATTCTGACTGATAAACCAATTTGTCTGTCTTACAAATACATAGCAATAAAAATCATTGCACGTGTCTTCTCATGTGCACTTGGGAGATAGTCTCTACACCCTAGAATCTAAGGTATACACTTAGAAGTAGAACCTAAAAAGAAAAAAAAAAAAAAGAAAAGAAAACAAGGTTCAACCAGCTGATCTGGAGGAAATAATAAATTTCTATCTACTCTCTAAATAATATCTAAAATACTACACACTATTCACAATAGCAAAGACTTGGAACCAACCCAAATGTCCATCAATGATAGACTGGATTAAGAAGATGTGGCACGTATACACCATGGAATACTATGCAGCCATAAAAAAGGATGAGTTCATGTCCTTTGTAGGGACATGGATGAAGCTAGAAACCATCATTCTCAGCAAACTATCGCAAGGACAAAAAACCAAACATCGCATGTTCTTACTCATAGGTGGGAATTGAACAATGAGAACACTTGGACACAGGAAGGGGAACATCACACACACACTGGGGCAGGGTGGGGGAGGGAAAGCATTAGGAGATATACCTAATGTAAATGACGAGTTAATGGGTGCAGCACACCAACATGGTACATGTATACATGTGTAACAAACCTGCACATTGTGCACATGTACCCTAGAACTTCAAGTATAATAAAAAGAAAAAAAAATAGAAGTAGAACCACCAGGTCACATGATAAGCACACCTTCAAATTACTAGATATTGCCACATTGTTTTCCAAAGTGGTTACACCACTTAAAATTCTACGTAAGTGTTCCCACTTCCCCATATTCTCACCAACACTTAGCATTATTAGGCTTTTCATCCTGTACTTTCTAACAGAGAATCACAAACTCTCTTGAACAAAATTGCTAACTATGGCACTCAAGGGTATAGAATATTCTAAATATCTGGTGGTTAACCAGGAAGCCCTTTATGTTACGTCTTTTCCATCTAAGCATTATTTTAGCCTGCTGCCCAGCCATAAGTGGGAAAAAATGCAAAATAATACAATGTCCATGAAGTGATTCCATAGGTATGAGGGATCCACAATGGTCTTCACTGTAAACATCACTTCTCATTTGATGGATTTAGATACAGATGGTATAGGACAACAGATTAAATGTGAACTGACCCATCTGACATAAATCCTAACCTGTCTTATTTATTAATGTCACTTCAATAATTTATCCTACAAAAATAGTAGCTCAAGTTCCCAAAGACATATATATATATATTTATATCTATATATTTATATTTATATATGGATGTTTAGAGCAGCATTGTTTGAAGTGGCGAAAAAGTTAGAGACAGTCTAAATGTTCATTAACAGAGGAATCTTTTTTTAAAAGTTATAATTCCTTATTATCTACCCGAACTTTCTTGAAAGTGAGATGATAAATTTCCACATGGCTTGAGATTGTTTCAGCTGGGATTTTGTTGCTTGCAACTGAACGCCTCCTAACGATTCACTGGTTTTGCACTGGATCTCCTTTGCTAGAGGAAAAGAAATGCAGCCTGACTCTTGTGTGTGGAACACTTGGCCACTTCCCTATTAGCTGCCCCCAAGAGAGAAGTCCTATGACCCTGTGTTTTGAGGGAGGACAGCGTGACCAGGAACCCAGCAACTTTCACCAGAACTTGGTAAGAGGGCTGGGGAGTTAGTCAACATTAAAAACAAATAAAGATGCTTTTTTGTCTGTCTCTCCCCTCCCCCTCCCGGAAAGAGAGTCCCTGGGGAACAGATCAGTAAAGGCTCTGCCCAGTTTCCACCCCTCCCCCACGTCTCTAACCAGGCCAGAGGAAGCAATGGGAATAAACTGCAGGAGAGTTCAACACTTCCTGAAAGACCCAGCTCTGGCCAGCTTTAAGGTGCTGGGGCAGGGGAGAAAATCCACACACTCTGCAAGGTGGCAAGAGGAAATGCTCTCATGGAACCTGAACTCAGGAGCAGAGGCCAGCCCTGCAAGGGCCATGGGGAGTGGCTGTGTCCAGGACCCCTCGGCCACCACATGGAAGGAATCCAGCTCACCCTACGAGCCAATGAAGGGGCTGATGGTAGATGAAAATGTTATGCTGGTGAAAGAAGCCAGTCACAAGAGACCAGGTAGTGTATGACTCCATTATATGAAATGTCCAGAACAAGCCAGTCCACAGGGACAGAAAGCAGGTTCATAGCTGCCTAGGGTGGTGGTCACAGGTGATGGCTAAAGGGTACAGGGTTTCTTTGGTGGACATGAAAATGTTCTGAAATTGACTGTGGTGGCTGTGCAACTCTGAATATACTAAAAACTCTGGAATCATACTCTTTAAGTGAATTGGTCCTATGGTATGGGAATTATATCTCAATAAAGCTGTTCCAAAAAGGGAGGGAGCCAACTGCTTCGGCATGGGCCACCACTCAGGGAGCACAGTGGGGATGCCAAGCACCTGCTGTCTCTGGTATTTTTACCATTAACGTTGCTTTTATGCCAGCCACCAACTCTAGGAGTTGGTGCTACTTTATCATCCTCATTTTAAAGATGAAGAAACTGAGGCCCAGGCAGATTAAGTAATTTGCCCAAAGTCACATGGCCGGTGGTGAACTCCAACTCTCTCAAGCAGCCCTGCGGCCTGTAACCACTATGTGGGCCGCTACAACCTAATCTAAGTCAGTAGACAGCTGAACCAACATGCAAGTTAATGCTGTAGTAGGTTCACACTTATCTTAATAGTTCTGGGCCTGGGAATTTATTGCAGGATAATTTTTCAACATTTGTGCTGCTCAGGCTGCCTTGAATGAGTCTGCCTGCCTCCCAGACTTGGCTGATGTTGGAGCACACAGGTGGGGCAGAGGTGGCCCTTTAAGGTTCTTGGGGACACTGGCAGAAGCTGTCTGCTTTCAAGCAGTTGTTTGGAGTCACAAGCTGGCTAGGTACCAGGAAGCCCTCTCCCAGCAGCTCTGGAAACCAAAGGGTACGAAAGGCCCAGGCTGGGAGTAAATCCCAAATGCCCCATGCAGACTTGCATCTGGGATTGCAGCTTCCGTGGGATTTCCCACTGCTCTGACGTGAGCTCGCAGGGGTGGGAGCAGCCAGGCAACTCGGGTGGCCCCATTGCCTCTGTCTGCCAAGAACTCACAATGACGAAATGTCCACCCGCGATCCCTTCCAGGAATCCAGACTGGGAAGGTCTGTTTCTCTGCCATTCCCTTATTCGAAGTGAAATCGCTTAGCAGACAACGATGGATCTGCATTGCCCCATCCTCACACACCTGGATATGGAATCTCCACACGGTGGAGAAATCAGACCATGTAAACAAACAGGTTGACAGATGCTCACAGGGTATGAAAACTAGACATAAAGTTCTTTACCCAGCTAGAATTTTCTACAGTCTCTTCTCCTGGAGGCCCAGGGGGGTGAACTCAAGGACGTCCTGGTCTTTTGGCCGCCCCCCCAACCCCTCACCAAGTCTTCGCTGATTTTCCAGTCTCCCGTGCAGCTCTACCCTCCTCTGGGTCACAACAACTTTTCCCTGAAGCAGGTCCTCACAGCACACCTGCACCACTCTATAGTTCATGCAGCCAGGCCTCAGAGCCTTCTGCTCCCTATACTTCCTCCTTGGCCTTCACTGAAGCCAGAAATCACGTTTCTAGAGCAAGTGCCCCAAGTGGAGAGGGAGGCCCCTTTCAGCATGAGCAAAGGCTTGGCTGAATCTCACCAAGCTCCCCCTTCACTGGACGAGGAACCAGCAAAGGATGGACTAAAGGCTGGTCAAATCCCAGTACCGCGTCTTCCTAGTTGTGTTACCTTGAGTGAGTGACTCAGCCTTTCTGATTCTCAGGCCCCTTATCTATAAAGGGGAGAAACACAGTCTCTTTTGAGAGCATGAAATGAGGTCTATGGGCACCTGCCTGGCACCAAAGAGGCAATGGAGGAAAAGATCAAAGGTGGTTATTGTAAGTATATGCAAAGATCTATGAGACCCTTTTATACTAAAATCTAAGTATTCTTGGACCCCCTAGCCTGATCATAGGGGGCTCTCAAGGATAAAAGATTGCCCCAGGAATATGCCAACAGCTTTTATTACACACACACACATCCTCCAGCACACACATGCACACACACACTGCACTCACAGCTACACACAGACATGTCCATACACACACAATACATCCCCAACACACACATTCCACACTCAAACCCACACACAGACACATCCATACACACATAACACATCCCCTAACACACACACTCCACAAACTCACACACAGACACATCCATACACACACAGCACATCCCCCAATACACACATTCCACCTTCAAACTCATATACAGACACATCCATACACACACAACACATCCAACACACACAGTCCACACTCAAACCCCCACACAGACATGTCCATACACATGCAACATTCCCCAACACACGAGTGCACACACACTCCACACTCACAGACATGTACACACACACACACACACACACACCCCTTCTTTTCTCCCTTTGTTTTCTTAAAGATGTTCTCACCATCTCTAAAAACACACTAGTGTCTCCACAATTTGAAACACCATCACAAGAAGCTTTCATGTTCATAATGTCCAATGCTCTGCCAACTAGCCCGATTTTACAGAGGGAATTTTACTACAAACAAGCAGAGCGTCTTGCTCATATATGTCACCTTGCACCTGGGCACAGGAGCCGGCAGCCCCTCTCCGTTTCCTTAGACACTTACTGATGCTGCTCCTCCCAGCCTGATGAGTGACGGATGAAGATATTAGATTTCTATTATCCCTAAGTCTCTCGTTTGTTTCCTGAGGCAAGTCTACATAAGGCCGGGTTCCCTTGTTTCCAAGGCCCGCCTATCGTGTTTGCACTGACTGAGCTCCTCCCTGGTGGGCCCCTAGAAGCTGTTGTACTTATCAAGTATTCTTCAGCCCTCTATTCTTTTACCTACTCAGGAAATTGCCCTCTTATTATCAAGAAGACCTCATCAAACAAGTTTCTTATCTGACTCCTCTCTAACGAGAAACCCATAAACCTCCAGACAGGCACCACCGGACAGGCAGCCTGGTGTGGGGACCTGGGAGTCCCAGACAGAGGTTTTCAGTCCTAGCTCTACCACTTGCTAGCAGGAGAAGTTTGCTATCCTAGTTGGGTTCTTCCTGAAGCCGACCCTAAGACAAGGCCTTGGATCCAGGCTGATAACTCCCATTCCCCACCACTTGAGGGTGGGTTCCAGGGATGACAATTAGCCCCCTACCTTCCCCAAGTCTTTCTCAGGTGCACCCACTTGGGCAGAGCAAGCTTCCCTGGGGCCATGGCCCAGGAGGGAGTGCTCACACAGACAGGTGAGGTGGGGAGCTGTCAGTGTGCTGGATGCCACAGCTGGGGCACTGCAGGTGAACTCAGGTGAGCCCAGGGGACGTGGGGCAGGCATCAACAGTGCCCACCATATTTCCAGGAGTCACGGACCCTCTCTGAGCCTTTCCTTGTCTGTGAAATAGGCAGGAGAACTGTAGCACTTCCCAGCAGCACCCCTCAGAGAAGTTGTGGATGTGAGGAGCTCTGCAAACTAGGACACACACAGTACCTGCAGAAGACACCGTCACCTGCTGCACCCACAGCCCTGCACAACTCAGGGCTGCTCTCGAGAGGAGAGTGCAGGAAAGAGTGGGAAAGGCCAGAGCCCACTGAGCCGCCTCTTGGGGCCCTCGCCAAGCCTCACAGCTGTTTGAACAGCCACCGTGAAGGAAAGTGACTACCGGATGCCTCATGGTGTCTCTGATTCTGCAGCCAACCAACAAGGGAGGCATGGGCATGGTTAGCTGCGGAAACTGAGCCCCCAGGGTGAAGGACTCCTCACAGAACTCAGCTAGGAAATCCCCTGCTGGCCTGAATCTTTACACTCGCCCTTCCTCTAGAACATGCCACAGGTTCCATCCAAGACACCTCTGTCACAAACACCATGTGGCCCTCTCAAGGGCTCTAAATATATACCTGTCAGGCCCCAGGGGCTCTGGGCTGATGGGAAGCAGACTCACCTGCGGTGTGGGTGCAAATCATGGCAGCAACATGGAGCACTAACTCTGCACCAGGCACCTTAGCAGGGCTTTTGCCATCATCGGCATTTAATCCTCCTAACGACCCTATGGGGAAGGTACTATTATCCTCATATTAACGGAAGAGGAAATCCAAGCACTGAGGGGGTAAGTGACTCACCCAAGGCCACACAGCAATAAATGGCACAGCTGAAATTTGAACTCAGGCAGTCTGGTTTCAGAACCCCCTCTCTGAACTACTTTGCTGCTTTCCTCTCTAAGGTTCAGACCATTCTCTTCACTAATGTGTCAGAAGGCAGCACCCCAAATGTTGGGAATGGAGCTACCATTGCCCTCTCTCCTTGGACAAGGACTGCCAAAGGCCAGGGAGGCAAAACAGCACAGGCAGCCACCTCTCCTACAGGACCAGGCTCCTGGGGAGACCGTGTAACAGCTCGGTCCTAAGTGGGGGATCTTTACCAGGCATCGGTGTGCCCACGGCGGCATCTGGCACTGTGGCCCAACACAATCAGGGCCAATGACTTTTTTTTCTTTTTGAGAATAAAGATTTTTCCATTTGGATGTTCTAATGGGGGTTCCCAGTACAATCTTTCCAAAATGGAGAGAAAAAGCAAGGAAAAGCCAAAGACAGCAAGAGTTTCCCAGAGCACAGAGCCAGGAAGAGGCCAAAATGAGCTGGCCCCAGCTGCCAGCCCACAGGGAGGGTGTCCAGAACATCAACATACATACAGACCTAGAAGAACGTCTTGGGGCGTGCACATCAGCACAGATAAATGGTCAACCCCGCGTGGGATCTGCTCACCAGCTCTGAAGGCGGCCCTTGGCTGTGGACATAATCTTCTTTCCATTTCTTACATTACATCAGCAGAACCACTAGCAAGTAGAATAGAAATCCCAACTCTCTTTTTTCATGCCTCCAGCCTCCTTCATCACTAGTTCCACCAACACCCCTACACCCTGAAGTGGAAGTTCTAATCACAGGTTCGACACGAGGCCAAGCAAATTAGCTCGGTAGTACAGACCCAAAAGTCAGGTCAGGAGAACAGCAATTGTGTCAGCTCTGAACATGCACATGCGAAGGATTCTTTCAGGGGATGCTCCGCCTTCTCTGACGGAGAGCATATGCTATTCCAGTCACTGAGCTCTTGCTCTGTGCCTGGCAGTGTTTTGAGTGTTTTCTGTTTTACGTTAATTAACCCGTGCCATCCTCATCACCAGCCTGAGAGATGCTTTTATTATCAACGTTTTACAGATGAGAAAACCGAGGTGCAGAAAGCTGCAGCCCCTCCCCCAAGGCCACACAGCCCCTCCCCCAAGCCCACACAGCCCCACCCCCAAGGCCACGCAGCCCCTCCCCAGAGGCCACGCAGCCCCTGAGTGGCAAGGCTGGGATTCCCGTCAGGCAGTCGGCCTCCCACTGGCTGCCTCAACATAATCTCCACAACATCCCATGATACAGATACTAACAGCTGCCCTTACAGAGAAGGAAATTGAGGCTCAGCATTAAACTACCTCCCCAAAGTCACCAACTAAGCAGCCGAACCAGGGGGCAAATGGATGTCAGATTCTGGAGTCCGAGTTTGCAACCGCCATGCACACATGCCTCACTACAGGGCCGGAGAGGACAGTGCCAGTGGGCAGCCACCAGGCCTGGGAGAGGGCATGTTAGGGCACACCAGCTGGTCAGCAGGGCAGGCTCCGTAGGGCAAAGGTAAAGGGCTCCCAACGCCCAGTGCCATCAAATCAAAAAGGGCAAGGCCAGGCAAGAGCCCAGCGCTGCTGACAGACTGGCAGAGGCAGAAATGATGGCGCCAACAACAGCTGCTGTTTATTTTGGGGCCAGGGAAGAGAGGAAGGACTGGTTAGGACCCATCTCATTCCAACAATAAACTGAACAGGGCAGGGCGGGGAGGTTGCCCCGCTTCCAGCTAAAGCAACAGCCTGGCCACCTGTTGGGTTTCACTGAGTGGAATGGTCTAGGTGTCAAAAACATCTTGCCAGACACCCTAATCTAGCTTCCACCAATAAACACATCGCCACCCCGGCCCAGCCCCCTCCCCAGACCCATGTGCTGCACTTGTAAATGGCCCAGGAAGGCGGCCACATACACCAAGCCCACCCCCTGCAGTGTCAGGTTCCAGAAACAAATGGTTTTTCCTGTCTGGGAGAAGAAAGAGAAACTGCTCATACTGGCCACCCGTGGCTTTTGTTCCCTCACCCTGACACTTGTTAACACCTAATGACAAGTGTCCTGAACGTAAGGTCTACAGACAGCCACCCTGGGCTGCAGCAAGGCTGGCTGGCGGGATTCCCGGAAGGCCAGGAAACAAGAGGTTTCGCGAAGGACTCTGGAGTCCCGCTGCCTGGCTCTGAACCCGGCTCTGCCCCTTCCTAGCTTGTGACCATTGGTAAATGCATCTCATGCATCTCTCTCTGCCTCTGTTCTCTCTGAGTAATGGAAGGACCATAATAGTGCTTTTCTCATAGTCTGTTGCAAGGATTAAATGAGTGATGTGCTTAGTGGCGGGCACATCGTTCATGCTGCTGTTGTTACGGTTGTTATTGTTATGTAGCCTTAGGGTTTCCTTCTCACTGTGAACAATGGAAGACAGTTTCCCTGGATGTTACACACAGCATTTAGGCTCCCAGGTTAGCCTATGCTGTAGGTGAACTAGAGATATCTGGTTGTCAGGGATACAAATCTACTCTGAGGATGAGAAAAGTTTTGGTGGGCTGACTTGAGAATCTTAACACCATTTACGATACAATACTGATAGGAACATGTGTTTTGAGTTTCTAACAACTAACTTCAGCAACTGTAAGTTAGAAGCTTCAGTAAAAATAGGAGTATGAGGTCGGAGGGGAAGGGGCTTTAGTAGAATGAAGCCTTTGTCCAGGGATTTATCACACTGATCCAGGACGCACCATGATCCAGACCCTCTGCTAGCATGAGGAGGGGGCGTTAAAGATGAAAGGATGTGGTCGCTGCTTTTGCAGGAATTCACGCCCCTACCTGCCTCCTGGCTCCCAGCTGGAGCACTGCTTTCAACACAGCACCTTGCACACAGTAGGCACAAAAATAATGTTCAGCCAGTGAAGCTTCCTGGTGTGTACCCTGCCTTTGGGGCCCTGGAGTTCCTACCCATGACGCTGCTGATGGAGACTGTGTTTCCCCAGGAGGTCTCTTTTAAAGGGGGTCAGGGTCAAACCCCAAGCAGTCCTTGAAGCCACCTCTCTGGCAGTGTTTTGGCCAGTTTCAGTCTCCATTAGGTCATCATGAGGCCTCACTGCTGAGCAGAGCATGCTGTGCAGGGTGGGGAGGGATACAAGGCTCAACGTGACCCTTTTCCCTATCTGACCCCATGACCTGCTGCTCTCCCCTCTCTCACTCCACTCAGGCCACACCAGCCACCTCGGGGCCTTGGCACCTGTTGTTCCCTCTCCCTCAACCACTTTCCCCCAGATAGCCACAGGGCTCACTTCCTCACCTCCCTCAAGTCTTACTCAAAAGCCACCTCTACAGTGGGGCTGTCCTTGGCCACCCTCTATAAAATAGCACAGCAAGGCCGGGTGCAGTGGCTCACGCCTGTAATCCCAGCACTCTGGGAGGCCGAGACGGGTGGATCACGAGGTCAGGAGATCAAGACCATCCTGGCCAACATGGTGAAATCCTGTCTCCACTAAAAATACAAAAAAATTAGCTGGGTGTGGTGGCGGGTGCCTGTAGTCCCAGCTACTCGGGAGGCTGAGGCAGGAGAATGGCGTGAACCCGGGAGGTGGAGCTTGCAGTGAGCCGAGATCGCACCACTACACTGCAGCCTGGGCGACAGAGCGAGACTCCGTCTCAAAAAAAAAAAAAAAAAAAGCACAGCAACTCCCACCATCACCAACATGCCTGTCTCCCTCACCTGGCTTTAGTTTTCCCTACGCCATTCAACCCCCATCTCATACACTATGTTTTTGACCTATTTTGTTATTGTATTCTTATTTTTAAATGATATATAATAGTTATACAAATTTTGGGGGTACCTGTGATAATTTGATACCTGTATACAATGTGTAATAATCAAATCGGGGTCATGGGGATATCCATCACCTCAAACACTTATCTTTTATTTGTACTGGGAACATTCCAGTTCTTCTAGTTACTGTAAAATATGCAATAGATTATTGTTAACTACAATTTCCTTACTGTACTATCAAATACTAAAACGTATTATTTCTACCCAACTGTATTTTTGTATTCATTAATCAACCTCTCTTTATTCCTCCCACCTGGCCTCTGGTAGCCGCCATTCTACTCTTCACTACCTCTGTGAGATCTACTCTTTTTAGCTCTCACCTATGAGTGAGGACAGCAATATTCGTCTTTCCGTCTTTCCGCACCTGGCTTATTTCACTTAACATAATGACCTCCAGTTCCATCCACGTTGCTGCAAATGACAGGGTGTCATTTGTTTGTTTATTGTTTCCTTTCCCACACCAGAATGTAAGCTCTAAACGGGCAGGGATTTTTATCTGCCCTGCTGTGTTCCCAGCGCTTGACACATAGTAAACATTCAAATATTGACTGAATGAAACAATGAATGAATGAATATGAGTAAGTATCAGCTTGCCAAAGGCTGAACAATCCAAGGTCATTCTTGGTAAGTGTTAAATGAGAGGTAAAACAGTTAACATTATAAAAATTCGTAGACTGGAAATGTCATTTTAAGATGAGAGGTCAGGGAAGCTTCCAGGAGATGGCAGAAACTGAGCAAAATCAAGAAGGATGATAACGCTGGTGATAGCAATAGTGCCGTTTATGGAACAGTTATCATATGAGTAACAACCATATGGGTTAGGTAGTAGTATTATTATACCCATTTTACTTAGGAAACTGAGGCCCAGGAGGTGAAGAAACTTGGCCAAGTGAAACAAGCTAATGAGTGGCAGGGCTGTGATTCATAGCCAGCTTCAGAGCCACAGCCCATGACAGCAGCTGCCGATGCTCTGCCCCTATCCTCTTGCCCTCAACTTCCAACTGCTGGCACCCAAGTCCCTCTCTTAGTGCTTACTCTGGTTTCCAGAGCCTGGTTTTGCCTAAGCAAGCATGGGGCTGAAAATACCAGGAACTTAAACTCCTCCATGCTCCCTACCACAGTGCCATGCTATCCACCATCCCCAAGAGGAGGATGTGGAGACTGGCAGCTGAACCCTCTGAAGGGCCAGGCCTTCAAAAGTGGCCCTGGGCAAGAGTTCAAGGGGAATACAAATTTGAACCTGCAAATAGAGGCCAGACCTTGGCACAGATCTGTTCCTATAGCAAGCTTGTTATCATATCTTAACATCCGCTCCAACCACATCATGTTTTCAGGGAGGGGCTCAGAGGGAGGGTCACATGGGCAGGTGACCTGGGGTTTAATTCAGCCCTTTGGGGTTTTATCCAGGACCTATGTGACGAGCTCCCTAGCTCCCCATCCCCTAGGGAAGCTGTCAGATAAAGCCGTCGGGCTTTGTTCCTGAAGAGATCTGGGATGCAACCCTGGCTCCCACTGTTGCTGCCAGTGATGGGGCAAGATGCTGCACCTCCCTGAGCCTCAGTTTCCTCCCCTATAAAACACAGATGATGACCAGGGTTTGCTGTGGGGATTAAATGAGACAAGTGCCTGCATCTAAAATGGACTCCACCCATACATTCTCTAACCTGACATCCCCACTTCCCCTGCCTGGGAGCTGCCACGTTCAGAAATAACAAAAAACATGAGGCTGCTTGCTTCAAGTTGCCAATGAGTGATGACTAAAGTCAGTAATTAATCCCAGCTTGAGACCAAAGTGCAGACATTGTTCTATTACGGACCTTAACTCTGCAAGAGAAGCATCAGTTTGCCAGCCCACTGAGGCTCTGACCAGCAGAAATCCCTGGGCTGCCACCTCTGGGAATCTCACACTCATCAAGAAGTGATTCTATCCCTTCTGGGTGCCAGGCACTGCGCTGAGGGCTCAACTAATCTGTTCCAGCCCAGGAGGCAGAATTCAGGACAGAGTTTCACCCTCTCGGAGCTCCACTGCCAGCCCCATGCCAGGCCGGCCAGGCCTCCTCCTCTGTTGTTACAGAGAGAAATTCTCCCACACAGGCAAGTCCCTTAAAATAGCCTTTTGGGTCTGGGCCATCAGGAAATGGGATAACGCTGGGTCAGAATTGGGCCTATCATGAAAGAGTTTACAAAGCAGTCACTTCAAAGGACAGGGACAATCCCTATATGCTCTGAACACTTAGATGGGCAAAAGCAACCAGGGCAAGTTCCCCATGAGGAGCACCTTCTCACAGAAGCCCCTGTAGCCCTGGGTGCCCTGAAAAGGGACCAAGTGTGTAAGACACAGTGATGGTGTAGAACCAGGCGCAGGCTGGGGAAGGGGAGGGAGGTCACATCTGCCTGGGTTTGTGCTTTCTTAACAATGCTACCTGCACTCTCCAAACCTCAGGTTCCATATGAGTCAAATGGGGTTAAAAATGCATACCTTCATGGCCACCCTGGGGCCAGAGGTTATAAATCAAAGGCCATGCAATGCCTGGCACAAAATGGGAATTCAATATGTGGTAGCTGTGTCAGAGGCATGTGAACCAGAGCAACTCCATCTTGAATAAGGGCTGGGTAAAACAAGGCTGAAACCTACTGGGCTGCATTCCCAGATGTTTAGCCATTCTAAGTCACAGAATGAGACAGGAGGTCAGCAGAAGATACAGGTCATAAAGACCTTGCTGATAAAATAGTATGCAGTAGGCTGGGCGTGGTGGCTCACACCTGTAATCCCAGAACTTTGGGAGGCTGAGCCAGGCAGATCACCTGAGGTCAGGAGTTCGAGATCAGCCTGGCCAACACTGTGAAACCCCATCTCCACCAAAAAAAAAAAAACAAAAAATTAGCCGGGCATGGTGGTGTGCGCCTGTAATACCAGCTACTCGGGAAGCCGAGGCACGAGAATCACTTGAACCCAGGAAGTGGACGTTGCAGTGAGCCAAGATTGCGCCTCTGCACTCCAGCCTGGACGACAGAGCGAGACTTCATCTCAAAAAAAAAAAAAAAGAAAAAAGAAAAAGAAAAAGAAAAAAAGGGAAAACAGCATGCAGTAAAGAAGACGGCTAAAACCCACCAAAACCAAGATGGCAACGAGAGTGACCTCTGGTCATCCTGACTGCTATACTCCCACCAGCACCATGACAGTTTACAAATGCCATGGCAATGTCAGGAAGTTACCCTATATGGTCTCACAAGAGGAAGCATGAATAATACACCCCTGGTTTAGCATATCATCAGGAAATAACCATAAAAATGGGTAACCAGTGGCCCTCGGGGCTGCTCTGTCTATGGAGCAGCCATTCTTTTATTCCTTTACTTTCTTAATAAACTTGCCTTCACTTTACTCTATGGACTTGCCCTGAATTCTTTCTTGCTGGAGATCCAAGAACCCTCTCTGGGGGTCTGGATCGGGACCCCTTTCCTGTAACAGCTCTATGATGATGATGGTGATACAATACGTGCCAAGGTCTCCTTTAGTGAGAGTACGCCTCAAAAAAGGAAAACAACGTAGGTTCTCCATCAGGGACCACACAGTGATAGGCAAAAGTGCAAACCAGCCCACACTCCATCAATCCCTACCCCACCTGGTACACCCTGCAAGTTCATTCTCAACATGGGGCATTACTTCCATTCCTGACTCCCTGAAGTTGTGGTCAGATCAGGTAAGAGTGATCAGTTTCCAACAGGTCTAAAGTTCATGCTCCAGGGATCCCAGAAACAGGCTAAATTGTCCCACCCGCCCCACTGCATAATTTATGCTGCATTGACACACACACACAGAGTCTACCCCGACCCAGCCATGGGCCTCCGCCCAGGCTTGGGGAGGGTGGCTTCCTCGCCAGCCAAAGGGAAATGACAGCACAGGGACAGAGAAAGCAGCCCAGTGGAGTGGCAGAAACCACAGCTGTTTCCCCTTTGCTAACTCAGCCACTTAGATATCACTTCCTCCGCTCAGGTAACAGCAGGGAGAGATGGGACTGGGAATAACTCTGTCTTTTCCTGTTCACAAAAAAATGATTGGTTTGGAAAGAAGGAAAACCAGAGGCCGTTTTCTAGAAGAGATCTTCACTAAGAGCCTAAGTACTCCTGAGTCGACTCTGTCTATGAGGCTTCTCAGGAGAGGTGGCTGGGCAGGTGAACCTTGTTTAAAAATTCCCTGGGGTCAGGAACAACTCACTTTGTATAGCATCCCTGCCCTAGATAATTAAGAACCCAGACTGGGGGATCAAGGGACCTCCTCACACAGCTATCATCTCTGGGCTCAGTGCTTTCCAAAGCAGCTGTTATACCTGCCCTCCGCTCTGCAAGGCAAGCCTGAAAAGAAACAGTTGCACCATTTTCTAGATGGGCAAATGTAGTTCTAGAAGGGGGAGGTGACATGTGGAAGATCTCACGGCTTGAGGAGCCAACCAACTAGGCCTAAGGTGGAACCATGGAGCCCAGGCATCCTGGGTGTGTAATGTGTCATTAAGCGGTCTCTGTGGGGACAGGGCAGGCTTTGGAGCCAGCAGACCTGGGTCAGTGCAGGCCTCTCCACATGCAGCTCATCAGCTGCGTGGCATCTGGCAATTCATTTGAGCTCTCTGAGCCTTTGTGCTGTCACCTGTACAGTATGGATGCTGGTGGGAGCTACATGCTGCGTGGGGCTGTTCTGAGAACATCCATATGAGATGCTTAGCACATAGAAAACATTTAGAAAGGTCAGCTGTTATTTTTATTGTTACATTTTCCCTAAGAATAAGGTTTACTAGACTATCTGGGAGTGTGGTAGAGGTCAAATAAATGAAGAGGTAGTTTGAAGCATTGCATTTACTTATTTGTTTTTAGAGACAGGGTCTTGCTGTTGCCGAGGCTGGAATGCAGTGGCATAATCATAGCTCACTGCAGCCTCCAATTCCTGGGCTCAAGTGATCTTCCCACTTCAGCCTCCCGGGTAGCTAGACTACAGGTGTTCATCACGATGCCTAGCTTTTTAGAATTTTTTTTTTTTTTGAGACAGGGTCTCACTCTGTCACCCAGGCTGGAGTGCAGTGGTGTGATCACGGTTTACTGCAGGCTCAACCTCCTGGGCTCCAGCCATCCTCCCATCTCAGCCGACTGAGTAACTGGAACTACAGGCGCATGCCTCCACACCTGGCTTATTCTGGCTTATTTTTTAATTTTTTTGTAGAGATGGGGTCTTGCTACATTGTCCAGGCTGGTCTGAGCTCCTGGCCTCAGGTGATCCTCCCCACTTTGGCCTTTTGAAGCACTGGGATTACAGTCATGAGCCACCATGCCCAGCTGAAGCACTGCATTTAAAACTAAAACAAGTTCAGGCCAGGCGCAGCGGGTCACACTTGTAATCCCAGCACTTTGGGAGGCTGAGGCGAGTGGATCACCTGAGGTCAGGAGTTCGAGACCAGCCTGGCCAACATGGCAAAACCCCACCTCTACTAAGAATACAAAAATTAGCTGCGTGTGGTGGTGCATGCCTGTAATCCCAGCTACTTGGGAGGCTAAGGCACGAGAATCGCTTGAACCCGGGAGGCGGAGGCTGCAGTGAACCGAGATCGCACCACTGCACTCCAGCCTGGGTGACAGAGCGAGACCCCAACTCAAAAAAAAAAAAAACCAACTAAAACAAGTTCAGAGAGATCCTGAAGTAGAAGGCAACATTAGTGTAGATGGTTCAGAAGACACAGACATGCTGGGCTCCCCTCAGACTGTGAGGTATTGGCCCCCAGAACCTACGAGGATGGGCGCATTCTCGCTCTTGCCACTGGGGGAGTGTGGATGGAAATTACTCCACCTGAAACGCTGCTGCATCAGGCCCTCCCAAGCTAGTTAAGACCCAAAGCAGCTGACACCTCACTTCCTGCTGCTCCCTCTCCTCCTCCTCCTCCTCCTCAACCCTTCCTCCCCAGGAGCCTGGGTGCAATCAACTTTTTATGGGGAAGCCAGACCCCTAGGAGTGAGAGCTGTAAACAGGAGGGGTGGGACCCAGCTGGCCAACTAAAGAGTCCCCCAGGCAGAGCTAGAAAAAGGTTCCAGTCCTTACTTAGCTCTGTTCCAGGCACAGTCGCAAAAACAGCGCTGGAGCCCACCGGGAGGACCTCAAAGTGACTATTTAGCTCCCTCTCCCTGCCAAGCCCTTGGGAGAAAAGGAAGGTTCCAAGGTGTCTACAGAATAAACTGAATTCCCTCTGCTGCCATCGGAGCCTCTCAGAGCTGGCCCTGAGCTTTCCTGTCATCCTTCTCTCCCTCATCCACCCTCGGCTTTGCCCAGCTTTTCCTTGCACGTTCCACCTCCAGCACCTTTGCTTTTCTCTTTCTTGGAATGCCCTTCCCCAGTTTTCCCATCTAAATCCTACTCTTTCCCAGCCAAATCCTAATTACACCTCAAGGTCCATCATGAAGCTGCCTTCTCCAGTCGGTCTTCCCTGGAAACTCCAGTTCACAGAGTGCTCTCCCTCCTCTGAACAGCTTCAGGACTTAGTGATTGTGAAAGCAAATACTTATGCTGAGCTCCATAAGGCGCCAGGTACCGGTCTAAGCTCTTTACAATTACAAACTCATTTCATCTTCATCATAACCCTAAGAGCTAGGTCCAACTTTCCCCATATATTCTTTTTTTTTTTTTTTTTTTTTTTTTTTTTACTGATGAGGAAACTGAGGCTCAGAGACATAAGTAACTTGCACTGTATCCCACGGCAGCGAGTGGTGGGGCCAGGATATCCCAATGCTCAGCCAAGGGATACGGCACACAGGTGCTCTGGGACAACACAGCCTCCCAGGTGCACCCCTCATCCCCAGGTGGTGCTGCCTGGACTCACTGGTTATTTTCTCTCTCACCAAGCCAGCTCTGATGGGGAAGAAGTGGCACTCACAGATGTGGGTGTCAGAGACCAGGGTGAGAATCCCAGCCCTGCCACAGAATTACTCTGAGTAGAATGATACGAACCCTCCGAGCTTCAATTTCCCCATCTATAAAATGGGAATAAAAACACCTACCTAACCGCATGGGGTTGTTATGAGGTTCAAGTAAAATCGCCTCTAAAGGCATCTTCTGCATTGCCTGGCACATAGTAGGTGCTTGTATGTTAGTTCTCCCCCTTCTTATGGGGTCTGGACAGCCTTGCTGGACTCTGACCGGCACCATGCACACAGCAGGGGCTCAGTCTCTGCGGCTGATATGGTGACTTGCCTGGGGGTTACCCAGAGGCACAAGAGGGATCCTCATGTGACCCCCATCCCCTTCACAGCTAGGCTCCTGACCTTCCATTCACCTGCCCACCTGTGACTGGCTGCACTACAGGCAGCAGAAGCCCGGGCCAGGCAGGAAGTAGCACGCTGCTCTGGGAATCCGCCTCTGGAAGCCCTGATCACTCTATTGGGCGCTTCCATTATTTTTGGCAATTGTCATGGCAGAGAACACCTCTGGCCCTCACTCAGAACCTATTTCCAAAGCCAGAATCTCCACCTCATTTCCCACACACACCCCTTGTCCTTCCTGTCCCCTGGGTCCCTATCCTAATCTACTATCCCTTTCCTGGATTCTCAGAACTCGAGAGGAGTAAGTGGGACTACCATGTGTATAACTCTATTATTTGTTTCATTTTGTTTAATTAAGAGGTAAAAGAGAACACAGTTGCCCATTAGACTTTTTCTGGCCAAGAAATAGTCTGGTCAGTGACTCAGGCTGAGGCAATTAGAAGGCAATTTACAGGGAACTGCTGTGCAAACCCAAAGTCAGAAGTCCTAACAACACTTCCCTAATTCATAGCCTCCACGGTCAGTTAACTCATGCTGGCCCCGGAATATCTCTTTGGAAAATGCAGCAGCTGGGGCTTGTATTTCTGGGCTGGAATCGGTCTCCTCTGACATCAAATAGGTTTATTTTTCCCTTCTCTTCCCTTCCCCTCTGCCTGCCACCACACATGGTAATTTCTACCCTGGTTTGCCCCCCAAAAGCCCTCACTCAGCTCAACACAGGGTTGCGATAAATGGCTGGCTGTGCTCCCTGTTCCAACAGCCTTGAAGGGTGTGGTTGGTTGTTCCATGAGCAGGGAGCCTTGTCAGACCCGTGAATCACCCCTCGATCACTTCCCTCCCCAGAGAAGAAACCGTTCCCATGCTTGTGCATGTGTAAGAGAGACAGAGGGACAGAGAGAGCAGGCAAGAGTGTTAACCCATGTGTGGTGCTGACCTTGGGGCTAGGATCCTATTTGACCTTGCCCTTACCCAGAGCAACCTCTTTCCTTCTCTCCTAACCTCTGTTTCTTCCCAGCTTACCAGAAAGCCACCACCAGATCCCAATGCTCAGCTCCAGGAACCCCTCCAGGTCTGAACAGCTGCTCTGTGTTTATCTGTTCCTCTTGGAGGCTGGGTGTTTTCCATGGGGCGTGTAACCCACTTCCCCATCAGACTGTGAAAAGCTGGGCCGTCCTTCTTGCCTCAGTCTTTCCTTTTCTCTCAGATTGACCGATTGGGTCCTAAATCACCTGCAGTGCCTTGGTGATCAGGAACAGCAGATGGCAACTAGTATATGGTGCATGTCCATGGTGAGGTCAGGCACTGGGTAGACACTACCCCAAATTATCTCAGGCCAACTTCCCAAGAGCCCTGTGAAGTTACAGGTGAGGAGACTGAGGCTCAGAGTGACAGCCCAAGGTTGCACAACTAGGAAGTGCCACAGGTAGGATTCAAGCACTGATCTGCCCAACACCATACTCATTCCATAATGGAACTGGCCCTGAAAAAGACCCTTGCAGGCTGTGGCTGCACATTCTCATTCCTGTGGGGCTGGAGTCACAATCTAAGGGCTGAGAAAAAAAAAAAAAAAGAAGGGCACAGAAATGAATGAGTTTGGGGCCAATTCCTAAGCATGTAGCTCCCAGGACCAAGAATAAAATCTGGGATGATCTAAACAGAGGAAGAATATATTATGTCCACAAGGTCAACCCTTAATTTATTACCCTAAGCATTACTGGGGACCAGATACCAGCCTGAAGTTGCTCTACTCCTCCTGCCTCACAGTGACCCGCCTGCGTTGCCCACCATGAACTCACCTGCAGGGCACATGGTAGATGTCTCTACAGTGAGGCAGTCCTAAAGACAACCCTGTACTGCTCTGTCACCATGGAACAGGGCTGAGCCTGGCCTTCCTGCCCGGATTCTAATTGAAGAGAAGGGCCCCACCTTATATCCACATCCTCCTTTGGAGCTAACCTGACCTGCATTGCCCTAGCTCTGCCCTGTGCCAGCTGCGAGACCCTAAGCAAGTTGGTGAATTGCTCCAAGTTGCAGTTAATTCATCTGTAAAACAGAATCCAAAAACCTACCCCACATTAGGGTACATTCAATGACCTGCAGGAATCACACGAAAACACGAGTGTTAAGTATGTTTCACCATCGATGGTAACTGCTAAACTGGCTATTATTTGCATTCCCCAAAGAGTCCTGCAGAGGATCAGAACATTCATGATTGGTATTTGTCTGAAATAAACAATCAGGAAATAAAACAACTGTGAAAGTGCAATACCTCCCAAATCCAAATAGATACAATTTCTTGTTTGTTTTAGATAAACGAGCTTTTCTCTACCACATGAATTGATATATACCTATACCTGCCTGTGAGCACAAAGAACCCGGTGGACCTGAATTCAAATCTTTACTGAAAAACTTTCAAACGAAGGAATCTGCATTCTGCATCCAGCATCATCAGGACCATTTTCAAGACAAGCGGTCAGAGGCCAAAGCCAGTTTACCTAGGGTCTCCCCAGGCACAGCTCAGAAAGCCAGGAAAGGAGCCTAGCTTCATGCCAGGGAGCCTGACCTTAGTAGCAGCTGCCTGCCCTTCTCAACCCCACCCCAAGCAGGGGCCTGGCAGAGAAGAAGGAAGCCAGGGCTGAGTGCCATCCCCATGATGGAAGCTACTTGCGTGCCTTCATGAACTGACCGAAAGCACAGGACCCTTCGTGTTCAGGCAGCTCCCCCTCCCCGTGGGGATGAGCAAACCCTTTGCAGAATGTCCTGAGAGAACCTTTGCAGTGTGTTCCCAGCACTCTGGAGCCAGCAGAGCTCCTCCTGCGTGGGCCCCAGGCCTCTCATCGGCTAGCTCTGGCTAACACGCACATCCCGTAAAACCTCTCTGCTCTGCAATTTACCAAACCACAGACTCAGAATTCACCATCAGCAGAGGAAAGGCTGGAAGGAGGCTTGCTCCTCCAGTGTAGAGGGTTTCCAGAACACAGGCAATGGGTGCAGCACGTCCTGCCAGCTGACCACACCAGAGGGCCTTACTCACAACACTTGAGCTTTTGGTGTGTGGTATTCACCGTGCAAGGGCCAGGAGAGGAAGAGGCTGCAGCCTCCCCAAACCCGCTCCTCCTGCCCCTGTCTGTCCCACCAGGCCCTTTCTATTGCTTTCTTTCCCCCTTTCAATTATTGGATATGCTTATGTTATGTATTAATATATACAATGCCCCAAATGGGTAGAAACTTTTTGACCACCAGTTATTTGTCCTCTTAGCCAAACCCAACTGGACTTAGGGTACATGCAATGAAAAAAACCCAGCTGTGAGCAGCTGTGTTGCAAGTTACTTTACCCAATCTGGCTCTCCATTTCCTCATCTGTAAAATGAAGGAGTTGAGCCAGATGAGTCTTCGGGTCTCTGCCCGTTCCACAATTCCACAACATGTAACACTTTCTCCTCTCAGTGTTTTCCAGAACTCTAGTTCAGAACTCTGCATGGCCCCATCTGTTCAGTGACATCACTCCCTGCCCCCCCAAACATAATGTCATCGATTCTTACTCGGGAAGCGGAGATGTCCCGGGAAACACTTTGTCTGTAAAAAGGAAGGAAATGATCATTTCGAGGGAACTGGACAGGACTTCTTTTGTGTTTTTCACATAGAACAAGTTATTATCAATCTTAAAACCCAAAATCTTTCTTCCTTTTTGCCAGACCATTAATAGCTGCTTTTCAAAAATACTTTCTTAGTCAGAATCTCACCAATAATAAGCTACCATTTAATAAGAGCTTACTGCGTGCCAGGAACTGGGCTAAGTGCTTTACATAGATGATCTCATTTAATTCTCCCAACAAGTACATACTATTATTATCCTTACTTGAAATTGAGTAAACTGAGGCTGGGGGAGGTTTAAATAACTTGCCAAGGTGGCACAGCTAGTTACTGGCTGCATGCCAGGCTTTGAGCAAGACCGTCTAACTTCAGAACCCCAGCACGCAATCTTGCCTTTCAATCCTGTCTGCAGTGGGCCCCGGTTCTAGTTTGTTACCAGTGTGTCCTGCATCTGCAACCTTGGGCACCATCGGTGGGAGCTGAAATGTGATGTTTCATTTAAAATCCAGAGTTGGAAACGCACCTGCCTGGGTCTCAGAGCAGAGTGCCATCTGTTGAATGCAGTGCCAAGCTCAGCTGAGGACTACAAATGAGAACCCTTAAAACTTAGCCTGCAACATTTGAGAAAAATAAACCCTGGGATATACAAAGGGACATCTGTCCACAGAGCAGGTTGACCACCTGGTGACCCAAGCCCTCCAAAAAGAGCTTTCTTGTAACAGCAGCAGAAAATGCTTGCTGGACCAGATGACACAAAAGAAACAACTCTCTAAGGGTGTCAGGGACTGGACCCGACAGGCACCCACCTCCCTGCCTAGTCAACCTGCCTCCACATTTACCTCCTCCCCATATGAGCCCAGCCGCATTTGCTCAGCTGTAAAGAAACTCAAAGTTCAGAGCTACACTGGTGACAAAGGCAAAAAGAGTAGCCCGAGGCTGACATTGCCACAAACCCCAGTCCCTTTGCAACAGTGGAAGAAAAGGCACTTCAGAGATCAATGTACAATCCAGGGCAGCAACCAGCGCCTGTTTTAACTGTTAAGATTAATGCTTTGAGCACTGGAACTGCTCCTCTAAATACCCAATTTGCAAATAACATGCAGTCCTCTGTGCTTGGGTCTCTTCTATCTCAAGTACAGGAGCACAGACGCTCAGAGGGGTCAAGGACACCGTGTTTACTTCCTAAGGTGTGAGGGATGGGAAGACAGGACCGGCTGAGATGAAAGGGGAACTGTCACATAGGCTCTGGAGCTGCCCCAGTCAACCTTAACCCCTTCTCATTAAAGTTTGGGGGAGGAAGGGGGAGGGGCGGTTCCTCGGAGACCACAGCAAACATTCGCCTCCTCGTGTCTGGAGATGGAGCATCACTTAAGAGGAAATGAACCCGGTTAAGGGTCACGTCCAGAGGAGGGATAAAAGGAAAAGCCACAATTCTCCTCACACCGACGGACACAATGGCTTTATGAGGGAAATCAAAGCTTAGCGCGGAGGGTGGAGGTTGGGCAAGGGGGCGGCGGCTTCCTTCTGCCCCCAGCCCCAGGCCTAGGAAGGCAGAGACAGAGCTGGCGTGGGAGGCAGGGCGCGAGGCTTCCTTCTCCAGGGCGAGCTCTGAAAGCATCTCGGGCTGTGTGAGCGTGAGCGCCCAGGGCCCCTGGGGAGGGCCGAGGAGATGCGCTTTCCCGACGGGGCTGCTCTGTGAGGGGTTGACGAAAGCTCCCCCCACCATCCATCAAAGGCGGACAGATGACTTCACCGTTGTAACAGACAAGGGCAGCCACTTGCCAATTCCAATGCCAAAAAAAGAAACCGGGGGGGCGGGGGTGCGAAGGAGGAAGGACAGAAGAGGCTTCCCTGGAGATCACAGCCCTGCGAAGAAACTCCACGGCTGCTGGCTGCCCAGTGGGCGCTTAGCTTCGCGACCTCACAGCTGGGAGGGGCAAGGGGCCATCCGGGGCCCTCCCGGGACCTCGGGCCACCCCCAGCAGGGTCGGCGGGGGCTGTACTCACGTAGTGCTTGGAGGGGTTCCTCCGCTTCTCCACGTCCACCACGGTGGCATCCTGCACGCAGTAGGCGAGCATCTTCCCCCACAAAGCGAGTGGCGCCCCCGGCGGCGTCACCTTCTCATCCCGGCCGGGCTCCGGCTCCTTCTCCAGCTGCCGGGGTCCCGGGGCCGCCCGCCACCCCGGCCCGGCGCGCCGAACGCTGCCCGGACTCCCGGCGCCCACAGGTCCGGCCCAGGGACGGGGGAGGGTCCCGGAGGGCGCGCGGGCTCCGTGCGCCCCGGGGGACTCCCCGCCGGCCTGCCGCGCGCCCCTTCACTCCCGCGCGGCCGCCGCGCTGCGCTCGCCCGCTCGCTCTCTCCGCCGCCCGGTGGGTCCGGCGGGAACTGGCGGAGCAGAGGAGGGGCGGGGGTGTGTCCCGTCGGCGAGGGGACGGGGCGGGGGCCCCGGAGCCTGCTGTCAGCGTCCTGGGGAGGGGCCGGCGGCTCCCCTTCGCCGCTCTCCGGCTCGGGCTCCGGGGGGATCGGCGCTGGCGGAGGCTGTGGGCGCAGGAGGCGGAGGCAGGGCCTGGCAGGCAGGGAAGGGAAGGGAGGGAGGGGAGAGAGGGGAAGCGCGCGGGGAGGGGCTCCGGGCCGGGGGAGGGGCTCGGGGCGACGGGGAGGGGGCTGCAGCCCGGCCCCAGTGGCAGGGGCGGGCCGACGAGCCCCCACCCGAGCCCAGCGCGCAGCCAGCGGCCTGGCGCAGCACCGGGCTAGTTCGCTAGGCACAAAAACTCAGGGTGGCTTCGGGGGGAGAGGGAGCGGGGAAAGTGAGCCCCGCGCGCCCCCATCCTGGCTTTCCGCCTCGGAGCGGATTTGTGCCTTTTTGTCCCCACTTTTATGTCCCCCTACAACTTCCACCCCCAGATCTCTTTAATGAGAAGTAGTTTATTACCCGGCTGTTACTGCCCAGGCCCCCGAGGAGGAGATGGGAATGGGGAAAAGGCCAGCTTTAAATCCTTCAAGCCAGAGCCTCTTTGGACGAACCACCTGACCCTCTGCAGGTCATAAAGGGTGAATTCTCCCCGGAAAAGTGATCGATTCGTTGCCTGAGTCGTCCATCGATCTGGGCTTGTGTAACTACCCTGTGCATCATTTACCAATGACAACGTTACAGACTCTGCATAACACCACTGCCTTAAGCCCAGGGCTCCCCTGGGGACCCTCCCCAAGCTGGCGACAGGGAAAGGAGCATACAATGGTGGGAAAACCCACCCGGTTGGAGGCCAGCTCACCGTGAGCCCCAGGCTCTGGCATTCTCACCCCTCCCTCTAGTCTGGAAAACCCACTTTCCAAGCCACTTGTCCGTGGTCCCTGGACTTGGAGCACAGTTACTACTTAATTCAATGTAGCTTCCCCCCTTCTAGTTCAACATTTTTTTCCCATTCTGCTTTCAAACATTTAAAGGGTAGTGTTTTCACAACTACTCCAGTTGTTACACAATCACAATAAAGCTTTGTGACTGTGGACCAATGTGAAACATCTGAAAAGAGGACAAATAATTTTGTGACCTAATTGCATTAATACTTTCTTCTGCGCGTTCTCTAGACTGTCAGAACCCAGGCACAGATCTAAGGCTTTATTTATTCACATATTTGCTCCATACAGAGTAACCCACTATTCCTCCAACCTTCCTGGGGAAGGGCGCTAGGACACCAAACGATGGCACGGGACAAAGAAAAAAAAAGATGGATGGGCCTAGGGGGCTCAGACTGTGAGAGATCTTGGCACCAGGCCAGAGCTTCTTGGTCAGAGAAGATGACAGAAAACCTTTGTGAATGTTGGAGCAGGAGTCCTGGGGGAAGGTGCACCTGGTAATGTTGCTCAGCTGATGGGAAAATGGGAGGACAGGGCACTACCTCCATGAGCAAGGATTATTCCCTGAAGGGATGAGAGGTAGACCTGGAACGGGCCCTCCATATTGAGCTCCCGAACTTGGGAGGGTGCTGGCCAGCTCCAGGTCCTCTCTGATGATGGATCAAGACAGCCTGTGAGTTTGTGAGGAAGAGATTCATCATGGCTCTCGGATAACTCGTCTTCTGTGGATGGCAAAGTCTTCTGGAAGTGCTAATAAAACCTGAGAAGCCACCAGCGAGGGGAGCTGGTGTTTAGCTGTTGTGGGGGGAAGAAGAGGAGGGGGTTTAGTTTGATTTGGGTCCCCTTGTGAATCAAAGCAGTCAGCTCATCTAAAACAGCACTAGTGGTTTCCTTATTACCCTTCTTTCGGACCCAGATCCACAATGAACACACCAAGCACAATAAATTTGTAGGAGAGAGGGCCCAGTTCTTCCCCACTTCCTAGCGGCCTACAAAGTGGTAGCCTTTCTCCTGCCTAAAAGACTCCCTGCAACTTGACATTTTATAAATTCAGGCCTTTAAGCCTGACTTGAGCATACTCCCAACTTCCCCCTTTGTTCCGTAATTACCTTTATTGGAGGGAGCAACTGAGTGCTCCCCACTCAACCCCATGGTGCCAAGATCTGGGCAGAAGTTATTTCTACCTGTGGGAGAAAAATGTCTTTTCTGTACTGGGGCCGTATGTCCAAGGGGATTTAAGTATGAAATGGTGCAGGCTATCTCTTCTCTGGGTACATTTCAACCTCATGCAGATTTATTTCCCACAGTGCCTTGGGAATTCCTTTCTGTTCAATACACATTTATTGAATGCCTCACATGTGCCTGGCAATCCCCCAAAAATGACAGAGACTGGGGGAAGTTTCCTTGGAAACAAGGACTGTGCATCATTCATTAAATACCCCAACTATGCGTGGCACACAGTAGGTATATAGGATGGCCTGTGTTGAAAACATCTGCTCAAAGAGCTAGTGCTAGAAAGGATTAGAGAAACCCCTATTTTGCCACCTCCGCCCATGAACTGGAGATGACTCCAACCTAAGGACATTGTGTGAGTTAAAAATGACAAAATATAATTGCAAATTTTTTTTTAAGTTTAGGATAAGTAAGGGAAAGAGAAGCCAACATAAAGATGCAAACTGATACCTGAAAATCTGATTTTCGAAAACAGGTAATTGTAGAATGCTTAGAATCAAAGAACTTTCCAACTAGAAGGGACAAGAGAGGTTATTTATTTCTCTTATTTTACAGAGGAAGAAACCAAGGCCAAGAAAAACTAAGCAAGTTGCTTGATGCCACATAGCCAGTTAGTCCAAAGCCCGCTGTCTTTCCCCTCCACATTTATGTGCCTATACTAGGGCAAGAAGAGCTTGTTTAAAGGGCACACTTAGCACACCTGCAGGTCTAGAATGTTGCATTCACTCAAACCCTGGAGTCCCTGGTTCCAGTTCTCCATTCACACAAGCATATGAACTCGTGATGCCTGGACTTCCCAATAAAGAGGACTGTACAATCCTCTAGAGCAGAGGCCGTGTGTGTCTCCATGGTCCTCTGTGTACGTGCAAATTCCATCAGCTCCCCTAAAGCAGAACCCGCCCTACCTCCTCTCCCATGTAGGGTCTTTGTGACCACCCCCAAAGAAGACAACATGCAGGAAAGTACTGGAAACCACAGTGGGCTATATGAAAGCACAAGAGAACCTTCTCTTCCTCTTCAGAAATCGAATGACAATTGCTAATCATACATTTGTTTACTAATCATACATCACCCTATGACAGCTCAGCCTTCACTGTATTGAACCTTATTTATATCTTTTATTGTTATTTAACTTTCCTGTGCTTTAGGTTGTGCCTTCTAAACCAGTAAGAAGCCTTTGAAGGCCTTGAGGACCATGAACTTAGACATGGACACCACCCTTTCCCTCCCCACCCCCATCATCCAGCACCTCTGTCACCTGCCACACACACCTGCCCACCCAGCGCAGAGCTTTATACATGCCAGGCCCTCAATAAATGGTTGTCTTTTTAAATTACTGGGATCTCAGCAGATATTTGTAGATAATGCTGGGGCTAAGTAATGCCTAAGAAGAAGAAGAATTGGAGTCTCAGAGCAGGAATTACCCAACCTGGGTTCTACTCCTGGCTTAACCACAAACCAGCCTGTGACCTTGAAGTTCTTTCCCACGTCTGGGTCTCTGGTGCTCTTTCTGGCCCTTTCCATGCTGTACAGTGGTGGATAACTTACATAAACTGAGGTCTAGCAAGACTCTCCCCGAGTTGTGTAAATTTGAGTGAAATTTGGGGCCCTCTTCTGGCCAAAGTGGTTTTAGCACTTTTACCTCCTGCCACAGGGACAGGCAGGAGGGCCTGGGACGAATAACCTGCCCTTCTACAGACTGTAAGCGGTCCAGCGCTCATGCTTCTGTCTCTGCTTCTTCTCATCCTCCTCCTCCTTTTTCTTCTCCCCCACTCCCTTTCTCTCTCAAATCAGCCCTGATATATTTATTGACTTATGTTTGGGGAGTGTCTTGAGGACGGTCCCACCGGAGTGTGGAGCAGACAGCAAGGCCAACTGCCCAGGGAAGTAAATTGCTTGTCAGGCTTCTCCTCTCCTTGCTGGGGAACAGGACCAGGATATGGCCCCAGAACTGCCCTACCACCCAGCCCCACTGTTCACGAATTTTAGCCATACTAACAGGCCCCTCCTGTTGCCAAACTACCAGATGGTGGAAGCCGCCTCCGTCTGACACCCAGCACAGTAAGTTCATCAGCAAAATCTCAACATGCTTCTTTACACGGTCCCTTGAGAGTCTCACTCTCCTGTCTTAGCCTGGATTCCGGTGAGGGTCCGTGTGCAGCAGCAGGTTTTGATAGAACCACTTGAAATTCCAGCCTTAGCAAGTGGTCACGCCCTGGAATACCAGAGGGAAATCCGGGAACTTGCACAGCCAAAGAGGCCAAGGGCATAATTAGATTCACAGAGGAAAACAATATTATTCCATAACTCCAGGCTGCATCCCTAACCCTGACCAGACATCTGGCCCCCAAACTAGTGCATTGTGTTTTAAGACCTTCAGGAACGAGTGTGGGTGGTTTCATACAGTCTATCTCAACAATTGAACACACCTTGACGTGTATTCCTGGCTGGGAGGGGGTTGCCAGCATCATCTGGGTATAAAAGATCAGCCTGTATAGTTCTGTTTTAGTGATAAACCACCACAGATTTTCTTTTTCAAAATCCCCTGGATTTTCCAGAATCCAGCAAACCCTGAGTTGGCCTCTGGAAGACAAAAAGAATAGAAAAGAAAAATACCAGGGGGAATTCAAAGGCAGTTTCTTTAAAAATAGCCTGAAGCCACAAATAACCAAAAATATGAATCTGGTTTTGGTTTTATCCTGTCTTTTTTTTTTCAATTCTCTATTCAGAAATGGCATAGAAATTACTGTTCTTTGTCCTGTTTGAATCCACACGTCTCTTTCAGGTGAAAGATTCAAGACTCTCAAAGTCAAGTCCAGCTTCAGCTCAAGCCCTGCCCTATCTAAAGCAGAAGATACCCCTCTAGTTTGTTCTTTTCTTACCCAATAGGTGAGAGACAGAAAGCCTTAGCAGGCTGGCTTTTGCCTACATGGGTGAATCTGGCTGGGATTTGGATGGTCATCAACAAGGTATTGCCCTAGGCAGATTGCTATGATCTTACCTCCTAACATATGAATAGTGTATGTCTTAGTTAAGACTCGTTGGTTTACAAATACTAAAAATTGAGCTAAGCTAGCTTGGAAACGGGGAGGGGGCTTATTTCCAATATATAGTAGCGTCTCATGGAATCCACACACATCCTGGCTTCTTGAAATAGTAGAACCACGAAGTATCAAATCTTCAAGAACATGAGCAATAATAATTTTCTTCATCCCTTATCTCTGCTTAGCACTGTGTGCCTGATTTACTTTTTTGACTGCAGACTTTTTCTCGTTTCTTCACTCATGTAGCAGGAGGCCCCCACAACACGTAAGTGTCTACCAATCTCTCAATTCCAGACACACCTGAAGACTCGCTGGCTGCCTCTGGAGTCCAGTTCCCCCAGTTTGCTGGGGAAAAAGAATCTGATTGGCCCAGCTTGGGTCATGCATCCACCCTGTCCAGTCAATTACCATGGGCTGGAGTTCTGTGAATTTGATCATAAACCAACACATTTGTTTAGGGAATCAATTCAAAGAATGAGGGCCACATTGGGGCCCCTTCAAGTTACTATTCTTTAAATATTTATTCAGCATTAATTTAATGAAGCCTGGGAGAAATAAGTGTTCTGTTAAGCGTGTGCCTCTTCCTGTACACTTAAAGTAAGGCATTTATTTATTTGTTTTTGAAAACTGAAACGGTTTTATTGGATAAAGTGGATTATGTATTGCTACCAATTAATGTTGAGACCAGTTCTTATACAACAATAGTGATCTTTGTAAATACTCAAGAAATAATAGTACTCAAGAAATAATAGTAGTCCTAAATTTGTGCTCAGATGTGAATAATAGCACACTTGTAAGTTGACTTAAAATTCTGAAATGATGCTTCATCAGACAGGGTTTCTATATCAAAGACAAGAGTCATGAGCCTGGAAGGGAATAAATAAGGGACAATGACGCAAACATTAGCAGTATTGGTGAGTCATTACCATCCTCCAGGCTGGCCAGTCCAAGGAGAGTTGGAATCATGGAGGAGAGATTATCTGGAGGAGCTATAGTTTTGGGGGATGCAAAGACTTAGGATGGGGTGGGTGGGTGTGGTTAGCATCTAAGAATGAGTTTCTCCTTAAATTTCAAGGTAAAATAAGGCATTTATTACATGGACTGAAAGCAATGTTTTCTGAATCGTTTTTTACTTCATGGTTTTTCACACCTGGATAACGTTACTCACTTGCTTACCATAGATAGATGTAACTTACATGAATATAGCTTCAAAGTCTTTTAAAAGATATCTTAAGGGTTTTTGTTTGTTTGTTTTTACTTTCATGGAGGTGAGATGTTTCCTGCATTTTTGGAGTTGTTGCTTTTCATTTTTTATTTGTATTTTTTGCAGGGGAGAGGAATCAGTTTTCTGAATAGTTAACTTCTTGGGAGGCATATTAATAGGTTTGAACTTACTTAAAACAAATCACTCCTTCCAAGTAAGCAGCACTAGCCCATGCATTTTTGCACATTGGCTTTGCAGCTGAGGTGATTGCTGCTGATTTAAAGGGCTATTTGGGGCAGGGGTCAGAGCTGATGGTCCAGGTCAGTCTACAAGTACAAAGCATCCTGCACATGCACACTCCAAGAATACTCCCTGGAGCAGGGCACAGTCACACACACCTGGACTCCCAGCTACTCCAAAGGCTGAGGCACAAGGATTGCTTGAGCCCAAGAGGTTGAAGCTGTAGTGTGCTATCATCGCACCTGTGAATAGCCACCGCACTCTAGCCTGGGCAACACAGTGAGATCTCATCTCTAAAAATTAAAATAAATTTAAAAAAGGAAACTCCCTGGAGATGAGAGGTGCTTGTGAGGAAAGATTTTACATTTCCACTTAAGAGTGTTGTTTACTGTGGTAGGAACTGGACCATTTGTGTCAGGAGACCCTTGGAAAAATCCCTGTCTTTTGGGCCAAGACTCTTGGCCATTTGTCTATCTTGCCTAGCTCATGAGGGGTGGCCACTGCTCAGAAGCTTAGAATCGAAATAGAAAAATCTTGTCGATGGAGAGCCAAGAAACCATGTAGACAATGTCTGATTATTAATTAATGACTTTACTAAAACATTAAGAATGCAAACTCTATAAGCACATAGATGTTGGCCTGGTTTGCTCATCATGGCACACCCCCAAGTGCTGAGAACAATGTCTGACACATAGCCAGTTTTCACTCAATGTTTGTTAAATGAATAAATGACTGAAATAGGACATAAAGATAATTATTGAAAAACCTTTCAAATGAAATCTGACTCTTAGAGTTCTGAATCTTTTGCTCATTGCCGTACAAAAAGCGCCAATAAGCCGGCTGCAGTGGCTCACGTCTGTAATGCCACCCTTTGGGAGGCTGAGTCGCGCAGATCACTTGAGCTCAGGAGTTCGAGACTAGCCTGACCAACATGGTGAAACCCCATCTCTACTAAAAATACAAAAACTAGCTGGGCATGGTGGTGGGTGCCTGTAATCCCAGTCACCTGGGAGGCTGTGGCAGGAGAATTGCTTGAACCCAGGAGGCAGAGGTTGCACTGAGCCAAGATCGCATCACTTCACTCTAGTGTGGGCGACAGAGCGAAACTCCATCTCAAAAAAAAAAAAAAGAAAAAAGAAAAAGAAAAAGAAAAAAAAGTGCCAATTAATTACTTCTAGATTCTGTAAGGAGAAGAGAGTGTCTCCTGATCTCCTCCCAAATTTCTGCAGCACTGATGTATATTTCACCAGTTACACAGATAGAGGTACATGTGTGGAAACTCGAGCCACCTGCTATCATACTTCCAGTTTATTTATCACAGTGATGTTTTTGCAGGCCTTGTGGATTGATACCACAGGGAACTGACCTGGCTTTGTCCAGTTCTGATGAGTAGTGCTCCAGAAGAAATACAGGGAGCCTCAGGAACACAGAGCAGAGGCCCATCCTAGGCCGAGGGCAGGAAAGACTCCCAGTAGACACTGACCAGCAGCATGGAGGACCCTCTCCTCTTGTTGGATGTTAAGGGTGGGATGAAAGTCCCAACCCTCTAATCCTGCCTTGGTCTTTCCAGTGACCAGCCCCCATCCTGAAGCTACCCAGAGTTACTAGCCACCAGTCAACTCATTTGCATACAAAAGGACACATCACTTTGAAGATACCAAATATTTTAGGAGTTTTATGTCAAGAACAGAGGACTAAGGCCAAATATATTTCACAATATCACAAATGTTATATTCACACAACAGAACACTATATACCCATGACAAAGACAAAACTACTGCTTCATGCAACACACTGGATGAGGCTCACAGACACAATATTGTACCAAAAATAAAAGACACACTCAAAGGGTACATATGTGTGATTCCACTTATATAAAGTTCAAGACAGACAAAATTAATTGATGGTGCTGGAGGTCAGGACAGTGGTTGCCTCTGAGAGGTATGAGCTAGGAGGGGCACAGAGACTACGGGGTGCTGGAAATGGTCTCCACCTTGATCTGGGTGGAGGTTTTGAGTCGGGCACTGGAGTTGTGTATTCAATGTACAGATGTGATACCTCAATAAAAAAGAAAAGAATGAATGAAATAAAACTAAACAAATCAGCAATCACCTCTTAGATTCTGGTGAGTAAAAACAATGCAAGTTGCAGAAAGACATGGACAGTATACCATTTATGTAAATGTTAAACATAAAGAACAATACTATACATAATATACATATTTTAGGGATACATACATCTGTGGTAAAAGTATTAAGATGAACACGAAAAGCTGGCATGGTGGTGAGCACCTGTAATTCCAGCTACTCAGCATTGCTTGAGTTCTGGAATTCGAGACCAGCCTGGGCAATATAGTGAGATCCTGTTTCAAAAAATGAAATAAAATAGGCCAGGCACGGTGGCTCATGCCTGTAATCCTAGCACTTTGGGAGGCCAAGGCGGGTAGATTATGAGGTCAGGAGTTCGAGACCATCCTGGCCAACATGGTGAAATCCCGTCTCTACGAAAAATACAAAAATTAGCTGGGCATGGTGGCACGCACCTGTAACACATACTGGACTAATCAGACACCCTCCTTGGGACTTTTCTAACCGGTGCTGTGGGAAGAGAACCTCTTTCCTCTCAGAGCTGTGAAGCTATCAGCCCAGAGCTGACCCCAGCCATCTCTCTGACAACACAGAGGATAATGTTCACAGTGAGAGAGGATACAGCCAAATCTCAGAGGCAGGAAGAGAGAGAAACAAGAGCATCTTCCCAGCATTTGGATTCCTAGGGCCAATTGACCCTAAACCAGTGCCACTCTGTCCCTCCCCACTGTTTCATTAGGTATTCTCTCTTATACCTTACCACCTTGGCATAAGCTGGAGTAAGATCTTTATCATTTATAACCAAAGACTACTACAGGTGTTTAACTCCAGGGCAGAAGGTTGGAATGGGAGTGAGGATGTGAAGCAGGAGATTCACTTTTCAGATAGTATGTTTTTCAGTTCTAGGATTTCCATATAGTTTTTTACAGTTTCCTGATCTCTTCTAAATTTCCCATCTCTTTACCCAGTATATGCATCTTTTCCAAAGACTCTTTAACACATTTATCAAAGGTATTTTAAAGCCCTTCTCTGCCAGTCTGACATCAGAGTTGTCTGTGAGTCTGTTTCTATTGACTAGTATATCTCTTGATTATGGGTCACATTTCTCTCTTTCTTCACATATCTAATAATTTTTATATAGTGAACATTGTAAATGGTATATTGTAGAGACTGGATTCTGTTATCTTCCTCTGGGATTCTAATATACACTAAAGTTCAAGAATGGCTGCCCTTAGGGGAAAGTCATACAAGTGTGGACCTCACCCGGAGTGTCTTCCTTCTTTCAAGGAACAAGTCCCCTTCCTTTAGTCTGGTCGTCATCCAGTGGCATCAAACAGGTTTTTATTTTCACCTTGTCCAGAGTTTGTAATTATGATCTGTAGGAGGGGTTAGCCTTCTACAAATCACTCTACTCTGTTAGACCAAAATTTGGATATTCACATTTTAGTTCAAATACTATATTAAATATGGTTTGATGTTGTTTGCATTCTTTGTCATTTAAAAATAAATTTAAAATGTTTTTAGTTGTACTGGGCATGGTGGCACACATCTGTAGTCCCTGGCTACTTGGGAGGTTGGGGTAGGAGGATTGCTTGAGCCCCAGAGTTCAAGGCTATAGTGTGCTATGTTAGTGCTTGTGAATAGCCGCTGCATTCCAGCCTGGGCAACACAGCAAGACACATATATTTAATTGCTATTTGAATAAAATGTTTGTGAAATCCTGGAAGCACCTTACAGGTTTATGAGACACAGCTTGAAAATCTCTAGTATAAACCATATGATTGACCATTATGGGTATGGATTAGGTTCAACCAGGCATAGGATTATCTCTATGGCAACTGTCGCCATAGCATCAAGCCTACGAGAGAGGTGGAAAATGGGCTTGTGAAGAGTGAAGAGGAATGCAGGGTAATATCTTCCTGGTCCCCATTCCAGGAAATCCAAGAGACTTGCTTTGCACCTTAAAAGAGGAAATCTACAGATGGTGATTAGGTAAAAATGAGCTTTTTGCTAAAAGCAGCCACATTTCCAGCATTCCAACCTATTTTCAGAAGGAGGCTCCTCTTAGCTCCTATGGGCTGATTCATATCCACTTGGTTCATCAATCCTTACCTGTTAACCTGCTCACATGCCCCAAAGTGCAGAGGGTCCCTGCTCCTCAACGAGAAGCAGGGACTCCCACTCAGGAGGGAATTGGCCTCAAGTTTCCCAGTATTTCCAGCCTCTAAGACCTATGGACTGGAGAGAAAGTTCATCTAACTAAATCATTGCAGCCTCTCCTTTTTCTCCTCCCCATTCCTAGTCGGACCCACTAGTGTTTTATTTACCAGGGAGCAGACCTGGACCAAGCTTCTCCAACTTTTTGTTTGTTTGTTTGTTTTTTGAGACAGGGTCTTCCTCTTTCACCTAGGCTGGAGTGCCGTGGTACGATCTCGGCGCACTGTAGCCTCGGCTTCCTGGGCTCAAGTGATTATCCTGCCTCAGTCTCCTGAGTAGCTGGGACCACAGGCATGCACCACTACACACAGCTAATTTTCTTTTTTCTTTTAGAAATGGGGTCTCACTATGTTGCCCAGGCTGGTCTTGAACTTCTGGGATCAAGCAATCCTTCTGTCTTGGGCTCCCAAAGTACTGGGATTCCAGGCATAAGCCACAGTGCCTGGCCCTTCTCCAACTTTAATGTGCACACAAGTCCCTTGGGGGTCTTGTTAAAATATAAATCCTGATTTAGTAGGTGTCATGGGCCAAACTGTGTCTACCCCTCACTTTTTTTTTTTTTTTTTGAGACAGGATCTGGCTCTGTTGCCCAGGCTGGAGTGCAGTGGCAGGATCTCGGCTCGCTGCAACCTCCACCTCCTGGGCTCAAGTAATTCTGCCACCTCAGCCTCCTGAGTAGCCGGGACCATAGATGCACACCACCACGCCCAGTTAATTTTTCGTATTTTTGTAAAGATGGGGTTTTGCCATGTTGCCCAGGCTGGTCTTGACCTCCTGAGCTCAAGCAATCTGCCCACCTTGGCCTCCCAAAGTGCTGGGATTTCATACGTGAGCCACCGTGCCTGGTCATACCCCTCAAAATTCGTATGTTGAAATCATAATCCCCCTATCTCAGAATGTGAATGTATTTGGAGACAGGGTCTTTAAAGAGGTAATTAAGGTTAAATGAGGTCATAAGAGTAGGTCCTAATCCAATAGGACTGGTGTGCTTATAAGAAGAGGAGATGAGGCCGGGCGTGGTGGCTCACGGCTGTAATCCCAGCACTTTGGGAGGCCGAGGCAGGTGGATCACCTGAGGTCAGGAGTTCAAGACCAGCCTGGCCAACATGACGAAACCCTGTCTCTACTAAAAGTACAAAAATTAGCCAGGTGTGGTGGCGGGTGCCTGTAATCCCAGCTACTCAGGAGGCTGAGGCAGGAGAATCGCTTGAATCCAGGAGGCAGAGGTTACAGTGAGCTGAGATCATGCCACTGCGCTTCAGCCTGAGTGACAAGAGTGAGACTCCGTCTCAAAAAAAAAAAAAAAAAAAAGAGGAGCTGAGGACAGATGCAGAGGGAAGACCATGTGAAGACATACGGAGAAGGCAGCCATCCACAAGCCCAGGAGAGAGGCCTCAGAAGAAACAAACCCTGCTGACACCTTGATCTTGGACTTCTGGCCTCCAGAACTGTGAGAAAATACCTTTCTGTTGTATAAGCCGTCCACTGTGTGATACTTAGTTATGGCAGCCCTAGCAAACTCATACATGTGGGTGGGAAGGCACTGAGCTTTCTGCATTTCTAACAAGCTCCTGGATGCTGCTGATTCGAGGACCACACTTTGAGTAGCATGGACCTAGAGAATCTGATTCCTTTTTATTTTATGACATTGTCAGCAGCTTCCTAAGTCATTAGCAGGTGGGGAGGAGGACACTTTTTCTCAAACTCTGCCTTCCTAAAGATAGCTAAGGTAATTGTTCTCTACATTTTTTGTGGCACTTTTGAAATTTTACAAATAGAGTGGCACCTTTCAGTTTCTGTAAGTGAATGCAGTGGGCTGGATATACCCACACGGCATGGCAGGCATAGTATGCAAATTGAGGCACTCATGCTGTGTCTACAGTGGGCAGTTGCCACTCTGTCCCCATGCTAGAATGTGGGCTTAATGTGGTCATATTTTCCAAAACTTCAAGAGCCAGAAATTTGAATTTTTATATTAAATCTCTAGATTTTAAAACTTTCAAATGTTGGCACCTCCATCTGCTTATTTTTGAAATAATGTGAAGCAAAGGAGCTCTCTGAGGTGGTGCTGGACATGTTCAATATTTGGACCTCTACCTTGTTTTAGGTGTATACACATGTAAAAATTCATCATCCAGGTATAGCATAAGCAAACATTCATCAAACTGTATCATTAAAATTTGTACGACTTACCACTTGTAAGTTATGCCACAATAAAAAAGAAAAAAAATCTGCATGGGAATGATACACATGACAGTTATTACCTCTGGGGGCAGAGGCAGGAAAGGAACAGGGTTGGCCTTATGTGTATTTCTAACATATTTCTTCAAAGAGATAGAGGGCTGAAGCATATAGGGGGATTTCTTTCTTTCTTTCTTTTTTGAGACAGGGTCTTGCTCTGTTGCACAGGCTGGAGTGCAGTGGCACAGTCATAGCTCACTACAGCCTTGACCTCCCAGGCTCAAGCGATCCTCCCACTTCAGCCTCCCAAGTAGCTGGGACTACAGGAGCATGCCACCACGCCGCCTGGCTAATTTTTTAAATTTTTAGTAGAGACGAGATATCACTATGTTGCCCAGGCTGGTCTTGAACTCCTGGGCTCCAGCAATCCTCCTGCTTTGGCCTCCCAAAGTGCTGAGATTACAGGTGTGAGCTACCTCGCCCAGTCAGGAGAAAATATTAACAGCTGTTTCATCTCAGTGATACTAGGTATCTGCTTTATTGTTTTCTGTGTGTTTGAAATATTTCATAATTAAAATCAACTATTTTTTAACATTAAAAAAATAAAGCCTGGAAAGACCAACACTGCATGAACCAAATAAAACTCCTCAGAGGCTACTGCACCATTCTCTTGGTCTCCCTGTGGGACTGCACAGTTGTTTATGTACGAATGCTTACTGCCCTGACCCAGGGCTCCTGTATCTTCAGTAAATACCTGCTCCCTCTTTGTCACGGGTGTGATGTGATGTCACCCCACCCACTCAGCCCAGCACCCTCATATGCCATTCATCACCAGAAGTGTGTCCTCGGTGCAGCCTCAACTGTGGGAAAAATAACGTTTATATATCAACCCAAATTTGAAGACACTCTGTATTGGGTTCATAGTTTAAAGCTACCAGAGAACAGACTTCTCTGATCCTGAAAGCAATTAAAGCCTAGTGGTTGAACTCACTGGGTAGAAGCCTGGGTTTTCCAGTTTACTAAATATATGCCCCTGGGAAAGTTAGTTTCTCAGCTTCTATTTCTTCACCTGTAAATTGGGAATGACGACAGTATCTACCTAGTTGGGCTTACGGGTAGATTTAAATTTGCTGAGTTATTGGTGCATAACTGTTCATTAGTTATTATTAAGTAATTAATACTGGGTTGATTTTACTTTAACTATCTTTCTTACATCATAGATTGTCTGAGGCCACACCAGTATGAAATCAACAGCTGGCCACCAAGTCTCAAAGGGAAGATATTTTCGGCTGGGTGTGGTGGCTCATGCCTATAATCCCAGCACTTTGGGAGGCTGAGGTGGGCAGATCACTTGAGGTCAGGAGTTTGAGACCAGCTTGGCCAACATGGTGAAACCCCATTTCCACAAAAACTAGCTGGACATGGTGGTGTGCTCCTGTAGTCCTAGCTACTTAGAAGGGTGAGGCAGGAGAATCGCTTGAACCCAGCAGCCAGGAGGCGGAGGTTGCAGTGAGCCGATATCATGCCACCGCACTCCAGCCAGCCTGAGGGATGCACAGCAAGACTCTCAAACAGAAAAAAAGGAAGATATTTTCAACTCTGATTCAAGTGGCAAATGTAATTAAACATTGTCAAGTGCGGGGCAGTACAAACTTCTTTCTGCCTTCAAGGAATGGATCTGTTTCTGTCCTTCATGAAAAACCCTAAACGGCCAAAGCAACCTTAAGAGAAAACAGAATTGCAGAATCTCCAGGTTGGTTCTTTTCCTCTGGCCTCAAACCTCAGGGGTAGAGCGTTGGCCTCTCCCCTTGGACAGCATGCTGCCAGGACAGCCTCCCTGCTGACATGCCTGCCTGGGCTGCTTTCTGGGGCTTCTTGCTCAAGGTAATCCTCCAGGAACAGCACCCTGCTGGCAGCTTTGCAACCCCAAAAGGGCTTTCGCAATGACTAATAAAGCCATAAAGGATGAACACAGATCCAAAAAAATTCATCCCCTGAAGGAATATGATTTCGACTACTTTTCACTTGGTGCTTCCTTGTCTTTTAAGCCACATGCATTCAATTTCTGTCTGAAATTCCAGTTCTCTCACGTTGCAGTCTCCGGAGGCCATTTTCTCTGGTAAACCCGTGAAACGCTCTCGGAGCCTGGAAAGGGGTAGAGGAGCCAATTACTCATGAAAGCCCATTTTCTCTGTGGGTTTTCCCTCACATTTCAGGAGATGTATTCCTTTAGCATTTCTGCTATCACCAGTTCAGACCCCCAGAAATCTCCTGAGCCCCCTTTTCCCCTCCCATTAATTTAAAAATCCTGTAGCCGTTACTGTGGTCTGCCTTGCAGAACCTGGCAGTTCACCTGGCCTTTTCCACTCTCCCCCAAATTGGTTACCTACCTGTTGGTTCTCTTACACTAATGTCCCTTGCCACTGTCCGGTTCAGGCCCTCCCCACCCCTCCCTGGATGACGGCAGCAGACGTGTCTCTCTGGTCTACCCGCCCCTGACTTCGCCCTCAAGCTGTGCTCCTCCACTCTGCTGCTAAGGTACTTTCTAAAATACAAACCTGATGCCCCCTCTCAGCTGAAAATCCTTTAATACTGACCTCCCCCAACCCGTTTCCAGATGAAATGTTCCCCAGTCCTGCTAGAGCTTCTGCATTGTCAAGAATAGCCAAATACCTGGATTTTTATGTGAATTCCCCAATCCTTTTTTATTTGTAAAGTTATTACATTTTACATTTAAAAAAATTATAAAACATTGCAACAAGTCTCTCACCCATTCCTGCTCCCCGATTCCCTATTTGAAGAGGCCATCACTGTGGCCGGGTTCTTCTGCAGTGCTGCCTTACACGCACACACACACACACCCTACAAACATACACATACACAAGCACACACTGCCTTTTTTTCCATATAGATGGTAGCCAATTTTTAAATGTTGGTATAAAGTTTTAAAACCCTGAGGGTCAAATAAAAACACTTTTGTTCCTCTGAGGGTCAAAGAAAACACAGGCATGTGCCTTATGATCCGCTGGGTTGTAGATCACACAGGCATGTGTCTTTTGATCCACTTGACTGACAGTTCCCTGAAGACAGGAAACTTTGTCCTGGAATCCTCTTCGGTACCTGGGACGATACCTTGCACACAGCTGGCACTCAATAAGCACACTGCCTGTTCATGGAAACTTTTCTTAAGCACCAGCACTGTGTCTAATGCTGAGTCTACCACAGACTACGGGGTGAACTGTGGTGTGCCCACCCAAGAGGGAACACTCAGGAGAGTTAGTTGTCTGGTTAAGTCTCAACTCCTGTGGAAACAACCAGAATCTGCCTGCTTCCCATATTTCCTGGTTACCTGGGTCAACAACAAATGGACAGAAATAGCAGATTACAGTCCCCGTTCTCAGTTCTCAGGCCCCCTAATGGGGCATCTGCTCGTGCTGACGGCCTAAGCTGTGGCAGAGTGCTGAGACCAGTACCTCCTCGCCAGCTGTCATTCCCAGGAGCGGAGCTTCTGGGTCTCGCCCTCCACCAGGACAAGTCAAGCCAGGACAGGACCAAAACCACAGGCACAGGCAGAGCTTGCTGACTCTTCCTGAGGCACTGGGCTGGGCAGGGCAGGGCTGGGCCAGCTGCTGCGATGAGTAAGGCATTCAAGCTTCTTCATGTTGGGAGAAGACTCATTGCTCAGGTGGTTTTGGAATCTCCTAGAATAGATTCTATTTGCTCACTCTCCTGAGTCCCCTGCTTGCTCCCACACAGCCTGGCAGGAACAGGGCCTGTGTTCACAGGTCGCTCTTCCCCTCTGGCAACAGGTGTCATGGTTGTGGGACAAGGTGGCATTTTCATTCATGATGAGGTGGACCCCACTGAGGAATTGCAACAAGATCTTACATATCTCTCCTCCATCCTCGGAGGCAGTGATGTCCAATCCTGTGTCAGCAGTGATGCAGGACAGGTGGTTCCTGTCACAGCACACTCCCGAGGGAGGGCCATAGGCAATGTCCCTGTAACTGTACGGTGACGTCCTCCCCTTCTCCCTCACTCGAGAGCATTCTGGCAGGGAAGGGCATGGGGAGCACGACCTTAACGTTCACCTTGAATGTTATTCTAATTGTGGTGCAGTATGAATCTTACTACCAAAACGCAGGTGGGTGAGACTTGTCATAGTCCTTTTTTTCTTTCTCTTTATTTTTTTGAGACAGAGTCTTGCTCTGTCACCAGGCTGGAGTGCAGCAGCGCGATCGCAGCTCACTGCAACCTCCGCCTCCTTGGGTTCAAGCGATTCTCCTGCCTCAGCCTCCCAAGTAGCTGGGACTACAGGCGGGTGCCACCATGCCCAGCTAATTTTTGTATTTTTAGTAGAGATGGGGTTTCACCGTGTTGGCCAGGATGGACTCGATCTCTTGACTTCGTGATCCGCCCGCCTTGGCCTTCCAAAGTGCTGGGATTACAGGCATGAGCCACCATGCCTGGTCCCTTTTTTTCTTTATTTCAAGTTACCTCAGCCTTGATGCCCTCAACCTCGAGCCTGGCATGAAAATTAGATGTGTGGTAACAGGATGGGGCAGGCTTCCCTTCCCTGGAAATATGTGAAAATCCAGGAGGTTACAGGGTACCTGAAAAACAGGGACAGGTCCACTCTTCTTCTGAGACCAAGACCGCTGTGGAAATCCCCGGGGCTCCAGCCTGCATGCACCTTCAGGGAAGGGCTTGTGGCCGCTTCCTTTCCAAGCTGACACACAGGAATCTTGCTGAAGCTGAGAATCCTAGGCTAAGGCTCTGACCTTCTGAGAGACACCACAAAACCTCTCCACAGAAGTCCTGCCATGAGACTGTCACAGGGAGCACATTCCCATCCGCGATGCCTGGGGGCCACCAATCTCCAATCCTTCCCCAGGCTTCGGGCTTCCAGAAAACATAAAGCAGATTGTCAGGCCAGGCGCAGTGGCTCAGGCCTATAATCCCAGCACTTTGAGAGGCCGAGGTGGGCGGATCACCTGAGGTCAGGAGTTCAAGACCAGCCTGGCCAACATGGCAAAACCCCGTCTCTACTAAAAATACAAAAATTAGGCGAGCATGGTGGCACACGCCTGTAATCCCAGCTACTTGAAAGGCTGAGGCAGGAGAATCGCTTGAACCCAGGAGTTCAAGCAATGAGCCGAGATTGCGCCACTGCACTTCAGCCTGGGTGACAGAGCGAGACTCTTGTCTCAAACAAAACCAAAAAAAAAACCAGAGAGTCTGCGCAAACAACTTCTGAATTCAGCCCCCAAGCCAAACCTCCCTGAGGCAAGGCTAGCTTCCAGCTTGGAAAGAAGAAATAAAATACAGGAAAAACAAAACCCACATCAATAGCTCAATATATTATTCTGCCACCTAACTCATATTAGAATAATCATTCACAATTTCAGTACAGGGTAACATTCAGCCCTTGTCACAAATGCCTGTGTCCCACATCAGAGCTCATGCACCCCGCTGCTGCTTTGCTCTAAAGCAGAGCTGAAGAACTGAAGGCTACTACTCTGTCCTCACCCTGCTTTATTTCCTTCAATCACAGATTGTCCTCAGAATAAAAAATAAATGCCTTCCTCCCCGAGGGAGCAATTTCTAGCCAAGAGGATGATCAAAAATGGTGTTGCCCAATGCCCCAATTAACTGTACCAAACCCAGTAAATGATGAAAGTGAAGCCTCAGCTTATGATGATAATTAAGCTATGTTGAGTCAATGGCAGCTGCTGTAAGACCACTTCTATTACTAAAACTACCTTCTCCACTTAATTAGCACTTTCTTAGAAGCATCCTTAGTTTTTCACATTAATCTGACTGGGGACAGTGTCACTGAACCAGAGCTAAATGGCATCTGGTCTATGAGAGGTCTGAGTCAATAATATGGTGGCTGGTTTTAAAAAGATTGCTGTCCTTTCTTTGCTTGATGACTTGTGATATAGAAAAAAGAAAAATAAATAAAACCATCATTGTTGTAACACATTATTATTTTTAATATTTGGGTGGGCATGTGACCAAGCACTTGGAGTGGCAGGTTTGGAATTTTGAGTTTTGAGTTCTTCCGGATGTTTATTCCAGCTGTGTATTAACTGGCACCTTGGCAGCTGCGCTCTGGGCTGGTTCCGCAGTAGATACCACTGCTAGAACACATGCCTGGCCGTCTGTAGCCCCTGCTGGAAGCAATGGCTACTGTCCAGGGTAGAACTTTATCTAAAGGCTCCCATGATGAACAGATGCTCAACACTACTCATACTAAAAAAACATAAATGCAAACAGAAACCAGAAATCATTTTCACCTATCAGATGGACATGGACTAAAAATACTGATAATACAAACTGTGGGTGAGCTCGTGGGTAAACAGTAGACGCATAAATCATTGATAGGAGTGTACGATGGATCAGTCTTTTTACTGGGTAATTTGTTAGTGCCTATGCAAATTTTAAAAAGCTCATGCCCCTTTTCCTGGCAGTTCCATTGCTAGAAATTTACCATACAAACATACTTTAAACATATACCAAGAAAAGAAAAATGTTTCCTGCAGAATTGGTTGCAATAGCAACAAATTGGAAACCAATTAAATGTTTTTTAATAGGGCCCTGGCTAAGTGCATTATGGAACAGCAATACGATGGAATTATGTCACCATTTTAAAAGATGCTGATTTTGCATGCTAAAGTGAAAAAGAAAAAAAGACTTCCAAAATATAGCATTAATAAAAATGTGAAGTGCATATAAAACGCTGACTTTTTTTTGGAAGGATACACAAAAATATTGTTAACATGGTTATTTTCCTAACAATATATATATAATCTTAAAAATATACACAGTAAGCTGGGCACAGTGGCTCACACCTGTAATCCCAGCACTTTGGGAGGCTGAGGCGGGCCGATCACCTGAGGTCGGGAGTTCGAGACCAGCCTGACCAACATAGAGAAACCCCATCTCTACTAAAAACACAAAATTAGCCGGGCATGGTGGCACATGCCTGAAATCCCAGCTACTCGGGAGGCCGAGGCAGGAGAATTGCTTGAAGCCGGGAGGTGGAGGTTGCGGTGAGGCGAGATCATGCCACTGCACTCCAGCCTGGGCAACAAGAGTAAAACTCCGTCTCTCTCTCTCTCTCTCTCTCTCTCTATATGTATGTATACATACATCACCTAAATATATATACACACACACACACACACACATATATACACACATACTTATATATATAGAGAGAGATATGTATATACACATATATATACACACATACATACACACGGTATTTGGGAAGTGGTAGACCATTCTTTCCCCTTCTTTGTACTTTTTTGGTATTTTTAAGACTAGCTCTTTAAATAATGATGCTGTATTTATATAAAAGCTGAAAGATATCTGTGAGAGACTGTATTTTCCAATGTGGCCAGGGTAATATTCCCGGACCTATATGCCCTTCTGGAACCTCATTACTCCCCATCAAGAGGTGGAGTTTATTCCTCTCCTCTCGAACCTGCATGGGACTGTGATAGCCTCAACAATTAGAAGGCCATGGAAGTGAGGCTGTGGCTTCTGGGGCTACAGAAAAAGGGCCATGTGGCTTCCGTGTGGCTCTTGCTATCTTGCTATCTCTTGGAAAGCCTGCCCTGGAAACCCAGACACCATGATGTGAGGAATCCCAACCTAGCCCATAATTCTGAGTCTGTTCACAGAGTCGTGCACACATCACCACTATCTAATTCCAGAACACGTCCATTAACCCCAAAAGGAGCCCTGTACCACCCAATCCCCACCCTCCCCATGCCTGGCCACACCATCTACTTTTTTTTTTTGAGACAGAGTCTCGCTTTGTCACCCAGGCTGGAGTTCAGTAGCATGACCTTGGCTCACTGCAACCTCTGCCTCCCGGGTTCAAGCAATTCTCCCTGCCTCAGTCTCCCGAGTAGCTGGAATTACAGGTGCCCACCAGCACGCCTGGCTAACTTTTGTACTTTTTAGTTGATACAGGGTTTAGCCATGGCCAGGTTGGTCTTGAACTCCTGACCTCAGGTGATCTGCCCACCTTGGCCTTTGAAAGTGCTGGGATTACAGGCGTGAGCCACTGCACCCAGCCTCATCTACTTCTTCTCTGTGTATGTGCCTATTTTCTGGACATTTTATATAAATGGAATCATACAATATGTGGCCTTTTGTGTCTAGCTTCTTGCACTTAATTTCTTCAAGGTTCACCATGCTTTAGCATATATCAGTACTTCATTGAGTAATATTGCATTGTATGGATAGCCCACCTTTTGTTTATCCATTAATTGGCTGATGGACATTTGGGTTGTTGCTACTTTTTGGTTATTAGGAATAATGCTGCTGTGAACATTTGCTTACAAGTGTTTGTGTGGCCATGTTTTCAATTCTCTTGCGTTGAAGTACTTTTACATCACCTAAATATTAAATGATAAATACATAATAATCAAATGATACTAATAACTGGTACACAATTAATTCTTATTAAAGCAAATTCCCTAAGAGCAGAAACCTGTTCCTTCGTGGTATTTCAGGTTTAATAAAGACCATTGGGTAGACCTGAAGTAATACAACAGCACTATTTCCAACCCAGATTTTTCACCAATTCACACTGACATTTTCTCAAATCAGTCTGAAAAGAGATTGTCTGTTTATTATCTCTATGCAAAAACCCAGGGCTATGCTGTGGTCTTCAAAATCCCTCTTTATGTTCCAAAATGAAAACTTATCATTTAAATTTGACATATAGGAAAGGACTAGAGCCTTTTCAGGAATTTGGAGTTTGATTAGAATTCTGGGGAACACAGAACCTTTTGCTGTACTGTGATTTACCTATTCAGGTTTATTTAATAAATACAGTAGAGGTTAACAGATGATAGTGCAAGTTCAATAGAAGTAGGGTGATTTAAAAACATTCTGGATTACAATGAAAACTCACTTATGTGGGAGTTTGAGCTCACATTTACAGCCTCCACCAGCAGAAATCATGCAAATAAGAACCACTGCAGAGTTCTTTGTCCACAGACACCATCTCCCTTCAGGATGGTCCTGCTTTTCCCCCAGCACCTGTGCAGGCATCTCTGGCGAGCCTTATCACAGTCTTTCTGAGTTTGCCTGTATGCTTCACATAAATGTAGTAAAAAAACAATGAGACGCTTCTTTGGGGCAACTGCTGTAGAGGCCACTAATGAGAAAGTGTAGATGTTTCCATCATGGAAAATTACAAGTTTACTTGGTTTCAGTCCTTGGCACTAAGTCTTAGGTTCCTTGTCACTGAACAGCCTTCTTTCCACTTGGCTTCTCTTGGCCAGCATCCTGGCACACCATCAGAGGAGAAAATAATGAGAAAGAAGTGTCTTACAGGGATGGGGAGCACTGGTGGCTTACCATATGGGCATAATCATGGCTCTTCAAACAAATCCTTGACCAGACAGTAGCACTATTTGTCTTCTTGCCTACACAAGCTACATGTGGGGTTCACACCTCCTGAAACATGTGCACACTAAGAGAACTGGAGAATGTTTGCTCAGTTTCCCTCCTTTTCAGGGGAACCCTCTGGCTGGTCTTCAGTACATGAGCAGTGACCCAGCTGTGGTTAGCTCCAGAGAGTTTTCTAAGAGTCCCTCATGTTCTTAGAGTTCTGATGTTGCTTAGAAGACAGAGGCCTACCTCATTCTTGGTTTACTCATGCTTCAGGTTACATGAATGTGGGGTGGGGAGTGGGAAATAGCTTTATAATTTTTGTAGAAATTATATAAGGAGTCAGGAGTTTGAGACTGCCCGGGCCGAGTCTGGCTTACACACCGGTTGAATTCTTGTCCAGCGCCCAAGAAGAATGAGAATGTACTGACAGTGGAAGAGTGAGCACTTGCTAATTATAAAAATGCCAAAGGATAGCTATGTGGGGTAAAAAGCACCTGAGATCTCACCATGCAGAGGTAACATGTGCATCCCTTTGGTGAGAATTTCTAGTAATCTGTCTGATGTGTATAATTATTCATCCAGCATTTCCCAAATATATTTGTGAACATAGTGTTAGTTTGTGTTCATCCAGGAGCCAATCCTGAGACAGAGACCGGAAAGCAAGAAATGCATCTGGGAGGTCAGCATGTGGTAAAGGGGAGCGGGGAAGTAAGGCAGGGAGGGTGAGGCTGGTGGTTATCAGGTTAGCTGCTCCTGTGGGTGGCTGGGTGGTGCTCAGTCCCACGGAGGAACTGTGGAAAAGAGTATGGAACGTGTGCCTCAGCAATGCTTACCTGAGGGCGAGGGAGCTGGGGCATTTACAGCCAAGGTGCTGTTGGCTGAGGCTGCTCCCTGGGGGTGTGACTTCTGAGCACTTCCAGCCTGCACAGCCTACTAAGACATGTGAGAAAGCACCCCCGCAACCACTGCCCCTAGGAAAGAGGCAGACACTGGCAGCCGGAAGGCAGCCAGACACATACTTATTGGTCGTATTGCTTAGGAGATGCGTCAGGCACTGTTCTAGGTGCTGGGGACATGGAAGGAAACAAAACAGAGAATTCTGCCATCATGGAACATTCTGTCTATTGGGGGAAAATAATAAACAGGGCAAGTAAGAAACCATGGAGTGTGTTAGGCAGTATCAAGTACTGTGAAGAAAAACGAAGTAGGAAAGGGAGTTCTGGGAAGGGGGACAGGAGATGGGTTGCAAACAGCGAAAGAGGAATGAGGGCAGGCCTCACTGAGAAGGTGACACTCAAGTAAAGGCTGGAAAGAGGGCAGAGGGAGGCACTTCACATGGTTACCTGGGAAGAGGAAATAGCAGGAGCACCAGCCCTAAGGCAGGAATATGCCGAGGCATGTGTGCAAGGCCCGTGCGGCTGGGCTGGGAGGGCAGGGTAAGCGGGGCCGTGCTGACCTCTGTGCAGCCTCAGGCTCCTACCTGGGGCAAGACCGAAGGCTGTAGGAGAGTGGGAGCATTAACAGGGTGGCAACAGCTGCTGTGCTGTGAACAGCCCAAGAGGGGCCAGGGCGGAAGCAGAGAGGACTGAGGAGGCCGGGGAGGAGGGTGAAGCAGTTAAGATTCTGGAGATATTCTGAAGGTAGAGCCAAAAGACTTGCAGACAGATTGGATGTGAGGTATGATAGAAAGAAAGAAGCCAATGGATTTGGTTTGAGCAACTGGATGGAGCTACCTCTTCCTGAATCAGGGACATTTTCCAAAGGAGTGGCACAGGATTTTTTTCTCGGTCACTTTGCAAGCCAGGGACCTCTGGCTGGTGACGGCCCACCTGGGCCTCGCTTGACCATGCTACCTGCTGCAGGAGACGGCCCGCCCACTTCACCCGCCTGGGCCAAGTATGGCTTCCACACTGGTTGAGTTCTTGCCCAGCACCAAAGAAGAATGAGAATGTGCTGACAGTGGAAGAGTGAGCAAAGCTGGGAGTTTTATTGAGTGATGAAACAGTTTTCAACAGAGAGGAGACGTGGGGGTGGTCCCCCTACCCAAAGGCAGGAAAGTCCCCTTAATATGGGGGAGTCTGGGTCTTTTTATGGGCTCAGAATGGGGGGAGGGGCAGGCTGTAGGTATTACTGGAAAAGGCAACATTCGATTGGTTAAGGCGTTATTCAGAAAGAACAATTGGGAAAGGGTGGGCAAACAGGAACAGAAGTTCCCACTCTGCGTGGTGGGTTTCATCCAGGACCAGCAATCTGGTCTTTTAGCCTTCAGGCTGATCTTTGCTTGAACGTGGGGTTTCATTTGGGACCCTCCCCTCTCTGCCTAGGCATTTGGCTGCCTCATGTCACTATCAGGAGCAAGCCTGGGGTCAGGAGTAATTGGGAGCCTGGCTTTGGGCCTGTGAAATCTGAGATGTCCATTAGAGACCTAAGTGGAGATGTCAGTAGCAAACTGAATATAGGGGTCTGCAGTTCAGGGAAGAGGCCCATTCTGGGTTTAAACTGAGGTGTTAGACAGCATGTAGATGGTATAATCCATGTGGCTGCTGGAGACACCCCAGTGAGCAAGCCAGATAGAAAAGAGGTCTGGGACTGAGTCCTCAGGGAGGCAGAGCACTGAACAAAGGAACCTGAGAAGGAGCAACCAGAGAGCTTGGTGTCCTGAAAGCCAAACGCGGAAAGTACTTCCAGGAGAAGGGAGTGGTCGACTGTGTGTGTGTATATATATATATATGTACATGTGCTACATTTATAAAGACCTCCATGCAGAAATATACACTCTCTCTACGGATATATACATACACACAGGGAGCTGTAGATAATGGTGTTATACTATAGAAACAGATCTATAACTCTATCTACTTCCCACTAAATCTACTAGGGACAGTGTGCCATGGCAACACTGTCTGTCTGCTTTCATCATTTTTTTCATAGCTGCATAGTATTTCATTGTGCCCAAGAACCGTAATTAACTTTTTCCCTATAGGTATTTTCCCCAATATAGAATTCTAGATTATACAGCAATGAACACCTTGTGCAACCATCCTTTCACACTTGTGTAGCCATCTCCTTGAGATAAACCCCTAAGAGCAGAGTTGCTATAGGCAAGGGTATGCCCTTTTTACCTTCTGATTCTGAACTCCTTCCTGGGCAGCCCCACTAATCAGATGCATTCAACGTGGAACAGCTGCTGACCTCAAGGAAGAACTGCCCAGGACATCATTCCAGGCAGACTCTATGCTAGGGACCCTTCTGTACACAGAGAAGATGCAGGGCAGCCACTACATAATCACTGTTAGAAATCAGCAAAGGTTTGCATCATTACAAAAGTCTATGACAGGAGGCAATCTACTGGTTCTAGCTCTCAGCCTGACGTATCGAGCTGCAGCGGACTTCTGCGTATAAAGACTGTCCTGTTTCCACGGAGAGAGGAGCAACTCTCCAGGCCTAAAGGATCTCCAGCTGAGCCACGAAGAGCTTATCACATCAAGAGCAAATGCAGCAGACGAAGGCAGTGCCTTCTGTGAAATGACTGTAATTAACTCCAAATCTTTCTCCACACTTTATTTTTGCTGGCTGGATTTGTCATTTTGCTGTCAGAACAGGCCTACAACATACCTCAGATGTTTTTCCTTTACCTTGTCATTCTGAGCAAAAGCATGACTCCATCACCTGTCTGGGCACATACCGAGTCTTTGTCTGGATGGTGTCAGCACATCCTGCACACTCAGCGGCAACCCTGAAAATAACATCTACCACCTGCCAGGCAATTGGCTGACTGCCTCCGTGATCTTCAGGGGCATCGAGGGACAATGTATTTAGTCATGCACCTCTGTAAGTGCAGGGAAATGTACTGGGACACCTTTCGATTCCCAAGGAAATAAAAGGAAAATGACAAACACATAGTCACGCTGTGGATCCCTGTTTATTCCCATCTCTGGGCAGGCCTGTAAAGAGCATCGACCCAGGTCTCAACCCCACTGCTGGTAACTGAGCCACAGAAACTGTAAGCACTCATCCAGGGAGAACTACTCCCCTAAACCGGTTCTTAGCCAGCAAGAGAGGCCCACAGGAAGGTCTCTGATAACCTGAAGTTTTGAAAAGCTTAGAACTGTGTGATCAGGCCATATGCCCCTCAGTTCCTGAATGTTCACTACCCTGTGGTGTCCCTTTGCCATGGAAGAGACTCCAACCACACACATCAGTTAAGCTGCCAACACTGTTTCCTCCCCATTCTGCTCTGCGAACAACGCACAGTCCAGCCAGGAGCTCAACAGGGAGGGTTTTCTTGTTGTGTCATGGCTGAGATCAAAGTCATTGTACACCAAGGACATAGTGGACAGAAGGGAGCCAACAACATTTATGCCAAATCCCATTCCCAAGATGACTATATTTTATAGTTTATTATGAGGTAACTGCCTCCAGACAGATAAGCCCCTGCATGATGCTGAAAGTCAGAGCCTGGGGGTGAATGCCACCTTATCTTTGTCCTCCTCAGCTGGTCTGCGTGTCTCTGCTCAGAACGCTGTGTAGTAGTGCTCCATTGTGCTGACAATGTCACTCTGGTCCTCCAGGAGCTCCAGAACTTGCTGCAGCACAGCCTCGCTCAGGCCCGGGCGGATGCTCAGGCGAGCACAGGCCAAGATGTGCAGGAAGTGACAGCCCTTCTCCATGTCTGCAGGAAAAAGGTAGGTGGCTGAGTGTGGACACAACTGTCAGGCCCTCCTCTGTCCTCTCCATACCTGACTTGGCATCTGCATTCTGACCAGATCCCCAGATGATCTTTATGCACATTAAAGTCAGAAATGCATGATCTACCTGATCACAAAAACAAAACAGAAACACCTGTTCTCAGGCCCCTGATGTCACCACGGCGACATGGAGCCACTGCTCAGGGACTCTGAACTTCAACCTTCAAGGATTCCCAATCAAAGATTTTTTTATCTGTAACCTAGTGGATTTTTAGTGCTTGATAAACTTTTTTCTGTGGGGTAATTACATGTATAAGTGTAACGTATTCAGTGCCAAACCTCTAGTTTCTCAGGGAGGAGCCCTCTTGAAACTCACAGCAGAGCTGGTTTGCTGCAGCCTCCGTATGCTTCCCCCTAAGTCCTGATTTGATGCGGCTGCCTGGTGAGAAGGGATTCCTACCTTTGGCCTGTTCTCATTCCTCTCTTCCTGGCTTCCAAAAGTCTTATCTGTGATGGTTGTATTCCTAGTAACCTCTTATGCTCTGCCCCAAACTAAGACCATCTAGTATACAACAATACAAATTCAGAGTTAGTAACCTCTTTCCTAGTTGAAATCAATGACTTAAACGTTGGTAATGAGAAAATGAAATAACTTTTATCTGAAGAATGCAAGTCCTTTTAATTATCAGGCCCAGAGAGACACGACCATGAAACGGAAATCACGCCCTACTCCTACATATTCACCTCGGAAACTGCTTGCTATTGGCACAAGTAGTTATAAATTAGCCTAATAATGCCAAATTGAACACTATAATCCACACCCTATGGCTTAACAATGTATAGCCAGTCACCAATCAATGTTATCTATAAACCAATGAGAATTCCTGACAAACAACTTTGTATCAGCCCACTCCCTGTCCTCCTTTTTGGCTTTTAAAAATCCACTTATGGGCTAGGTGCAGTGGCTCACGCCTATAATCCCAGAACTTTGGGAGGCCGAGGTGGGCGGATCACCTGAGGTTGGGAGTTCGAGACCAGCCTGGCCAACATGGTGAAACCTCCTCTCTACTAAAAATACAAAAATTAGCCAGGTGTGGTGGCATGGACCTGTAATCCTAGCTACTTGGGAGGTTGAGGCAGGAGAATCACTTGAACCCAGGAAGCAGAGGTTGCAGTGAGCCGAGATTGCGCCACTGTACTCCAACCTGGGTGACAGAGTGAGACTCCATCTCAAAAAAAAAAAAAAAAAAAAAAAAAAAATCCACTTATCACTGCTGCTAATCAGAGTGTATATTCAGAGAAACCTGAATCTGTGCTCCCCAGCTGCAATCCTGAAACTTGGCCCAAATCAACTCTCTGCTTGTATTAATTTTGCCTCAGCTCCTTCCTTTTAGGTCGTCGGCAGTAGTCAAACTGGGGGTTGTGCCTATTAGGGGATAACGAAACCAATTTTTGTAGGTTGCGATCAGCAACTTTTTCTTACCAAACTCAAAGAGAGCAGAAATAGAACGTTACAGAATATCTTGCATTGTAATTTGGATACATATTAATTCATGAAACTTAATTTCATATACATCTTATGCATTAGAATTATATAATTTATTGGGTCATGATGTAAAATGTATTTCTAACTTTGAGTCAAAGTCAAACTTCTTTACCAAAAGCAAACCCTCTCCAGTTGTCACAGTTTAAAACTCCATGGCAGGCGCAGGCATGGTCTCTCTCTGCCGTATACCCAGTATCTGGCACACAAAAGGTGCTCCACAAAGTCACTGAAAGTTGTTTACAGATGAAAAATGCTTTAGGCTTCAGGAAGGTGCTCGAAGAGGTATTGCGGTGTGAGGCAAAGCACGGTTCAAGGTTTGGTGCACTTCTGTAGCTTTGGGCAAGCCATCCCTAGGCCTGAGTGTTCTCAGCTGTGGTGAAAACCACTTCCAAGGCCCTTTCCAACCCTAAGGTTCAGAGACTGCTCCTGGGCTAACAAAAATTTGCTAAATTCTGACCTCTAGTGGCTGTGTCCACTCATTACTCCTTCCAACTGGGATTGCTGGCATCTATACTTCCAGGCTGTTTCTTCAACATTCACTCCATAGACTTCCTGAACACCTACTATGTGTGCATTGCTGAGCAAGGAGGAGCAAGTAGAGCTTGGCAGACCTGGAGCTGCCACTGGAGTCCACCACACCAGAATTCAAGCCCTGGCTCTACAACTGGGACAAAGTCACTCCCGGGAACAAAACCACTTCCTTCTCAGGGTGGCTGTGTGGATGAGAGACCAGGGGGAACTACTATGATTTGGTTCATCATATCCGTAATCCAAGAAGATGAATGTAACTTAGTTCCTGCTCTAGAAAAGCTTCATCCCTTCCCAAGAAGAAAAGCCTCTCAAGGAGGAAGAGCTGACCAGCAAGCAAGGATAGGTTTGATGATGGAGGGTGAGGGGCTCCAACCACACAGACCTGCACACGGTAGGGAGGAGCAGAGGGAATTTAGTGCTGCTCAGCTTTTAGTTTCTGCAAGGCCTGGATGCTTGGACCCAGGGCTCAAGGTGACTTACAGGCATCCATGGGGCCCAAAGCAGTGATGCTGACTGTCTCAGAGGCCTTCAACTATTTAGTCAGAAAGGCTGTTCTGCTGAGGGTTATCTGGTGAGGCTGTTCAAAAGTGATCTCCAGTCACTTCGGTAATGTGAACTTAGACTCCTCTCTATTTTTAATTTTTATTTTTTGTAGAGACAGGGTCTTGCTATGTTGCCCAGGCTGGTCTCGAACTCCTGGCCTAAGCAATCCTCCCAAGCATTGGGATTATGGGAGTGAGCCACTGTGCCTGGCCTTAGATTCTTCTCTAAGTGAGAAATTATTATAAAACAGTAAAAGTAGGAAAGGCCAGCAAGGAGCTCCCCAGGGGTTAGTACAATTACATAATTCGACTCTTCTGGAACAAACCCACAAGCCGAAGCAGACTTTTCTGAAAAGTGTTTGCCTGGCAGACATAGTTATCTTATGACGGATCACTATGAGCGGTGATAACTGCGCCTTATATTTTCCCAAGAACTTTCACATGTAGCCTGATTCATACTATACCCCATCATACCTCCACCAGAAACCACAAAGGCTAATGTTCTAGAGACCCAAATGACATAAAGATACATTTCAGATATAACCTACTACTATAACTACAAAAGGTTAAACTTCTTTAAGTCTTTTTTAAAAGTTTGTCTTAAGTTTAAAAAAAAAATCCTCCAGTATAAGTAGTGTTATATGGTACTCAGTTTCTACCAAAAGCAGCAGTTCTCTCCAGCTCTGGGATAGTAAAAAATGAACCTGAGCTAAATACATGGGAGATTTTTGAAAAGCTAATGGTATAAAGTAACATTTAGTGAAAGGCTGCCATTTTGGAACTCATCAAATGTTAATTTTCTTCGGTGTGAAATGATTTGGTGATCAAATAGGAGAATTTCTGCATGCTTAGCAAATACAAACTGAAGTTTTTAGTCAATCTAGGTGAAGGGTATATCGGTGTTTATTGTACCAGTCTTTTAATTTTTTTTTTTTTGATAAATTGGAATATTTTCAGAGTAAAAAGTTAGAGATAAAAAGACATGTTCAACATAGAGCTCTTTTGGATAATTTGCCATTGTTGTACCCATACTGAAAGCCAAAATCCAGATTTTGTCAACTTTACTCCAACAATAATACAGCAAAATCCACATACAGATTCTATCTGAAACTGCCTCCTTCCAGATCAATATTAAACCAAGTAGAGGGTGAGCCTTCAGGCCTGCAGGCTAGAGAATTAGGGGTTACCACTTGTGCCATTAGGAAAGAGAACTTCATTTTTATTTAATACTTTTTGGATCATAATTATGCACTGAGTACTCTTCTAACTTTCTAAATGCCAATTCATTTACTTCTTATAAAAACCCATCTTGTAGGTACTATTATTATCCCCACTTTGCATTTAAAGAACCCAAGGCACTTGCCCAACATTACACAGCTAGCAAGTGGCAAAGCCGGGATTCAAACCTAGGCAAGGTGGCTCCAGAGCACAGCTCCTCACAATGCCGCCACATTGCCCATCTTCAGAGAACAAGTATCAATCCTTCAGGGACCTAAGACAGGCTTGATGTTCATAGTCCTTTCATTATTGAAGGGTTAGCCTTTGTGAGACACTCATAAATGACTTCAAGTCCTTCTACCAATCATCCTGACAAGGAAAAACTCCAGGCTATATTCTGTTTGAAAGGCTAGAAAGGAACTAAAGGCCCAGTAGGTATGGTTAGACTGAGGGTCGGATATTTACCTATACATGTAACAGCATGCTGTCCAGCTAATGAAAAGACGTAGGCACTTTCATGTGTACTGTTGACCTCTAGAAGGCAATGTTAGATCTAAAATACAAGGTGTAGGACAATGTATATCGTCGGCTAAACTTCACTTGTGTTTTCTGTCAAGGATAAATAATATGATATGTTTGTAAGTGCATATCTGTATAGTTTATCCCTGATAGAAAACACATATCCAACAGGATATGCAAGTAACTAATAACAACCACTGCCTTTGGAGAGGGGAACACAGAAGCTGGGGCTCAGTGCTGGGAGGGAGTCTGGCTTTTTGGAGTGGATTTTTGCACTGCTTGGCTTTTCATGAGGGGCATACGTTACTATTCTGAATTGCTATGTTATAACATTATGAAGCGGGGTGGTCACAGCAGGTTCCAACACAGTCCTTATAACATCTTTTATCAGCATTCTCAGTAGCTCAGGCTTCAGAATTCAGCTCCTGGGAGTGTAGTAGTGCCAGGTGATTGGCTAGTGGCTTTTAGAGGCTCCCATTCACAGACTGAGTGGCAGGGCCTGTCCACTTGATGAGCTGTGGGTAGATGTAGATGTTAAACCTGCTACTTTCAGGACACTTCAGAGAGCCAAGTCCAAATGAAATGTGAATTCTTTTCATGTGCTTTACTAGCCCTAGGGTTCAATCCATTCTATTCCTAATGCAGATGAAAATAAGAACCTGGCCAGGAGGCCTGCGAATAGGGTGACTGCAGAGATGTTATCTTGGGAGCATCTTCTCATCCCTTCTTGGCTGAGGAATCCCACATTGCACTGCTCTCAAAAGCTCCTTCAATTGTGGACAGATGGGCTTTTCCCTCAACTAAAGGATATTTGCTTTTATTGTTCTGAATGAAGTGAACAAAGTCCATTCACTTGCACTGAAATAATATATTGCTTTGAGTTTATTTTAAGAGCTGCTGTCACACCACTCTGGGATCCGACCTCATGGTTTCTTAAAGGCTAACTAGGGCTGTCTACCATAAACACCAGTGCTGGAAACCTGGCCCAGCTTCACCCACTGACTCAACCTGGCACAGGTCCAGGCCCCAGGGATGTATGGGCCGAAGGACTGGAGGTGGAGTTCACTGGCAGATCAGGGACCTGGGGTCATTAACAAACTTTTCCAACACTTCTTATTATAGTATGTGTTTGCAAAAGCTAGACTTTGAAAAGTCGCCTTTAAGACCGGTCAGTTTACATAGGATTTAAAGATAGACTAATGCTTCCTTCTCTAACTAGTGTGGAAATGGTATTGTTCCTTGTCAGAGTAGCTACAGTTTCAGTGTCTAACCACTAGGGGCTGAACTAACTCTACCAAAACTATTTTCTAAACCATGTCTTTTGCAAATTAACAGTTTCCAAGATGACTGAATTACACCGTTCATAAACAGTCATGTCTAGAACCATCCCTTCCAACACTGAAAGGCTTTGATGTTAGAATAGAGGGAAATGTCAGGTTTGTGTTCAAAGAAGGGGGGCAAGCATGAAATAGGAAATAACACAAATCAGAGAGAACATGAGAAGCAGAATGACATCAAAACGTCCTAGTGTGGTGACCTCACTGTATCAGAATTCCTTGTCTAGCCCCCACCTCATCCTCTATGGAAACAAAATCCCCAGGGTAGAATCTGGGCTCTGAATGTTCAGAGGGCTCCAAGGTTGAATCTTATGTACAGCCAAGATCACAACAACTGTGCTAGCCCAACACTCCTTTAGAGAGGAGATGGAGGCTCAGGGAGGGCAGGTACTTTGACTATCACCTTTCCAAGTCACTACTGGGAAAAGTCCCGGGTCTCCTGACTCTCCATCCAGTGCTCCCCGGGAGACAGTATCCCCTTCCAGGGCACCAGGGCATCACTTGTACATTATACCACTTACGATTTGGTTTCTGGCAGTCCTGCTGAATGATCCGGTGGATCTTTCTGTGCAGGTCTTTGTCTTCTCTGGTTACCTAAATAGGAAAAATAGTTGAGAGAGAGAGTGTTCTTAGGTAACACAGCAGTTGTGTCATCCAGACTTCCAAATTAGTATTCAGGATAGTTTCTAAAGATTACATAATAATCATCTTCCCTACACCATTAATGTGGTGTTTGATACTTGGCCTAGTGTCAAACCAGTTCTGCCCAGAGGACACGTCCTTGGGAGTTGGTTCATTGGGGCAATGAGGTTAAAACAAAAAAAAAGCTGGAATTGCATACTTTTAAGGGACAACTTTCTTCTTCAACACTCATAACACATTTTTGTTATTTGTTGTTATAGTTTTGAGCGAGGCACAGTGATCAAGGCCTCCAATCTCCACCCCATGACTCCTTCTTCTGGGCCCTGACACCTGTCTTGTGTTGCATCAGTTTTCTTGCTTCTCCCAACCACAAGGAAAAATAAAAGGAGAAAAAAAAAAAAAAAACCCTGCAAGGACAGGCTAGCATGAGAGTAAAGCTAGCCTATCCACTGAAACACATTCTGCTCTCAAAGGTAGACATAACTTAGTCTTTTTCTTTTTCCTTTTTTTTTTTTTTTTTTTTTTTTGAGACGGAATCTCACTCTTATCGCCCAGGCTGGAGTGCAGTGGCACGATCTTAGCTCACTGCAACCTCCGCCTCCCAGGTTCAAGTGATTCTCCCGCCTCAGCCTCCCGAGTAGCTGGGATTACAAGCGTGCACCACCACGTCCAGCTAATTTTTGTATTTTTAGTAGAGATGAGGGTTTCACCATGTTGACCAGGCTGGTCTCGAATGCCTGACCTCAAGTGATTCCACCCGACTTGGCCTCCCAAAGTGCTGGGATTATAGGCGTGAGCCACCGCACCTGGCCAACTTAGTCTTTTTTAACCAGCTCAGATTAAGAGGGAAGCAGCACACAACAGGTTTCACCTTCATGTTCCACAGTGAATCTAGTAACAAAAAAAGAGAGAAAGAGAAAGAAAAAAAAGAAACAGAAAAAGAGAGAGGAAGAAAGGAAGAAAGAAAATAGGCATGCAAACAAATAGCTGTAAGTTTCCTCCTTAAAGACAGCCCAAGAATGCCTGTCTGACCTGCCTTACTGGAGGGGGCATCTTGAGAACACCTGCCTTCTCTCAGCTCACAAGGTTATGACGAAGATTAAACAAGGTCATGTGTGAGAGCTGCTGAACCTAGGAAAGCACTAGGCAAACAGAAGTGTTGACTTATTTTAACCATTTCCCTGAGGCAGGGCTTCAGGAGAAAGGTGACTACAAAGCAGTGGAGAGATGAAGTCAGAGATGGCGACAAGAGATCTATTTGTGCTTGATCACAATGATTCACAGGAGGAAGTACCCAGCCCCACCACGCCTTGCCCTGGACTGCTGCTCCTCAGGAAGGGCTGCTCTCTAAAGGCCTGGGAGGAAAGGTGTGTCCCAGAGCAGGGCTCAAGGTGAGCTGCCCCCATAGCTTCTCCAACTTCCAGGAAGCAACCAACTCCCACCCGGCCTTCCCATGCCAGGACTCCCATCCTGGGACGGTGTGGGAGGCACTCGCCCTTATGTAGACTGGGATACCTGCTTCAAAAGTTATTTAAATGGTATTGTAATTTCTAAAATCTCTCTAAAGAGGGGAGTCACTAGGGTAAATCAACATCAGGAAATGTCATATTAAGAAAAGCTCCCCGTCAGGAATCTTGCCTGTGAATAGTGAGACTTCTGGAATACCACAGAATTTGATCAGTCTCTGGGAGAGCTGCACATAACGGAGTCCACACCCACTGATGTCAGTGGTCCTGAGAAGGCCCATTTCCACCTTAGCTCCTCCCAATATTAAAGGTATGCAGCAAAAGGTGAACTTTTAACTTGAAAGAGTGAGGCAAACAAGCACCTACACTTCTGCTGGGAGTCAACTGGTACAGCCTTCAGGCAGGCCCATCACACTGTGTTGACCAAAAGCTTAAATGGCCATGCCCTCTGCTCCAGCAGCTCTTCTTTTAAGAGTCAATCTTACAGAAATACTGACATGAGTTCACAAATATAGTTGTGCAAAAATAGCCACAGCAACACCATTTGTGACAGCAAAAGTTAGAAATACCCTAAGTACCCATCAAAAAGGAATGTCTAAAAAATACACAACAGGTACCCATAGTATGGAATACCCTGAGGATGTTAAAAAGAACGAGGTAGATTTATAACTACTAATGTGGAAAGGTGCCTGTCATGTGTTATCTTGGTACCAAAAAAGGTACAGAGCATTATTTAGAGTAGCAAGTCTCAATGGTCCCAGGAGATACCCGGCAATGTCCAGGGACATTTTTGGTTGCCACAGTTGGGGTGTTGCTCCTGGTCTCTAGTAGGTGAAGGTCAGGCATGCTGCTAAATATCCTGCAATGCACAGGATAGTTCCCATGGCAATCGATCACCTACCCCAAATAGTGTTCAGATTGAGAAGTGTCAATTTAGAAGATGATCACATTTTTTATAAAGCAAAAAGGTTCTTGCATAAGTCAGGGATTGGAAACAATGAAAAAGCCACAGGAGCACATTTGTATATGTATGCATCTGTAAATGTACAGATAAATGTCTAGAAGGATATACAGTTATCTCTCGGTATACTCAGTGGATCAGTTCCAGGACCCTCAGGTATACCAAAATCCACACACACTCAAGTCCTGAAGTTGGCTCTGTGAAACCTGCATGTACAAAAAGTTAGCCCTCATATGTGGGTTTCACATCTGCAAATACTGTACTTTCCATCTGCATTTGGTTGAAAAAGTCTGCATATAAGTAGACCCATGCAATTCAAACTTGTGTGGTTCATGGGTCAACTGTATTATTAAAAGAGATACCTCGGGGAAGGATAAGGGCCAACTTTCACTTCTGATTTTATGTACCTCCTTAATGATTTTTAAGAATAATTAAGTGGTTATTCATAAGTAATAAATATATTTGTAATTGAAGCTACAAAGAAAAAAAGTTAAGTTGCAAGTGTCTTACATAGTATAGGTTATCAAAACCATCATCTTTCTGGAAAACAAGTCCTTTTTCCTGCAGCAGTTGTATAGCATTCTTAAATATACTATGAATTGCCTTGGAAGTGGTGTCCTTCTTAAAATTCACCTGTAAAGAGAGGAAAAAGAAAAAAGAAAAGAAATAAGTCTCACCTTACGGCACCTGAGAACAACTCCTAGACCAACTGGTTCATGAATTTGTCCAACAGGCCTTTTAACTGCTGAGTCAAAAAGATCCTGGTATGTACCGGCCTAGCAGGATGGTATTTAAGGAGGACTGAGAAGTGTGCCCCGGCAGGTCACCTTTCATAACTGTTCCCTACCTTAGTTGTGATTTTTTTTTTTTTAATGAACTCAACACTCCATAGTGCAGAATAAAAAAAGCTACCCTCACTGTTGGACAATCTTTGACTTATTTTTTATACAAAACCAAAACACTGTATATATATATTAGCCCCCTTTTCCATTAAAATTGAGGCTGTATACAATCTCTTCCTAGGGACTTCAAAGATTTTTTGTATGTTGGAATAATTTGGGGATTCCAGCATGAAGTATTAAATAGCCTCATTATTTTAAATGGAGGACAACAGAGGCTGTGCAGAGATCCACCAAGGGGAGTCCACAAGGCTGAAGGTAGACAGCAGTCCTGGTGAAGCACAGTCCCCACCTAGAAGGGACCTCTGCTGCTGTCAGCTCTCCCCCTCACTTTCAGTGTCTCTTCACTTCTCTGGAGACACGTTTGCCTGGGGAGGGTCATCCAGGTCATCCTGCTTCTTATCCCCGAGGAAGCTAGGCTATCAGCTATGTCCCCCCATGCTTGACCAGATGGGATGCTTCTTGAGTCAGGGACTTTGTTTCATCTTGGCCACCTCCTCCCTAGCACACGTTAGGTGACTGATAAAGTATCTGTGAGATGAATGGAAACAAATACACATTAGAGTGTGTGTATTCTTCTTATTATTCCATTGGGGATTTTCCACTCCTTCCTAAAACAAAGAAAAGGGCGAACAACAATTGCTCTTCAAAGTACAGATCCTTTTTTTTTTTGAGACAGAGTCTCTGTCGCCCAGGCTGGAGTGCAGTGGCGCGATCTCAGCTCACTGCAAGCTCCACCTCCTGGATTCATGCCATTCTCCTGCCTCAGCCTCCCGAGTAGCTGGGACTACAGGCGCCTGCCACCATGCCCAGCTAATTTTTTGTATTTTTAGTAGAGACAGGGTTTCACCATGTTAGCCAGGATGGTCTCGATCTCCCGACCTCGTGATCCACCCGCCTCGGCCTCTCAAAGTGCTGGGATTACAGGTGTGAGCCACCGTGCCCAGCCTACAGATCCATTTTCAATGTGACAGAAATTTGTCAAGATATTGAAAAGATCAGAGTTCCAAACAAATGTGGCAAAGCTTCCAGAAAAGCATTTGAAGGCCAAGTCCTACCTCTATTGAAAGGTACTTACAAAGCCTATGTGGGGCAGCACCCAGAGGTGCTGAAAAAGAGTGGCTGAGATTTGCTAATGACATTTCCTCAAGGGGAGAGGAAAGAGCCTCCACAGGGTCTCAAGTGTTCACAAGTCCGTCCCAAAGTAACCTTCTCTTTCTAGAAGAGACCTCCCAAACAGGCTTTCTGTTACTCTAATAGATCCTGGTGATGTTTCACAAATGTGTTCTCCTGGGCTAACAATAACAGCCTAACACACTAATTGAATTATCAGTCTAAGTTTTTCCTTAAAAGAACAAGCTGGAGAACCTTGTCATTAGAGCCCCCAAACCGACAAACATTCCAGGTTATGACAGCTTCCATTCAGAAGGGAGAATAAGGCTGAGAAATATTTGACAACTCCCACAGGCAGAAAACCTCTCTGGGTGTGTTTAGAATAAACACCACACCTAGCAATCCTCAGCCACACATCTTTTTATTCACGAGGCTTAGGGCAAAACTGTTTTTAATTTCATACATGAGTGCTCTTAGGGGATGCACCATCAGTGCAACATAGACTCCTTTGCAAACCTTCATAACTACTTAATCTTTATAATTCTAAGGAGATCTATCTTCTTTAGTCAATTTAACATAAGGATCCTAAAGGTTAGGTTTATTACATCTCTTAGCAAGATAGAAATAAATTGGAAACTAACTAGAGATGAGTATTACATGATTATTCCTGTCTTTAAAAATGACTCTTGGTTATCCCCAAACCATATAAAAAGCCTAGTTCCCCCTCCCAGATTTCAGTCAGATCAAGCAGCAGGAAGAGACAATGCTAGGCCTAGGAGATTAAAAACACAGTTTCAGCTGTGAGCAAGGACTCAACAGAAATGGCTCTCTGTAAATATAAACAATACTTGAAGCTTCCTTTCCAAAAACATTTGCCTCAGCTGACCCTGGGACATATTTCCCTGGCCTAGTTATAAAGACCATAGTCTCAAGGGTAAAGCCACTAATCGTCTCTTCCAGCCAGCAGCTTTTCCTGGACTGGGATCTGTGTCTTTCTTGTCTTTTTCAAAAAAGCAATGACAGACTCATCAGATTTAGGAAACCGAAATTGCTCACAGGCAAAAAAAAAAAAAAACCAAACAAACAAAAAAAAACAGTCACTAGCTAAACGTGCTGAGCTTTACCAAGCCTCGCCTCATCTCAGGTCAGGAACTGGGTGGATCCCTGAAATATATATAGTCTTCATTCCCAAACAAACTCAACATTCATCCAGCTGTCAAAGAAACAATGGTTTTGCAGGCCCTGCTTATCATGTTTCTGGATTTGCTAAGAAGGACCACTATGAAAAAAAGGAGGAAACATTCAAGCCTGCTCTCTCTCTGCCTCTAAACTATAACACCATCACAATGATTTTTTCTGTTAAGCTTTCATCTGTATGACAACAGAAAGTGCCAAAGGATCTAGGGTTTCAGTCTCATTGTAAAGCACCTTTAGTCTCCCAGGAATCTATTAAACAGAACTCAGTTTAATCACACTGACCTCCCCAACCAGAGCAATGTGAGGGACTAATTCATAATTGATAGAAAAAAGAGTTTCCAAAGACAAAACAAATATAGTGCCATATTCGATTCTTTTTAAACATATAGCACCAGGCAGACACAAGTTTCTGCTGTAAGCATTTTCAAAAAGATATGCCAAAGGTTCCCCACAGATCATTTTGAATGGAGGAGTCTTTTAGTCCTCAAAGAGTCCTTAAGTCTCTCTCTCTACTTAATTATAGCTATCACGGAAGAGCTGGCTTCATGTGAAAAATATGGTCTTCGCTAAGCTTTAAAGTTTCTATCCAAACATGCTGATAGAATCATCAGAAGTCCTAGGAGGTCAATTTGGCTTTGAGCCGCCTCTAAATGATTAAGTGGGAAGAAGGTCAATCTTGCTGTCAGCCGACAGCTGGAGCGCTGCAACTGTTTAGAAGCAACCTTGGCAAAGAACAAAGCAGCCAGTCGTGACCCTTTCCACTTTGGTGTTTTCTGAAACGATATCCCTCATCTCCTCGTATGAAACCATGGGTCACTGGGCACATCAGGCTGTTGCCCAGAAGAGATAATTAGGAGCACAAACAAAACTGAGAAGCAGTGGTCATGCCCAGGAAGTCAGGATGTGACTCAGTATCTGTTCCACCAAAATCAAGAACTTATGTTACCTAGCAAGGGTGTTCACAGCAGCCTTGTTGGTGATGGCAAGAGATCAGAAAACATCTAAACAGTCCAGGAATGGACAGACTGGTCATATACATGATGGTACATGTGACAAAGACTGTAGGGGCCAACCTATATGTACGGCTAGGAAAGAATCTGTGAGACATACGTCAATGAAAAGTGTGGTGTCTCATAGTATACTACGCCATGCTACCATCTGTGTGAAACAGAAGGGGCTACAGTGACTTAGAGTACACACAAGCACAGACTATCTCCAGAATGATATTCCAGACACTAGTACTGGTGCTTGTCTCAGGGGAAAGGGAGTGAGAGGGAGGATGGGAAAGAAACTGACCTTTACCTTTACACTTTGTGGGACAATTTGAATTTTTAAAAATCATTCATTCCTTCAATCAGCAAATAATGAGTGAGAACCTGCTTTATGCCAGCCCCGTTCTAGGCCCTGGGTAGAGAGCAAAGAATAAGACAGACAAGTCCTCTGCTCTCACAGAACTTAAATTCTGATGGAGGAATAGGCAAGCAAACAAATAAAGACCAGTGACGTCAGATACAAAAACAGGGTGTAAGGGTGAGGGGCCACGTGGCAATCAGAGCAGCTAGACGGCCAGGGAGGGCAAGGAGGGACATTTAAGCTGAGATCATTCCCTGGTGGGATAAAGAAAGTAAATAAATGAGTCACGTTACAACAACAACAAACCTAAGAACTGCAATGAAAGGGAAAGCCTAAAATCAATGTCTCAAATAATTCTTAATTCCAAGCAATACGTCAACACCAAGCAACAAAACAAGTTACCCAAATAAAACTAGGGGTAAAAACATGGAGATAACTTTTTCTTTTTTTTTTGTTGGGACAAGGTCTCACTCCGGGTGACAGTCAGGGGTCAGGGTCACCCAGAGTGAGACCCTGTCTAATTTTTGTATTTTTAGTAGAGACAAGATTTCACCATTTTGGCTAGGCTGGTCTTGAACTCCTGGCCTCAAGTGATCTGCCCACCTTGACCTCCCAAAATGCTGGGATTACAGGCGTGAGCCACTGCGCCTGGCCCCTCGTTACTTAATCTTATTATGCTTAATATTTGAGTAGAAAAAAATAATAATAGTCTAAGGTCCATAGTAGTAGGTTGTTAGTATTCATTGAGATGGATGTTTAATCTCAGCAGAAGCCAAGTGACAGGGAAGTAGATGAGAGGAGGTAATTATCCATCCAAGATGATTTATTCATCAGCAAAATGATTCGCGAACTTGAACCATGGTTTTTAATGACTTGCTCTGTCTTTTTCAGAATAAGATTAACCCATTGTGTTTTAGGAGTTTAAATAAAGACCGAGTTGTATTCAGACTCATTTGTAAGTAAAATTTCAAGGAACACTTAAGTAATTTTTTATTCTTTAATTTTTTATTCCTCTTAGAAAAAGTTATCTTGGTTAGCCAGGCGTGATGGCACATGCCTGTGGTCCCAGTTACTTGTGAGGCCAAGGCAGGAGAAGCACCAGCCTGGGCGACAGAGTGAGACTCTGTCTCCGAAAAAAAAAAGATTAGGTAAGGAGGAAGAAGGGGCAGGTCCAGCCTTATGCCTCATTTCAAGTTCTTAGTAGTCAATGACCTTTCCAGAATAGAAATAATGTGTGACAGAACCATTCCCTCCGTTCCCTGGGTCAACTCTGTGAATCTTCATGCCACAGTCACTTTCACCCACACCTGCAGTTGCAGATCTGGGGCAGGGAACCAGAATTCTCACATGGGCATGCTGCACTCACTTGGTCGGAGGAGGCACTGTGAATCACAGGCTGATTGGCAAGGGACAGCAAAGACTCCACCATTTCCAGCTCCTGCTGGTAAAAGCTCTGCACTCTGTTCTCCATGAGGAATTCTTTGGCTTTTTCACTCAGCAAACTCGTGAGACTGGGGAGGTCCAGGGCGCCTGGATTGCTGCGGAGGGAAAGTTTTAAAGAGCTCTGCAGAAAACCATCACCTTTGTTCCTTTTTGGTGTATAAAAACCAGAAAATTAGCTAGAAAATGCAACACTATATTGGAGTTTGTTTTTCATATACAGAGTAATATATACAGGGAACATCATGTGGTTGTTTAAAATGATGAGGCAGAACTACAGGAACTAAGATATTCATGACAGATTAGGAGAAAAAAGTCAAACTGCAGAACAGCATGTAAGGTATGGTCCTATTTTTATATAAAAAAAATGGAAACCCACAAAATCTATGGGTGAATATTCATGCTTGTGTAAGCACAGAAGAAACTAATTTAAAAAGACACACATTGGCTTATGAACATTGGTAATCTCTGGGGAATGGTCCTGAGGCAGGAGACAGGAAAATGGAGAATTTTCACTTTTTATATGAGTCTATAGTTGTGCTTTTAATATACTTTTTTGAATATATAATATATTCATGTTAAAAAACATTAAAGGATACACAGTAAAGTCTCCTTTCTGTCCCCTTCCTGTCCTATCCTCCGGTCCCCACCCCCGAGGGAGCTGCTGTTACCGGTTCTCTGTGTCTCCTCTCAGAGTTCTTTTATGCACATATTAGCAAATATGCACACATTCTCATTCCTCCTGGGTTTTCTCCCCTATAAAAAAGTAAAATCATCCCTGGTTGAGAATGACCGGTGCAGGTTTTTTTAAAACAGGTTTTTGATTATGACGTGCTATGGTATCATATTTTGATTATGAGGTGACTTGGTGCATTTTTCTTCAGGTTTCTTGCCTTGGGGTTCATTGAGCTTCCTGGATCTGTGAGTTTAAAGTTTTTATCAAACTTGGAAAAATGTCAGGCATTATTATTTCTTCCAAGTGTTTTTCTCTGCTCCTGCCTCCACTCCTCCTTCAGTGACTCCAATTACACCCATAATTTCCTCACGACAACCCTAGGACATCTGTGCTATTATTCTCTTCATGTTACAGTTGAGGAAATTGAAGCATAGAGAGGGTTAGAGGGCTTGCCCAGAGCCCCACAGTGCATAGGTGGATGATTCGGGATTTGAACCTAGGCCGATCCCAGCATCTGGGCTCAGCTGCTTCAGTTTTCTGCCGTGGTCACGTGCTCAGCAGTGATAAGTCACCACTTACCTTAGTGCCTCTTCTTTCTCTAGGGCTGAGCTGTGAAAAGGCTGGTCATAAACTTTCCTGTAGATAGTGGGCAGCTCAAGCATCCTTGCAATTTGAATGTTCCACACTGGGTCGTCCACTTTATCTAACAAGTGACCAGAAAAAAGATGCTACAGAAATTACAAATTACATTGAGATCAATTCTTTCCCAGGCCCAAACTGCTGCTAAGACAACAGTAAATGAGGTGCTGGGTGGGCCTCCTTCCTTGTGAGTGCCCAGGGATCACAGTCTAGATGCACTAAATGGCTCCCAGTCATCCTGCATGAGGGAATGCGATGCCCTAAGTGTCATGGGCTTGGCCAGGGCCAAGGAACCAGGAAAGCACATCAATGTATTGATTCGTCTGCTCCTCTGGTGGACAGCAGGGGCTGTCCTTGAGATTTCCAACTGAAAACCAGCCAGCACGTGCAAAGGGAAGATGATGGGGAACTGTCATATTTCTGATTAGCTGTTTTCATTTAAAGTTAATGGACTTAATGGTATTCAAGAAATTTCTGGCCAGGCACAGTGGCACACGGCTGTAATCCCAGCACTCTGGGAGGCTGAGGTGGGCGGATCTCTTGAGCTCAGAAATTTGAGACCAGCCTGGACAACATGGCGAAACCCCATCTCTACAAAAAATTAGCTGGGTGTGGTGGCGCATGCCTGTAGTTCCAGCTACTCAGAAGGCTGAGGTGGGAGAATCTCCTGAGCCCAGGAATTTGAGGCTGCATTGGGCTGTGACTGTGCCACTGCATTCCACCCTGGGCAACAGTGTAAGACTCTGTCTCAAAAAAAGAAAAAAAATAAAGAAAAAATAAAGAAATTTCCATTATTTTGAAGAATATTCATATTTTGCCCTAATGGATTGACATTCTGAACTTGAAAGTGCTTTGGAAACTCTACTATGTCATCCAAATAAACTTGCCAACCATATATAAAGTAAATAATTCATTTTCTTTCCCAACTTATAATTAGCTGTCTTCAAAATAAAAGTAAGAAATGCTGATTTTCTAAAGAAAGCATGTTAAACAATGTAATTCACTCATTAAATAGAGTTATACCTTAACTGAACTTTTTGAAAGTTTGACTTCCAGCTGAACAAGAGGTTTACTGGACGCACATCCAGAAAAACCACCAATTTGGTAGAAATATCTTGTGCTTACAGTAAGTGGTGGCATGAATCTCTCGCTCTTCTCTGTATGTGCGGATACTGCCTCTGACTCGGATCGTGTCCCCGATCTCTATCTTTGTTTTCTGCTCAATGGTCTCTTGTAGCTTCTTAAGTTGTGAGGTTAAGCTGAGCTCTCTTGCTGCACTTGGAGCAGCTGTAGTTGTTTAGAGCCAGAGGGAAAGAGAAAAAGTTATAACACAATCACTCTACCACATCTGTGAGACAGTTTTAGGGTAAGACCAACACAATATGCTTATTTATTCTACTTCTGAGTAATTGTTCTACTGTTGGAAATCCACATAACCTTTTGGAGTACTCCACTGAGAACAAGGTATAAACTGTAATTATTCAAGAGCGGGGTGAAAGGAACGGAGTCTAGACTGAGGTCCAGCGGGCAAGTTCCGACAGGCTCCAGGGCCTTCTTTCCTGCCCTGCATCACCAGTGCAGTCAAAGGGCTCTGCATGGCCTTGAGACAAATTCTGTACAATGAGTTCAGCTGGGCGTGGCAGCAATAGCTTTAAACAACCTTTCAAATGTCCTTGCGAGGAGACTTGTCCCATCTGAGTGCTCAACATCCCAATTTCTCACCTCTCATCTCTGTTGGGAAACTAGGCTAATCTCTCTGTCTCTCTCTCTCTCTCTCACACACACACACACACACTCTCTCTCTCTCTCACACTTTCTCCACTTTCTCTCTCTCATACCACTTAAAACTATAAACTCGAGCAACTTTATAATGAAAAAAACCCAATGTACACTCAATTCTAAATAACTTCTATCACTATTTTACTTCCAAATTGTATTAGTTAAGTAAGAAGAATCGTCACGAATGTCTGGGTACTATAGATGCTGTTCTAAGGAGTTTACAATGTATTAGCACATTTAGTCCTCACAACCACTCCTGCTCATTATTAGTCCCATTTTAGAGAGGAAACTGAGTCACAGAGAGGTCAAGCAACTTGCCCAAAGTAGAACAGCTAGTTAGAGACAAGGCTGGAGTTTGAACCCAGGCAGTCTCTAGCTCCAGAGCCATCCCACTTATCCTTTATTCTCTGCTGCCTGCCCCAGGAAGATACTCACATTTCCCAGTTACGGCTGGTGGGTGTAAAAGACTATGTATTCTGTTTTCCTGTCTAGCATAATTTCAAATACACATATGTATCCAAAGAAGCTACACAGCCAAGCATTTTATGTTTATTAGAGACAGGGTCTCACTATGTTGCCCAGGCTGGAATTGAACTCCTGGCCTCAAGCAATCCTCCCACCTCAGTCTCTTGAGTAGCTGGGATTATAGGTACAGTTTTATAAATTTTTACTTTCGTTTTTTTCACTAGCACTGTATGGGGGCAGTATAGCTCAGCCATCGGCATTTTGGCTACTGGAGTCAGAAAGACCTGACGTGAATCTCAGTTTACCTCCTACTAGCTGTGTAATCTTGGGCAGGCTGCTTAACCTGCTTAACCTCACTGTGCCTGTTTCCTTTCTACACTTACGCTTCGGTTTCCTCAATTATGAAATGGATATAACAGTAGAGTCTACCTCATACATAGAGTTGTTGTGCATTATCTAATTGAACACTTACATTCTGCACTTAGCACAATTCCATATTTATAGGAAATAATAAATGTAAGCTATTTGTGATAATGAATAATTAAACCTTCCAGAAAAAGTATCTTGTTTTTTGGGGGTCTTTCTTTGGAGATTATTACTGGATAAAAAATTACAAACTGGTTTACAGTTCATTACATATTGTCAGAATGCTTGCCAGAAAAAAATGATCAAATCTCTCTGTTTTTAGACAACATTGTCAGTAATGCATGCAGGCTCACAACTCCTACACCAGCTTCAGTCATTTGGATTTTTAATACCTTAAAAAATACATAATTATTCCGTACATCTTATTTTGCTTTTAAATTGCAGGAGAGGCTGTGTTTTTACACAAGATGATCTACTCTCTGTATTTCTTTATAGAGAAACCCTTCATCAAAATCAACCTAATATAATTTTGACAACTGTGGCTCTGTAATGTACAGAGGCATTAATTTTCCTTGAACACACCTACTATACCCAGGGAAACAGCAACATAGGGAGCACAGAGAACTCTGTGCATTCAGTGAGTCCAGGTAGGAACCTGGACGCAATCAGCATTACCGCTGCTCAGAGCTTACTGGGTTTCTTCAAAAAATCCCCAACTGCTACTTTTTCAAAAGTAGCAGTTCCTATCCCCAGGCCCTCTTCTACTTAGGCTGAATTTTAAAGGTATTTATAAATCTCATTGTCATTATGCAGACATTATAGGTGATAATAAATGCTTCACATAGCACCACTGAAATGATCAGACTGATGGTTGGTCTGAGAAAAAGAGGCCCACCTTTCACTTAAAGGGTGAGCCAAGTTGCCAAAAGGAGGCTCAAGCTGTGTAATTAAATGAATATAATGAGAAGACTGGAGCCTGACAGAACTTCACTTTCAGTGTCTATTCCATCATGAAAGATAAATCCCCTTTAACATTCGAATACTCAGGGCCAGGAAATCTTAACTTTGCTCATAAGCTAAGTCCAAATGGTACATTCAATGTGACATTTATGAAAGCTAATATTATATTCTTTTACTTTAACTGAGTGGAACATGATTTTGACTCAGACTAAATTTTGTTTAAAAAATTAGTCTTTGCTGGCCACCTTCCAATGGAAAGCTTTTAAACTAAGGGCAATTAAATTAAAAGGAGAGAATGGGCTAGTTGGGAACAATTTAAAGACGATGAGAATCATTTTTAGGTTTTCTCCTTCTACTCTTACCTTCTCGTTATATTTGCAAAGCAATCTTAAGGCTACCTACTGTGATTGTTCATCCATTCATCTACTTATTGATATTTTAAAAATCTGACTCTCAGTATTAATACCCATTTTGTTGATCTAAAAAATTACGAAGTATAAGAATTATATATTCCTGATGATGCTATTTCTTTAAAAAGAGTTAATTTTGAAAACTGAAACAATGACTAAAACAGGGGTCTGCAAACTATAGCCCATGGACCAAATCCATCCACAGCCTGTTTTTTAAAATAAAGTTTTATTGGAACACAGCCATGCCCATTTGCTTATGTACTACCTATGGTTACTTTCTGTTATAATGGCAGCGTTGAATAGTTGAGACACACAGACCATAGGGTGCACAAACAGAAAATATGGCCCTTTACAGAAAAACTTTGCTGACTCCCCATCTAGAACAAGTACGCATATTCAAACTACACCTTCTGACTGAAGATTGTGACAACAACCAAAAATCTGCAAATGATTTTAATACTGCTACAGTTTGACAAAAACAAGTTTCAATGTTTTTGTCCCCTCAAAATCTCATGTGTTAGAAATTTAACCCCCAATGCAACAGTGTTAGAAGATGGGGTCTAATGGGAGGTGTTTAGGTTATGAGAGCTCCACTCTCATGAATGAATTAAGGCCACTATAAAATGGGTTTGCAGAAGTGGTTCTCATTCTCACGCTCTTCTGCCATGTGAGGAACAGTTCTCCTCCCCTCTGGAGGATGAAGCATTCAAGGTGCCATCTTGGAGGGGAAACCCGGACCTCACCAGACACCAAAACTTTGATCTTGGAATTTCTGGCCTCCAGAACTATGAGAAATAAATTTCTTTCTTTATAAAATTACCCAGTCTTAGGTATTCTGTAACAGCAGCACAAAACAGATTAAGAAAAACACCTCAGACATACATAAAAATCCAGATACCTGATTGTCTCATAGGTTTATTTCTTGCCTATGAGGTATCTGCCTAAAAACACGTTGTCTCCCTTAAATCTATCTACAAACCTTCCTCACCAAAGCAATGCCATTGATTTAGATGTTCCCAAATTAGGAATTAGAATTCCAAAGTTACATGAAACTGATGGCCAAATTCTAAATGTAAATACATCAGAAAATTAAGCAAATGAGCATTCCATTGATCGGTATAGTCAAAGTACAAAGTTGAGATTCTGACACGTAATGGCAAAAAAGAAGAAACGACTCTAAGCACTAGATATTCTTACCATACATAATGCAAGTAGATAGATACTAGATGTTAGATATTAGAGCAGGCAGTGTTTACTGAATAACCCCACTGTGTATGGCACTATACTGTATATGTTGTAAAACACAGGAAAAACAAGGTTCCAGTTTTCAAAGCTTCTCTAGAACCAAAAACCATCACCAATATTGCACGATATTCTTTCATATTATGAACTTAAATTAAAAAATATCTAAAAATTAGGCCGGGTGTGGTGGCTCAAGCCTGTAATCCTAACACTTTGGGAGGCTGAGGCAGGAGGATCACTTGTGTCCAGGAGTTTGAGACCAGCCCTGGAAACATAGTGAGAACCTAACTTTAAAAAAAAAAAAAAGTATCTAAAAATTATTAAAATATATTCAAGCAACTCCAAATGTTGTTTCAGTTATAGTCAATGTATTCACTATACAATTTTAAAGTTCTTTTAATTTATATTACTTAATGGATAATTTCCAAAGGAATCCTATCTTACCTTCTCAGTCTTAGAATTCCTGGTATTATTTGTTTGAACACAGAGATTTTAGAAAATCTGGACCATGGCAGCACAGAAGTTAGTGGCAACCATGTGAGAGAAACAGTCTTCAAAATGTTCTTTGGTCAAGTGATATGGCTGGGACAAGGGGATTCAGACCTGACTTGCAATTAGGCTAAGACACCTTGACTTATGTAATAATGGGCATGGTAAAAATGAATTGCTGAAACTCCCTGTAACCTATTCACATTCTTGTAGGCTTAGGAAGCAGTGAGCACCAAAGAGATGGGAGAAAGAAAAGCAACTGGCTCTCCTATGGCATCAGTTTTCAGAGCAGCCAAAGCTCTGGGTATAGTGCTTCAGGTAGATCAATGTAACTCACCAGCAGATAAATGTGAAAATTTAGCCCTATAGCTGTTTTGATGAACTACATTGAGTAAAATCCATTAGTTAGGTGAAAAGTAAAGGAATGTGGCAAATAAAATTACCTGATACAGACTCAGTATTCAACTTTTTCCAGCAGATGCAGTTTATAACTCCAGTGCTGTCATCCACTGCAAGAGAAAAGCAAAAGGGTATAAGAGAGATTTGGGCAAGGCTGGTGAATTAGCATGCTGTCATTGCATTCAGCCATACTGAAAGATGACCTCTTTCAATAGCCTGGAGAAGCAAATCCCTTATCAAACTCTCCTTCCACCTTTGAAACAACCTCTCACTACATACGAGTATAAACTGCTTGTCTGCACAAGTCAATGTAATACACAAGCCCAGTGGGATATGGTCAGCATTTCACTTATCCTACCTCAAGGTACTAACGATTAGTACCCTCAAGGGTACCCTCATGATGCTGGTCTACACCTCTCTACTAAAAATGGTGGCCTTGGGAAGTTAAGTGCAAAAACTGAATGACTGCTCACATAGAAAATCAGCCTTTCTCTCCCACCCTGAAACAAGAGAGCATCGTGTGGAGTGTGGTTAGAGGCACAGGCACTTAGGGCGCAGCCTTCTGTCACAGTCTCTTTGCTAGTGTGCTGACTTCCCAAGACAAAGTGTTCCAAGTCATCTGGCCTGGGTTTCTCTTTGTGAAAGATCTTTTGCCCAGTCCTCACCACCGCAGGGGCTGTAAGGAAAGCCAAGCACATCACAGAAGGGCACCGTTTTATTTTCATTATAGAAAATAATTATATCCTGGCCACAAAAACAGTACTAGTCTGGCTTATGTTATTCCTGGCTTATCTCATTTTTGCAAAAAATCAAACAATTCCCATTGCAGTTATATTTACAACTACAGAGGAATTTGGAGATGTTTGCTAGGGAATAACAGGCATTTTCTCTTTGCCTAATTTCCGACAAACTCAGAACAGAGGTTGCTAAGCATGGGGTCAGTGGGTCTCTAAATTTAAAAAAAAATCATCAACTAGACTGTTGTAAAAGCACACACAATCCTGAAGAAATCTAAGGCAAAATTTGTTACTGCTGGCCTAAATCTATGCTGAAGAAAAAGCCAAAAAGAGTACTTCCTATACTAAAATAAATCCTAGATGGGTTTCATTTTATTAAATATAAAAAAGGTAAACTTAAGATGAGAAGAAGATATGGGTGAATACCTTTAACCCTGGACTTACAGTGGGTGGGGTGAGACTTCTTTAAGCAGAATCTTAAAATCAGAACTCATTAAAGAAAGTCTGATAAGTCTAACCACCTAAAAACTAATACTGGATAGCAATATTCCAAATGATAGGGTTAATGATTTAATATATAAAGAGCTCATAGGCTGGACATGGTGGCTCATGCCTATAATCCCAGCACTTTGGGAAGCCAAGGCAGGAGGATCACTTGAGCCTAGGAGTTTGAGACCAGCCTGGGCAACACAGGGAGACCCCGTCTCTACCAAAAAAAAATTTTTAAATTAGCCAGGCTTGGTGGTATGTGCCTGTAGTCCCAGCTACTTGGGAGGCTGAGGTGGGAGAATTGCTTGAGCCCAGGAGTTCAAGGCTGCAGTGAGCCATGATCATGCCACTGCACTCCAGCCTGGGCAACAGAATGAAACCTTGTTTCAAAAAATAAAAAATAAATAAAGAGCTCATATAAATTAATAAGAAAAAGATCAACATCACAAGAGAAAAAGTGGCAAAGAAAAGAATATGCGATTCATGGAAGATCTAAAAATGGCCAATAAAAATACATCAGTATAAGTTCACTAGTTACCATTAAGAAAAGCAAGTATACATAATTTATCAACAATGAAATTGACAAATATTAAAAATACTGATACCCTCATATGTCGATAGTGGGAGTATAAATTAGTAACACATTTCTAAAATTTAAATCTTAATGAGCAAGTTTGTAAACAGGCATCGGATTGTGAAATGTAAGCCAGGTGCGGTGGCACATGCCTGCTACTTGGGGGGCTGAGGCAGGATTGCTTGAGTCCAAGAGTTTGGGGCTGCAGTGTGCTATGATTGTGCCTGTGATAGCCACTGCACTCCAGCCTGGGCAACACAGTGAGACCCTGCCTCTTAAAAAAAGTTGTTTTTAAATGTATATATCCTTTGACTTAACAATTACTTCCAGATAAAACAAAAACAAGTACACAGATACATACATCTATGTAAGGCTGTTCACTGTAGTATTCTTTATAATACTGACACTTGGAAATACCTAAATGTTTATAAATATGGAATTGGTTAAAAAAATTACAATGACGTAGTATATGAGAATAAAAAGATATACATGGCTCATTGTAAAATAGAAATATATAATCCAATTTATGTGCAACATTAAACAGTGTATTTTGACAGAAATGATTTTAAGACTTTAAATACTAAGAGCAGTTTCTCTTGGAGTGTGGGGAAGGAACCCCACATTCAATGTATACGTTGACTGTAAGCCTAATTTCAGAAACACTGAGAAATAAATATGCATAATAGTACTAAGGAAATAGGCATTTCTATATTTCTTTGATACTGGGAACATGTTTAGAATGAGGAAGGATGTTCACCCAAACACTGACATTGTTTTGCCTGATTTATAGTGTTTCATATGATTTTTATATACTTCATTAAAATTATCTCTAGTTTGAAATTTTATTTTATAATGAGTAAATACCATTTTAAGAATCCAAAAAATGAATAAGGACATTTTGCGTTAAAAAAATGCATGGCACTTCCAGGCACACCACTTCTCTGTAGGTGAAAAGCTTGATTTATAGTATAATAGAAAGTTAAAAAAAAAAAAATTAGCAGGCCAGGAGCAGTGGCTCACGCCTGTAATCTCAGCACTTTGGGAGGCCGAGGTGGGCAGATCACTTGAGGCCAGGAGTTCGAGACCAGCCTGGCCAACATGGTGAAACTACAACTCTACTAAAAATACAAAAATTAGCTGGGTGTGGTGGTAAGCACCTGTAGTCCCAGCTACTCAGAAGGCTGAGGCAGGAGAATCACTTGAACCCGGGAGGCGGGGGTTGCAGTGAGCCAAGATCACACCACTGCACTCCAGCGTGGGCCACAGAGCGAGACTCCATCTCAAAAAAAAAAAAAAAATTAGCACATGAACATTTGTCCTAGAGAATGCGAGGTCATTCTGGTCTTGACTGTAGCCTTCCAATATTCTAGGTCTAAGCTCGAGTTGCTACCAAGTGTTCTGTGCACTCTGGGCACTGTCACCAACCCCCGGACTTCCCAGTTTGTGACCTCTCCCAGCAGACCCTGTGCCTTGGTGCCCAGAGGTCTGGCTGCTGGAATGCCCCTGAATGGAGGCACCCTTGCAGTGCTGCACAATGTCCTCAGCAGCTACACAGTACCGCCTGGGCCGCTGGCCTTGTTTCAGCTGCGGGATGAGTCAGTGCGAGCAGGAAGCACCCCCAGCACAGGCCTGCGGTGAGTCAGGGGAAGCAGAACCCAGAACAGCAGGGAGCGGCCACCTGGCAGATGGCCCAAAAGCCATATTGTGCCTGAGGACAGCAAGGAGAGGGGCAGTTCTCCACAAGAATTAAAGTTGCAAAAGCCTCTCTACTCTCAATAATTTCAGCAGTCAGATGCTTTTTATTTTCCCAAAGCCCACAGATGTTTCATGCTCCTCAGACACTCACTCAGAGGGAAATGCTTACTGGAGAAGAGGCAATCATAGTGCCTTAATCTTTTTATAATGGGAAAAGAGGTTAAGTGAAGCTCCTTTAGACACAGGCTTAATATCTAGCCTGGTTCTAGGGCCAGGATTTTAAAGTCCTCAAACAGTCTCATTTATTTGATCTGAAAAACAGAAAACTAAAAATCAAATGCAGTTAATTTTTTTTTTTTTGGTGGGTGGGGGATGGAAGAAAGGAGGAGGAGAGAAAAATCAAACTGAGTTATATGGAGACCACAGAACACACTGGAGTCAGTAAACAGAATGGACCCACAAATCTCCATCAGTGGAATCTTGAGTAAGTTACTAAGCCTTAGTTTTCTCATCTACAAAATGGAAATAATACCTGTACTTTCTGTTTCAAAAGACTAGAGGGAGAATAATATGAAATTATGCATATAAAAGTGCTTTACAAACTGAAAGACGCTATTATTTCGTTGTTGGCATTTGGAGAGGAAGCACTGTACTATATACCACAGTGTACTGCCCATAGCTGGATACACTGTAGGAACTTAGTAAATATTTGTTGAGTTGTCTGGAGAAAAAAAGGACCAATATCTTTGGTAAAATAAAGCAGAGAAGAGATTCAGTATGGGAATTTCTGACAGGATGATCCTTTTCAGAATCAAAAAAAAAAAATATATATATATATGTATATATATGTATATATGTATATATATGTATATATGTATATATGTATATATATGTATATATATGTATATATGTATATATGTATATATATGTATATATGTATATATATGTGTGTGTGTATATGTATATATGTATATATGTATATATATGTACATATATATGTACATATATATATGCTGAGAAAAAGCAGAAAAAATAAGCTTTTATTTTTCACATGTTATTTTATTAAAAGCACAAGATAATACTCTTCAGGAAAATGAATACATGTAAAGAAATGCAATAATATTGTATCTACAAATTATCAATCATGCAGGGACTGCCAATGAAACGCTCTTGGTCACAAAGTTCAACTGCCTTCTATCTTTCCTCAAGAAGAGTAAGAATACAAATCCAAGGCACAGCACAAAAAGTGACAATGTCAATTTCAGCAAAGGTTTGGAATTTAAAGTTAAGTTTCCCACAAAATATCTAGCTTGGGCTCTTGATTATAGAGAAGCTTGGAGTTGTACAAGGCAATGTATTAAATGCTTAAAAATCAACTCAATGAAAAAAGAAAGACCTATTACACTAAAATCACATTTGAGCAATTCTCTGGTGTCCAAAATATAGAAACCCTTTATTAAGCTTCCATCATGAGGGAAAATAAACTTTCTGATAATGGGTATTTACCCCTTTGGGTATCAAAAGGCTTTTTGTTAACTGTTCTGGATATAAATATTTTAAAATTATTTTTCACATCTTCCTGTGTTGTTAAAGAATCTACTTTAACATTAATCTGGTCTTCGCTTTTTAAAGTGATCCACATAACCACATATTACCACGCTTTGCTATTTACAGATATACCCTTTGGCATCAGGTGCCCCCCTGCCCGTCCATCGATGCTCATAGGGGGCTGTATTTTAATTCTTCCACTTCTTAGCACCTCAGCAGCTGTCACTTCACTGAATTCATCAGTATCATTCCTACCCGTTGCCTCATTTTATTCTTAGCCCGTGTCTGGGGCTATAAGGGGCACCCCATAGAGAAAGTACATGCCCTTAGTGAGGGTCCCCAGCTACTCTAAATGGCTGGGGCTGCTGAAATCCAACTTTCAGCCCAGAAGGGTCAGCCTTCTACATCAACTTCATTTCAGACACAATTGTTCTTACCTCCATAACTGTAGAAAGCATCTCTTTCTCTCACTCCAATGACAGTTCCCAAGACATCTACCTGTTTTATTGGATGTCCATTGTACAAAAATACACCTAAAATTTAAAAAAAGCAAAGTCGACATAATGTATGATTACATTTTCTGCTTCAATAAATCTTAACTTGTAGGGGGGAAGGGAGTGTAAAAAAATCAATCCATGCTGTTTGCTGAAATTCTAGACTTAAGAATCAGTCCTTGACAAATGACAACGCCCCAAGAAATTCCAATGTCTTTTCCTCACAGGTCCTAAGTAGAAAGCTTGGCATTAAAGCTTGCACTAGACGGGAGAAAACCAACGCTGTCCAACTAGATTTGGTTAATGCACCCTGTTCTGAATGCTCACAAGGGGCCTGAAAACAGTCATTATACTGGGGGACCAAACACAGGACTATATTTGAAGCAACTAGAAGGAAAGAGAGAGGAAACCATGAGAAAGGCTTCTTTGGCTTTTTTTTTTTTTCAAACAAGTGCTTTTCTAAGAAACCAGTCATGATTTCTTTGAACTGGCAATAGCATTTTTTTTAAAAAAAAACAGTAAGTAGGTTACAAAACGCTACCCTTTGGGGCCAGGTTACAACCCCAAAACTTCTCTTTTTAAAACTCTGTTTTCAAAACCTAGGCTACAGATGGTGGCAGGCAACTTCCTGCCAGAGGAGAAAGCTGAGAGGGGGAACCTACCCACTGATACCCAGAGGCTTTTTTCTGACTTGGGGCCAGGACACAGAGGGGCTGCTCAGAGCAGGGAGTCCCTGATGGTCCCAGGGCTGTCCTGGCTCCTGCAGGTCTTCCCTTCTGCCTGTCCCCCAATAACCTAACCCGAGCTCCCCACTTCACCTTAAGCTACACGCACTGTGTTCCTGTCACCTGCAGCTAAAGAGTCCTGCCCAATCTCTTTTCCAGCCTCTTCCCCCCGCCCCCATGACGGCTAAATTCTTTACTTTCAGAAACAGGTTATAAACTTTCATATGGTGATTTCCTTTTTCTTTTTTTTAAATTAGACATGGGCATCTCACTTTGTTGCCCAGGCTGGTCTTGAACTCCCGGCCTCAAGCGATCCTCCCACCTTGGTGTCTCAAAGTGCTGGGAGCCACCACACCCAGTCAAGTCCTTTTTAAAATAAATATACGAATTCTAAATTAAGAAACAATGATCACCTCAGGCATTTGGCCATTCTTCCCCTCACATCAAGCATAGTCACAGCTTCTATTCTGTCCATTCATGGGGGGACCTGTGGCCTGAATCCCGACGCCCCTTATAACCCCCAGACTGGCCTCTGCTGATGGCTCTGTTTCCCTTGTAGACAAAGGGACTGAGAAAGAGTCCAAAGAATGAACAAGGAGCTTCTAAGCCTCAGTTACAGAGAGACACCAAGGGAGTGAGACGTGGTTTTAAGAAATAAGAGGTGGCAAATTTAGCCAAAAGCAAGACCCTCTCCCTCCACAGAGGCACGCTTCAAGAGATAACCTGGTGGTTGGAGATTGTCCTCAGGACCACCTTGCAGGCATGAGCTGAAGATGGCAGGAACAAGGAGGGAAGGAGCCTGGGTCACTGTGTCACCCCCAAAAAGAGAGTCACCTCCATCCAGGAAAACTTGGATTGAATGGAGACAAAGTGGTTCCAGTCTCAACTCCTGGTCTCAAGCAGAAGCCCAACTAATTTTTAAAATTTTTCATAGAGATGGGGTCTCTCCCTGTCGCCCATGCTGGCCTCAAACTCTTGGCCTCCCAAAGCACTAGAATTATAGGTGTGAGCCACTGCACCCAGGCCATAAAATTTTAAGATGTAGCCAGTTCCAACTGGCTTCTCCCAAGTTCTCACAATTGAAACTTAGTCTTTTCCATAACACCATTGATGAGATCTTCAGTCCCCTGCCCCTGCCTGCCTGCACTGACCAAACGCAAAAGGATAGGGAGCCTGCAGAGAAGGGAGATCCCTGTGTCCTGTGTAGTCAAGGGCAGGCTTCCTTATGGCAGAAGCAAACTTTAAACTAGGAAAATGAGCCTCACCCAGGGATGCCCTCTACTGCCGTACACCCCACCACTCAGCCTTGGAGTGCCTGTGTGCAGAGCAGGGCTGAGGCATGGTGCTGCTTTGGTGGTCTAGGTTTGCTGCAGGGCCAGGTGGCCTGAGCTCCAGGCAGGATCTCTGGCTGCACTCAGCCCTTTCTGCCTCCCCAAATGCTCTATATCACTATTTGTACACTGAGCAGAGTAAAGTTAGAGAGAACTGTTTTATAGAATAGGGCTGGCCCCCGCTCCCCTGGCCTACGTGATGGTCCTTCCTGGCTGCCAGGTACTTGTTTGTATTAGAGACAGACACTCCACAGGGTCTGTTGTGGCCCACAGCACATAGGCAATCAGAGGCAGAAAGCAGAGCTGTTTGGACCCACAGAGGGCCGGCTGTCTGCCACTGAAATGTCTTTCCAGTTGGTTGAGAAGCAGCAGGATGCTCTGCTGGTGATGTCTGAAAGTCCCAGGATTCTTTGGGTCTCCAAGGAGATCCTAGCATATACCACTGTCGTGGTTTTAATAAAGAGCAAAAACACTTTCAGATGGGGAGAAGAGTGGAACAAAAGGTATTCTTCCTGGGTTGAAGTCTGGGGGAAAGGCATTGAGAAGACTGGGCTAATGGCACAAACCAATGAAGTACTCAAGTCACCTGTGATGGAGGCCAGTCATCCAATGGTATCAACTTTGTATGTGGCAACACTTAATAAAAATCTGAACAGGTCTTCACTTGTGGACACAGTAGACTTTCTTGAAAAAGGACAGAAAAGTGAGCCCTGTGAATTTTCATCTCACGGACTGACAACAATGACTTGCCTTTAAGGACAGTCACTCAAGATGAAGATGCAACAAAACCCTTCCAGTTCCAAGTGGCTGATGAAAAAAAAAAAATCTTAAAAGCATCACAGAACAACGGAGAAAGAGATCAGAAGACTATAACAGATAGTTTGAATTTTAAAACTCAGAGAAAAGCAACTGAGGAGGAAATACACTGCTTAGAAAGAAGAAACTTCTCCAAGTATATAGAAACGTGAACTATACGTATCAGATGCACAGCATCTACAAAAAGATGGCTGAAGACATGGAAAAAAGAATTAGAGAGCCATTTTCTTGTATCAAAGTGATCTTCTATAAGAAGAGAGCTCAGGAAAGTTGGATGGCTGCTCTGTCAACTGAGAGAAAGCTTAATGAACTAAGAAAAGAAAATGGTAACAAATACTAGATAACAGAGCTCATGTTCCAGCCTTTCCCAAGGCCCTTGTGTTCCTGCTGTTCCACATGCAGCCCACAGAGGCCTAAAAGCATCAGAGGACCCCCTGGATCATCAGGCCCCCAAGAAGGAGGAGGGTCAAGCTATAAGGGTTCAGGGATCTAGGGTCACAGGCAGGTTGACTCGGATTTCAAGCAGCCAACCCTGAACATCCACAACCACAGCAAGACATTTGACTGTTTTCTCTTTTTAAAAGTACTTTTGATTGCTCTCTTTTTAGTTTAACTGCTGTTATTTAATCGATGCTATGTTATTTATGTTTGACAGCATTAAAACACCTAAGATAATCTTTTTCAACCAGATTTAATATAATTCTTATGAATATATTATTTCCACTTCATTGTACCCACTAGAATAATAGGATAAGTATTATATGCTGATTTAAATAAAAGAGTCACTATTATTTAACCCATCATTAAAGTTTGACATGGATAGAGATATTTAAAACAATAAATACGACTTCTGTATGTTATGAGCTATTATTAAAAATACATATATATATATATATATATATATATATATATATATATATTTTTTTTTTTTTTTTTTGAGACAGGGTCTTGCTCTGTTGTCCAGACTGGAAGGCAGTGGTACAATCACAGCTTACTGCAGCCTTGACCTTCCAGGCTAAAGTGATTCTCCCACCTCAGCCTCCTGACTAACTGGGACCATAGGTACTGCTTTTTAAAACTCAGACACGGGGTCTCACTTTGTTGCCCAGGCTGGTCTTGAACTCTGGGCTCAAGTGATCCTCCCGCCTTGGCCTCCCAAAGTGCTGGGATTACAGGCATGAGCCACTGTACCTGGGATACTTTTTTTTTAATGCAAAAAAAACCCAAAAACAAAACAAAACAAAAAGAACCCACACAAATCTAAATACCACCACAATCAAATTTCACAGTATTTTTCTTAGTTCAACTCTAAATTCAAATTTTGAGGAGCTGACGTTTTGCAATCATTTTGCAATGCAATTCTGATGCTAACTACTCAAAGATAGGTTAAATTTCACAGGTGAAGGGCACAGTCCCCAACAATACTGCCCTCATTTGAGTCATGAGTCCCAAGTTTTGTGAGAGTCCTCAGGCCAACTGCACTTCTGACCAACTGGTTATAAATTTGGGGGTCCCCAACACTCCCTCAGGTTTGATAATTTGCTAGAATGACTCACAGGACTCAGGAAGGTGCTATACTTATGATTATAGTTTTATCCATGAAGGATCCAAATCAGGGCCAGCCAAATGAAGAGATGCTAAGGCAGGGTCTGGGAGGGCACAAACACAAAGCTTCTGTGTCCTTGACACCTTGCCCCCTGACACACCAACACATGATTATCAACTAGGGAAGCTCATCTGACCCTCAGTGTCCAGAGTTTTTACTGAGGTCTCATAAGGTAGGCACAATTAACTGAATGATTGGCCACATAACTGAACTCAATCTCCAGCCCCACTCCCTTCCCAAAGGGTCAGACTGATATGATCTGGCTCAAAACCCCCAACTCTCTAATTGAACAGTTGGTCTTTTAGGCATAGACAGCCCCACCCCAAACTATCTAGGGATCCAGCATGAACCACCTGATTCGCATAAATTCAAGTGTGGTTCGAGAGGGCACCATGAATAATGATGACGCTCCTATCACTCAGGAAACTATAATAATTTAGATGTTACCCTGCAGGAACCAAGGGCAAAGGTCAGTGAAATTCTTTATCACACAACACATTCATTTCATATTTTATCATTTTTGGGGTTTGTCTTTGTTATTTTGTTTAAGATATTCTTTGCTGTTTAAACAATCCTAAATTTTATGTAGTCAAAAGTTTTGCCTTTATAGTAAATGGAACCAAACACAACAACAAAACAAAAACCTAGGAGTGGAATTCCCCACCCCCCAGAACACTATGGTATAGTCTAAAGCAGTGGTCCCCAACCTTTTTGACACCGGTTTTGTAGAAGACAATTTTTCCGGGGATGGGGGTTGGGGGAACGGTTTGGGGATGAAACTGTTCCACCTCAGATCATGAGGCATTAGATTATCCTAAGGAGTGTGCAACTAGATCCCTCACACGTGCAGTTCACAATAAGGTTTGCGCTCCTAAAAGAATGTAATGCCGCTGCTGATGTGACAGGATGTGGGGCTCAGGCAGTAATGCTCACTGGCCAACCACTCACTTCCTGCTGTGTGGCCCAGTTCCTAATGGCCATGTACCAGTAGTGGTCTGTGGTCCCAGGGGTTGGGGGCCCCAGGTCTAAAAGTATCCAATCTGTCAGCTGATGTCTGCTTTAACCGTGAGGTTTCATTTTTAAAACACCTTGGAAACATTCTCACCAGTGATAAATCAAAGATCACTGGTCCTGTTTTTGTTGGTTTGTTTTTAACACATCATAAAGTCTTTTGCCTACAGGTAGAGTTAAGCCCCTGTCATGTCCTTGGTACCTGTTTTCTCACCTGCAGAAGATCATTAAGCAAGGCTAGAATTTGGTGTGAATTAATTTCTTCCTGAAGAGATGAGCTATGAAGAAAACCAGACTGGAAAATGGAAAACTGTGGAGGAGGTTGGCTGCCTTCCAAGGGAAAACACAGACCATTTCCAACAATAATTAGGAAATAAAGGTGTGGCGAAAAATCTGTACAAAAGGCATTAGCATAAGGTCATCCAAATATATTTGTACATTTAACTGGAAACAAACAAAACCTTATCTCATTAAAACTGTGGATGCTTGAGATTCTTGACTACTTCTAACTCATAGTTTGTTATTCAGAAGGACCTTGACTGGAAAGCTTCACTCAAAATAGCAAAGAAAGTTTAACCAAACTTCTCAAATAGCACAGTAAACATGTGGCTATTTGTGAATTATTACACAGCTACGTGAATTATTTAAATCCACCCCAAACTATACTTGTTATATTTTTAGGTAAGATAAGCCTATCTCTAGTAGCCACTATTCTAATACAAAAAAAAAAAAAGAAAATTTAAACTTTACATGTATAATGCCTTGTTGCTTCAACTGCTATTTCTATTTGAGGGCCCACTATATGCCAGGCACTGTTCTAAGCCCTGGGATTACAAAGGTGAACAAGACAGATGATGTTCTTCCTCTCAGGGAGTTTATAATATTTTGATTCTGCTTAATTCAAAAGAAAACAAACCCCCTTTACATATCAGGAATCAAAAGATTCCATTACACAGGGTTAAGCTCCATTTTTACAAAGAAACCCAGACTTTGCAGAAGGTGAGTCACATGCCCGGACCAGGTAAGTGGCACATTTAGGAAAGGAGCCAGGCCTAGGAATATCTGGCCCAGCGATCTCTCCAACAGGAGCAGGGCCAAAGAAAAACAAATGAGCATTTTTAAGCATGAAAGACCCTAAATGGAGGTAAAAACCCCAGTACAAAAGTTACTCCCCCAAACACCTACTAAAAAAAAAAAAAAAAAAAAAAAGATTTAGACTGTTTTTTTTACCTTGCAAATAAATGAACTCATGCGAAGGTCCAGGCTAGGTCCCTTTCAAAGCCTGCAGCAGGGAAGGCTCTCCTAAAAGCCTCTAATCCCAGCTTTCTGAGACTTTGGGAAAGGGTGGCAGATGCAGCCCAGGGCATCCCAGGGTGGCTAGCCACATACCTGGCACCTGGCGGGACTCCTTCATGTCCAGGATATCCCTGATGTAGAGTTTTGCAAAGGCTAGAAACACAGGATCCAAACCCCACAAGAGGGAAGGGGTCTCCTCTTCACACCGGCTGGATCCAGGCTGCATCAAGAGGCAGGGCTGTGGCTTCCAGCTAACTCTGAAAGGTTCTGCATCACTGAGTCAAGCATCTAGATGGGACACAGAAATGAGGATGCAATGCGTTTAACGTGGGTCAAAGTGGCACGGCCCTGACGCTGCTCCCAGGTGGGCGTCCAGGACTCCAGGAGGGGTGAACGCAGGGATCCAGGGCCCTGTCAAACTCCATGCCACGGGGCGTGTTAAGAGGCGTTCCTCACGTCAGGACGCCTGCGTTCCTTACGGCTCTCCCGCTGTTCTCCTTCCCACAAAGCACCAACTTCGGAACGGCTAAACATCAACTTTCACTCTGGGAAGATACGTCTGTACAGGCGTAGCAGAAACCGCTTGGGGTCCCGGGAGGAACGGGCGCCCTCGCAGCCCTGCACGTGTTGGGGCATAGTGGATGGGTCTGACTGTCGCTCTGCCCTAAACTTTCCGCTTTTGGGGATGAGCCAAGAAAAGGAGGAAAAAAGATACTAAAAAATGGACCCACTTGTAGCCCCTCCCGCCGCCTGCAGCTCCAGGAGCCCTGAGACCTGGCCCTTCCGGCGCTCGGAGCCGCTGGCGGCGACGACCCCGCCCGGCGCAGGAGCAGTTGGCTGAGGTCGTCTCTGGAGTTCCGGCCTGAGCCCGCCCCCTGCCCCGCCAGGGACCAACCCCGGTCTCCCCGCCAGCGCATTTCCTTTCTGCTGCAGCGCCTCGCCACGGCTCCGCCCCATCTCTCCCGAAGTCCCGCCTCATCCCACCCAGACCCCACCCATCCCGCCGCGGCCACGCCCCATCCTGCCCGAAGCCCCGCCCCATCCCGCCCGAAGCCCCGCCCCATCCCGCCGCGGCCCAACCATCCGCTAGGCCCCATCCAGCCGAAGTCCAGCCCGTTCCGTGCCCCGCCTCAGCGCAGCGTACTTTTGGTTCAGGCAGCGCTGCAGCCCCGCCTTCGTGCTAGCCTCCACCGCTGAGGCCTAGGAGGCGACCTTGAAATTCCTGCAGTTCTAACGCCGCTCTTCTAGTCACCTTTCACCCCTCCTCCTGCTGGTGGCGGGACCCTGAACCTGGGCCTCCTAGAGGTTGGGTCAGGATCAGACTATTTTTCTTTTTGATTCCTGATATGTAAAACAGATAAAAAGTAAGCAGTGCCACGAGTGCATTGTGGCATATTTTAAATGTTCATTTACAGTTGGTAAGTGACCTGACTCACACACTTAGGACTCTAGTTTCACTTGGAGATGTCAATATCTAAATTTGAGCCCTCGAGTGAATGTGAGGTCTTGACTCTGCCAGAGACTAGCCGTGCAAAATCATGACAATACATTTTGTCTCCTTTACCCTTGTTCGGTCTACAGTCTGGAAGGTTGTACACTTAAGAACTTTGAAAAGCTGGCATTTTGGTAAATCATGGCCACCTTGATGGTGCTTAGTCTCCAGAATTTCTATTTTAAAGTGAGGAAAGATAGCCACGTTCCACTCCCATAAAGAGCTACGTTACCCGAGACGTCAGGAATTCTTCCTAATTTACAGAGACTCTGGAAAATGGCAGGGGAGTACAGATCACCCTGGCAGACCATTCCCGGGGGAGGCAGGTGGTGGCCAAAGAGATAATTGCTAAACTATTTATCAGAGAAGGAACTTGGAGCCGCTGGAATGGAAAGTGTGTGTGTCATTAGACCCATGGCATTTAATTACCTCCCCGGCCATTTAAGAAGCTCAAAAACAAGAGTCCTTGGTAAAATACATTGCCCAGATTCTACTGCAATGAACACTAGGAAATGTAGGGTTTAAGATTTAATTAAGAGAAGACACTGGCTGGGCGCGGTGGCTCACACCTGTAATCCCAACATTTTGTGAGGCCGAGGCGGGCAGATCACGAGGTCAGGAGTTCAAGACCAGGCAGGCCAATATACGGAAACCAACCCCCTCTCTACTAAAAATACAAAAATAGCCAAATGTGGTGGCGTGCGCCTGTAATCCCAGCTACTCGGGAGGCTGAGGCAGGAGAATCGCATGAACCTGGGAGACAGCGGTTGCAGTGAGCTGAGATCGGGCCATTGCACTCCAGCCTGGGTGACAGTGTGAGACTCTGCCTCAATTAAAAAAAAAAAAAAAAAAAGAGAGAGAGAGAAGATACCTTCTCTTATAGGAGGAAGGCCCTTGCAAAGAAAACACACCCAGTAGGACAGGTGCTTCCTGCTGACCTGTCAGATGGGGAGAGACAGGTTGAGTGACATTTTCCTGACTGTACACATCTGCTCCAGGGTGAAACCCAAAGGAGGAAATCACTACTAAGTGTCAGAGCCTGAGATGATTTCAGGAATAATGCTCATGGCGCTCAAGGGTAGAGTGTTGGATAAAAGAGCCCTCCTGGACTCCATGCTTACTGCCAGCCTTGGGAAGGACCACACCCAGGTGGTATAAGCAGAGCAGAATGTCCCAATGTCATCTTTTACAATGAAGGGAGGACTCCTTGGAGTCTAAGGGTGTTCCTTTTGATCTGAGCCCCAAACCTGAAGGAGTAGGTTGTAACTGAAACCTAAGGTGAAATGTAGAAAAGAATTTCCAGACTGCAGAAGCATTTAGAGGAATTTGGGAGGATCCTCTTCCCTTTAGTCTCCATCAACACAGATTTCAGGTTCCCCAAGCCACCGCCTGGACGTGTATGAAGGGACTCCTAAAATCCTCAACACTGCAGGGCTCCTCTGGAATTCTGCAACACTGCAAAGCAGATATTTCAAAACCCAGCAGTTAAGATGTAATGCTAGGAACCCATTCTTATAGCTTCTCAATGTGAAACTTGTGAACTTGGTTTTGAAGCATTTGTGACAGAATAGACAATTCTTTCTAGAAAGTTAAGGTTTTAACAAGTTCTTCTGGAAAATGAGGGGATTGAACTGGATATCTCATACCTCAAACTCAAACTATCATGTTTTAAACATGTTTTACACCTTTACAGGTGGAATTGAGTTTGTCCACTTGCAAAGTGGGTTAGATTTTCTGTTTGAAGTTTACAGTTGACAAAAGATTCTCTCTTTGACCAAACTCTAATCAGTCTCCTTGAGTCCTCTTCCCAATTTGTCCTCAACCTTGGCCTATAAAGACATGAACAAATGCTACATAGTTTCAAACAGCTCAAGGCTACATTCCTAGAATGACCCTAGATCCCTTTAAAGTGCCTGCCTGAGAAAACTCAAGACTGCCAAAAGTAACAAACCTGCACGTTGTGCACATGTACCCTAGAACTTAAAGTATAATTAAAAAAAAAAAGAAGAAGAATAATTTACTGTTTGTTCCAGCCAATACCTGAAGGCAAGGCCTTGTCTCCTAGCCTTTGTTGGAGGGTAGGAGCCTAACTCCAATAAGCACCAGTTAGCAAGCCTAGATGGGTCTCACAGGGACTGGTCCCCTCTCTTCTCATTTTTTGTAATTTTTTCACTTCGCAGACTCTTCTTAGGCACCTGCAATTCTTCCCTGCCCCACTGTCCCCCAATTCATTTTCTCTTTAAAAAGCCCGGTGACCTCTCTATAAATCTGAAGGGAACTCAGCTCTTTCCCCTACTGTCAATAGTTATTCAGTAAAGTGTTTTCACTGTTTTAACTAAAGTCTGACTGTGCTTATCTTTGCCATAATAAAGACAACCTCTCAACATTTTTCTTAGGCTACTATTATAACCCCAGGGATGGCAGGTGGGGGGCGGGGACATCTTCAGTCATTCAGCATATCTTGAGCTTTCTCTGTGTGCTTTGGCACTGGGCTGTGGAGGAGCAGTAATTATGCCACTGGAGCAAAAAGGGTGATGCCTGTAATATATTAAATAACAAAGTAAGAGGCTAAATTGTGATTCAATATGAAAGGAGTAGCATGGATAATTACTGTATGAGTTACAGGAGGTAAATTGAGGGACCTCATTAAGTGAGATAATATATGTAACCACTGGAACAAGGTAAGCACTAAATAAATGTCAGCTATTATTCATATTTACTATGGAGGTGGGATTTAAGCTGGGTGTTGAGATTATGGAGGAGCTGTTCATTCATTCATGCTTCATTCATGAAGCATATTTTAAAGGCATTTGTCAAGCACTGTAATAGACATTGAGGGTAAGAAAGAGACAAGACAGTGGGGTTCCAGCCCTTATGGAGCTTCCATTCTGTAGGGGGAAAGTGGAGGGACAATAAACAAATTGTTCTCAGTGCTTAGATGAAGTGACGTCAGGTTGAAACCGGAAGGGTTAAAAAGCCAGCCACACAGAGCTAAGCAAAGAGCATTTCAGGCAGCAGTCAAAGCAAGGGCCACCGTGTGGAGGCAGCAAAATACTTCCCTGTTCAAGGAACAGAAGAGAGTGTGGGGAGAGCGGTTGCATATGCAATGGAGAGATAGGCAGGAGGCAGATCCGAGGGACCTTGTAGGCCATGGTTGGTGTGGATTTTAGTCTTAGTCTCACTCTATGTGAAAAGGGTACTGTGATGCTGTGATGGAGTGGGAGCACGGCATAGGCAGCAGGATGGGCGAGTCATGTTCCTGGGTAAGCCAACACAGCAGCCTGGCTGGAGAGGGAGGCTGCAGTGGAAGCCACCTGGAGACCAAGATTTTAGTTAGATTCTGAAGGTCTTGAGCTAGCTTCTACCTTTATTCCTGTAAACAACGGGAGTTGTTAATTATTCATCAGAGGAACGATTTAATGAATTTAAAAATTGTAGTTAGGCTGGGTGTGGTGGCTTACCCCTATAACCTCAATATTTTGAGAGGCCAAGGAGGGAGGATTGCTTGAGCCCAAGAGTTCAAGACCAGCCTGGGCAACATAGTGAAACCCCATCTCCACAAAAAAGAAAAATATCAGCAGGGCATGGTGGTGTACACCTGTAGTCCCAGCTACTCAGGAGGCTGAGGTGGGAGGATCGCTTGAGCCCAGGAATCCGAACTTGCAGTGAGCTGTAGTCATGCCACTGCACCCTAGCCTGGACAACAGAGCAAGACTCTCTCTCTCTCAAAAAAAAAAAAAAAGAATTGTAGGTATACCTGCCACATCTAACATACTACGGTGGGGGGTACAAAAATGTATAAGAAGTGTTCTCAATCCAATTTACTGAATCTATCCTAAAAATTGTGTCTTACGGATATTCATCAATTGGTGGTGAAGAAACTAGAATAAGAAAACATTTCTGGGCCTAATGCAGTGGGCCTCATCTGTATCACTTGTCCTCCTGCCTCCTTAGCAACCTGGCTCAATCCCTTATGATGTCATCCTCCCTCTCTCTCTGGCTTCCCCTTGGCCCATAAGCACGCTCTCCTGCTCTCTTTAACATCATCCAAACTTTCCAAAAGCAGCATCTCTGAAGACCCCCTTCTCCCCTTTAACTACTGCCCTCCAGCTCACTCTCATCTCCTTTCAAAGCAAAGCTCCTTGGAAGAGTCCTAAATGCTTCCTATCTGTACTTCTCTGTGGTAGGTCTCTAATTCAACCCACCATCATTTGGCTTATCTTGGTCTTCAACCCACCCCACCACAGCCCACCACTCGACTGACATTGCTCTCCTAAGACTCACAATAACCTTAGCAGATTCAAATTCAATGAATACTTTTCTTTCCTTATCATTCTGTATCTTTTTTTTCTTGATGTACTAGTATTTGATGTTGATTTGATCATATTTTCTCTCAGTCCCACCTTGGCTTCCTGATGGGTTTTCTCACCTTTTAGGTTTTCCTCCTACTGCCTCTGTTTCTTCCTTCTCAGTGTCCTCTCCTGTTATCTCTTTTACATGTTGATGTTCCCCAAGGTTCAATCTCCTGCTCATTTCCCTTCTTACCCTATGTACTTTCTCTGAGTGGCCTTATCCAAACCTATGACTTCAGTGGAAACAATCTTCTAGTGACTCTCAATTCTTCACATCCAGCCCAGAACACTCTCCTGAGTCTGTCATGTGAATTTCCAACCAGACTCTCCTGGATACCTCAAAGTAAACCTCTTCCCCATTTCTCCTTTCTAAGTCAGGATGAATGTCAGGATGAATGTCACCACCACCTGCCTTTTGTCGAAGTCAGAAACCTGGAATGTTTCAAGGACACCTCCCTCTGTTTCACCCTACAATGTAATTAGTCATGAAGACCTGTCAGTTCTGTTTTCTAAATGCGTTTTCGTAACTCAGCCTCTCTTCCCTGTTCCCACTGCCATAACCTGAGCCCAGGCTTTTGTCATTTATTGCCTGGGTTACTGACACTACCTTCCAACTAGTTTCTTTGCCTTTAGCCTGGCTTTCTTCCAATTCATCATCTGTGCCACTGTCAAGGTGAGCCTTATAAAATGCAAATTAAACTATGTTACTCCCTTGTCTGAAATATTTCAATGGCTCTATGTGGTCTGCAGAATAATGTTCAAATCTCTTAGCATTTCCTACCAAGTTCCTCCTGGCCTGGCCTCTCCAGGCTCATCTCCCATCAGTCCCTCATAGCCATCCTACACTTCAGACCATCATCTCTCCAATGCTGTTCTGAAGAATACATCCTCAAAATATTGAAGAAAGTTTGCCCAAATAAGTCTGGACTTAAATCCAATCAATAGTTTACATTGGAATACACAACTCAAGCTATTTGGAACAACTTATAGTTCCTACAATATGCCACTCTGTCTTTTGCTTCTCCCCTTCTGCCTAGGATACCATTCACTTATTAATTAATTGATTACAAAAGTCAACTGTTCTGTATCTGCTGAGCAGACTGAAAAAAGTGCTGTATCCTGGGCATACAAAAGGAAAAAAGGCTCCAGGTGAGCCAAACAAGTAAACAGACAATTACAATATGTCATGATAAATGCTGTATAACTTAGCAGCATAAAGTGGGGGCCCTGAGTTGGAGTAATCAGAGGACAGTAACTTTTCCCCCTGCTTCATGTGAGTTATCTCTGAGAAAGGTGTCAGTTTTACTTTATGTATTTTGAGCTTAGTTGTTAAAGGCACATATATTTCTAATTGTTATGTCTTTCTGATGTATTGACTCTTATTGTTATGAAATTGTTCCTCTTTGTCTCTAGTAATATTTCTAGTTTTAAAGTCTGTTTTGTCTGTTAATATAACCATTTCAGTCCTCTAATAGTTACTCTTTGAATGGTGTATCTTTTTCCATCTTCTTACTTTCAGCCTATTTGTGTCTTTGAATCTAAGCCTCTTATAGATATCATATAGTTGGCTCTTGTCTTTTTATTCAGTCTAATAATCTCTGGGTTTTGATTGGGGTATGTAGACCATTCACATTTAATGTAATTGTTGATATGGTTAGATTTATATTTGCTATTTTTCTATTTGTTTTCTATATGTCAACTTTCTTTTTTATTAATCGGTTAATCCTTGATTGCTTTCCTTTTTTCTTTTCTTTTGTGTTAAATATTTTTAGGGTAACGTCTGAATTACTCCACATTTTGAAAAAAGTTTTAGCTATTTCTCAGAGATTGTAGTCTAAGAATTACAATATATGTCTTTATTTATCATAATGTACTTCAGATTAATACTAAATTCCTGAAAAACATAAAAATTTTGCTTCAATATTCTTCTATCCCTCCCACCTTCTTTGTGCTATTATTTACATATATATTACATCTATATGTTATAAACACAGCAATACAATGTTGTAATTATTGCTTTATACAATCTCATGTCTTTGAAAAAAGTTAGATAAGAAATGAGAGGCCGGGCGTGGTGGCTCATGCCTGTAATCCCAGCACTTTGGGAGGCTGAGGCGGGCGGATCACCTGAGGTCAGGAGTTCAAGACCAGCCTGACCAACAAGGAGAAACCCCGCCTTTACTAAAAATACAAAATTAGCTGGGCATGGTGGCACATGCCTGTAATCCCAGCTACTAGGGAGCCTGAGGCAGAAGAATCGCTTGAACCTGGGAGGTAGAGGTTGTGGTGAGCCGAGATCGTGCCATTGCACTCCAGCCTGGGCAACAAGAGTGAAACTCCGTCTCAAAAAAAAAAAAAAAAAAAAAGAAATGAGAAGAAAAATTACCATAGATGATTTTGTAATAACCTGTATAACTATTACTTTTGTGCTCTTCATTTTTCCCTTTAGGAATGGGTACTCCAAATTGAATGAGCCCCTTTGACTGTGGTAGAGGTGCTGCTTGCGCTGAGAGCTTGCCCTTCCCAGACAGAACATCTACATTAACCAAGCTGGGGTCAGCAAGGGGAATGAGAGAGGCCCCAGGCCAAATGCATCAGATGCTCACTGTTCTTACCTGGAGTTCAGTCATTTTCAAGCATAACTGCTTTCAGACTGTTGTGTGTCTTTGATCTCAGAGTGCTGAAATGGTTGTTTTGGTCAGTTTTGTCCAGTTTTATGTTTGCATTTTGGCAAGATGATTTGCTGATCTTGTCAGTCACCCATAACTAGAAGTTATTAGTGATATAGCTTTTAGTTAACAGCAAGTCCATTTGGTCAGGGGGAATAAGGTGGCTCAAGAATTTAAGGAGTGAAGGACTGAATTGTAGAACAAAGTCAGAAATTGCCTAGTTGTAGATAACAGTTACAGCCCATCCCGCCTCATGGACTTTGAAGGAGATTCCTGTGTCAGCAGAAGGCCCCAGGTGAACCAGGGTGCAATTCGCATTTCTGCTTCTTCTCATTCTTGGAATAAGCAGAAGCAGATATAAAAGGGAGAGATGGCTGAGGGTGAGATACCCTCTAGGTCCTTACACTTATGAGACTGACAGTGCTGCCCACTGCATCAAGAGGGCTACTTGGGTCCTTTCATGTGAGTCAAATAGCTCATCCTTCCTGTCCAAATGGCAGGAACTTGACCAAAGGATTATGACCCTTGCAAAGATGAAGAGGGCAGGAGGTAATGGGCTAGGGTTCATTCTGGAGAGCAGAGAATGACTTTAATTAAGGAAAATTTGTGTCCCAAGAGACTGGATTGAGTACACAAGAGAACTTTGCGTTTTGTGCTTTAAAAATCTGCATCTTGAAGAAAGTGGAATGATGGTTGTCAGGGGCTGCGGTAGGGGGGATGAGGAGTTACTGATTAATGGGTACAGAGTTTCAGTTTTGCAAAATGAAGAGATCTGGAGATGGATGGCAGTCATAATTGCACAATAATATGGATATACTTAATACCACTGAACTGTACGCTTAAAATGGTTAAGATGGTAAATTTTATGTTACATGTATTTTAACACAATTTTTAAAATTAAGAAAATCAAAGAATTTTTTTAGAAAGCCTGTATCACAGGGCAACACTGTGCATGGTTTGTGGAGTTTATGGTATAAAAATCTATGTGACTGTTGCCTGGCGTTCTACATTATTCCTGGTCATTTAAGTCATAAATCCACAGTGTCTTGCCAACTTTGGAAGTTCCCATGATTACTGGTAGTTTATGTGATAGGTGAACTCCCTTTTTTTTTTTAACTGGACTCAGGCTTATAATTAAGTGAGTGGAAACAATCAGCCAAGTCTTGATGCACATGCACTCTTCTGAGAAAGTCCCAGAGTATTGCTCTGACAGATGACAGATGTCCTTACAGGGACAGAGCTGGCAACACATCGACCTCCCTAGTGGTCACCAGCTGCTAGTGGGTCCACCAGCTGGAAAACACCTTTGTGTTATTCTTATATTTCTCTTCTCATAAAAATGCTACAAAGATTGTAAGGCATTTGGAGCTGGGTAAAGATTAAGTTTTGGAGAAATTGGATTAATATTCATTATAATAGGCCAGGATAAAAGAATTAATGAAAATGTCAAAAAGAAAAAATAACTTTTCTTTTTAGGCAGGACATTTATAAAAATTTATAGTCTTGGTCAAATAAATTGTGTACAGACATACATACAATTTTTTTTTTTTTTGAGATGGAGTCTTGCTCTGTCGCCAGGCTGGAGTGTAGTGGCACGATCTCGACTCACTGCAACCTCTGCCTCCTGGGTTCAAGCGATTCTCCTGCCTCAGTCTCCTGAGTAGCTGGAATACAGGCGCCCACCACCATGCCCAGCTAATTTTTGTATTTTTAGTAGAGATGGGGTTTCACCATGTTGGCCAGGATGGTCTCGATCTCTTGACCTCATGATCCGCCCACTTCTGCCTCCCAAAGTGTTGGGATTACAGATGTAAGCCACCGTGCCCAGCCCATACATACGATTTTAAAAGTAATCTAAAGGGATGTTTTCCAATTTTTTTTTCTTTTTGGTAGAGTTGGGGGCCTCACTATATTGCTCTGGCTGGTCTTGAACTCCTAGGTGCAAGTGATCCTCCCGTCTCAGCCTCTCCAAATGTTGGGATTATAGGCCTGAAACACCGCACCCAGCTCCAATTTTTAAAATGTTGAGTATATATTAATTACAAAAGCTATTTCTCTTGAATCTCTCAAATGTGATGTGGAATGAAAGAAGGCAAACACAGAAGACAGTACATATCATATGACTCTATTTATATAAAGTACAAAACCAGTCAAAGCTGTTCTATGCTATTAGAGGTAAAGAATCAATTACCCTTTGATGAAGGGTGTTGACTTCAAAGGAGCATGAAGAGGGCTTGTGGGGCTACTGGTTATTTTGTGTTTCTTGATCTGTAGCTATATTATATTTCAATAAAGTATTTTTTTCAAGTTTGCATTCTTCTTAGTGTTTACAGTTACATTTAAAGTTGAGAGGAATTAAAAAGTGAGTGTGTGAATGTGTAAGACCCCACATTTTGCCTTCTTGTCACTCGTATGGAAAAACTGATCATTTTTCACGAGGTCAGGAGATCGAGACCATCCTGGCCAACATGGTGAAACCCTGTCTCTACTAAAAGTACAAAAATTAGCTGGGAGTGGAGGCGCGTGCCTGTAATCCCAGCTACTCGGGAGACTGAGGCGGGAGAATCCCTTGAACCCAGGAGGCGGAGGTTGCAGTGAGCCGAGATCGCACCACTGCACTCCAGTATGGCAACATAGTGAGACTCCGTCTCAAAAAAAAAAAAAAACTGATCATTTTAAATGTTAATGTGATTCCAGAGAAAACACAGAGCATTATTTTGTACTTTGCTTTATTTTTCAACATGTGCCTGTAAACCAAAGAATATCTGAGACAAGACTCAATTTAGGAAGTTTATTCTGCCAAGGTTAAGAATGCACTCGTGACATGGCCCCAGGAGTCCTGAAGACATGTGCCCAGGGTGATTGGGGCACAGCTTGGTATTTTACATTTTAGGAAGACACGGGACATCAATCAATATACATAAGACGTACATTGGTTTGGTCCAGAAAGGCAAGACAACTTGAAGTGTGGTGGGGGCTTCCAGGTCACAGGTAGATAAAGGACAAACGGTTGCATTCTTTTGAGTTTCTGATGAGCCTTTCACTGAATACGGCAATTTACAGGAACAGTCACTTAGGCCTTTGTCTGGCTTAGTGAAACAATAGGCCGAAGGTAGCAATCAGATATGCATTTGTCTTACGTGAACAGAGGAATGGCTTTGAGTTCTGTCTGTCCTTTTGTCCGCAGGGAATTTTCTTGTGGGCAGATTGTAAGGGAGGTATATAGCTTTTTTATCTTTGTAGCTATCTTATTGAGGAGTAGAATGGGAGGCAGGTTTGCCCTATGCAGTTCCCAGCTTGACTTTTCCCTTTGGTTTAGTGATTTGGGGGTACTGAGATTTATTTTCCTTTCACATGCCTATAGGTTCAAGTAGCCATGACATTTCATGAGCATTAGCATAAAGCTGGGCGGCTGAATAGAATTTTGTTTCTCTTATCAACTTATAATTTTCCCCAGGGCTACTTTCAATCTAGGAAAAATTTAACTCCCCAATGATGTCAAAGACAGCATATTCCAGAGATTAATTAACGAGTCACCCAGAGAAGATAGAAGTGCTATTATGCTGACATGTTCAAGGGCTAATCGGTTCTGATGATGTAATTTGCAGTAGTGCTTGATGTATATTAGCCTGATGGGTGACAGCTGCTCTGGGCCCAGATGATTAAAGTGTGAAGCACGAGGGTGGGGTGGAGGGTCGTCGGGGTGTGGTGAGTGCTTTCAAATGGAAAGAGAGTTTTTTTATAGAGCCAGAGTGAATACAGCCTGGTTATGCTGGTTACCTCACCTACCACCTAGAAAGCCTGTTTAATCATCTCTTTATCTACACAGACTTTATCAGGCCTAACACAATCTCCACTCCCGCCTCCCCTCAGCCAAGACCGCCCCAGTCAACATTGGCTGATGCTCCCTTCCCCAAACAACTGTGCAACTTACAGTCAGCATCACATACTTTAGCACCTATTTCTTCAATAGTTATTTCAGGAATGTGTACCATGTTCCCCAACTTAAGCATAAGCTACTTAAGAACATCATTTTTTTCTATGTTCTCCACAGCATGGGGGATAAGCATAAAAGTTCAATAAAAAAATAACTGGAGCAAAATTTTGATAATTATTCAAGCAGAGGGATGGTTACACGTGGGTCTATTCTACTTTCTTTCTACTTTTGTGTGTGTTTGAAAATTCCCTTGATAGCAGGGCTGGCAGATTTAGCCAATCAAAATGCAGGATGTTCAGCCACATTTGAATTTCAGGTAAACAATGAATAGTTTCTTCTTACTAAACACTTCTATTATATTTTATTATAATTACTTATTTATGTCTATTTGATGTGATCATTTAATTTATAACAGTATCATTCATATTCTAACATTACATTTCTATTATAGTATGTTATGTTTTTATATTATTAATATTTTATGGTTCCATGAGACGTACTAAAAAGCTATTTGTTGTTCATCTGAAACGCGAATTTAACTAGGTGTTCTGTATTTTATCTGGCAACCTAACTTGCTAAAACTTAAGAACATAATTGGTGATTAATCAATGGGCTAAAAGAAAGCAGATGGTAGAAACACTGCAGTGCCTCTTAGAGTGAGATCTGGTGTCACTTGCATTAGTATCTTCTGTGGAACCTGTTAAAAAGGAAGGCTCCAGTGGCCTCCTGTCCCAATCCTGGAGCCACCAAATTGGGTTATTTCTGCTGGTGGGACTCTGCATTTGCAGTAAGAGCCCCAGGTGGTTCTGATGCTGTTGCTAGCCAACCTGTTGCCTTTGATGTTTCTAGTTTTTCTGATGTGATCTTTTATTTCCTTGTAACTTGTTTCCTTGGCCTTGTTTCAGCAACTTCTACTCCATTTTTATGTCAGGGACATGACCTAAGAGATGTTAATATTTCTACTCAATGACTCGCTAAATATTACAAATCAAATATAGTCACATAGTCACAAACCTTCTAGCAGCATTTTTTAGTTGACCTACTCCTTAGAATGCATCCAGTGGCCCAGCGTCTTAACTACTGATGTATATTCTATTCATATATATTCATTTTGTTGTTGTTGTTTTGTTTTTTAAGAGACAGGGTCTTACTCTAT